>NC_000001.11:40765956-41068986 GCF_000001405.40 Homo sapiens | reverse complement strand
ATATATTCTATCCATGTCATACTCTAGAAGAAATCTCTCCTGGAGCCTTCTTAGTTTCTTGAGATTCTGTTCACCTCTCTTTTTTGGTGAGGGTCTCTGTTTGCTCTTTCCAAGGTCTTTGTTTTCTGTACATCATTCTTAGATTTACATATTTAGTTTTGTATGAAATCTCTTCATTCTCTTGGAAATTTCTCTTAATTCCCAGTACCCTAAAATTTCACTTTGGATATATTTTCACCTACCATACTGGACACTTTTATTTTATAAAATTTTTAAAAATGAGCTGAGCATGGTGGCTCACGCCTGTAATCCCAGCACTTTAGGAGGCCAAGACGGACGGATTACTTGAGGCCAGGAATTCAAGACCAGCCTGATCAACATGGCAAAACCCCTTCTCTACCAAAAATACAAAAATTAGCCAGGCATGGTGGCACATGCCTGTAGTCCCAGCTACTCAGGAGGCTGTGGCATGAGAACTGCTTGAGCCGAGGAGGTGGAGTTTGCAGTGAGCCAAGATCGTACCAGTGCACTCCAGCCTAGGTGATAGTGTGAGACTCTCTCTCAAAAGAAAAAAAAATTCTTTAATCAATTATTTTCTTTCACTTCTTTTTCTCTATTCACTCCCGTCATACCTGTTTATTCAGTTTTTGAATCTCTTGACCTGGTTCTGTAATAGTCGTATCTCTGTTCTTACCCCTATTCTTTGCCTTTTGGTCAACTTTCATCAAGTTTTCCTCAACTATATCTTCCAAACTTTGTATTGAGTTTTTCATTTTTGCCATCTTGCTTTTTAAATTATAATTATTTAGTACTCCAGTGGCATTTTCCAAAGTCTGTTTGGTAGAAACACCAGACCTGCAAAATGCTCTCCATAAAAGGATTTTACACACGTTTAGGAAATTTAGTTATATACATTTAGGAAATGCTTATACTCTACTTCCCCGTGGTTGGAGATTTGCATCTTGTTTATCAAGAGCTCTTTTTGTTGTTCTTTGAAATTTTTTAATAGACTTTTATTTTTTAGAGCAGTTTTAGATTCACAGCAAAATTGAGTGGTAGATACAGAGATTTCCTATATACTTGCTGCCCCTACACATACATTGTCTCCCATTCATCAACATCCTCCACCAGAGTGGTACATTTCTTAGAATTGATGAATTTACATTGACTCGTTATTATCACCCATGTCCATAGTTTGCATTTGGGTTTACTCTTGGTGTTTTACGTTCTGTGGGTTTTGACAAATGTATAATGACATATATCCACCATCATGTATAATACAAAATAGTTTCACTGCCCTAAAAACCCTCTGGTCTCTGCCTATTCATCCTCCCTCCCCACTAATCCCTGGCAACCACTGATCTGTTTATTGTCTCCATAGATTTGTCTTTTCCAGAATGTCACATAGTTGAAATCATACAGTATGCCACCTTTTCAGATTGGCTTCTTTCACTTAGTATTATGCATTTAAATTTATTCCATGTATTTTCATGTCTTGATAGCTCTTTTTTTTTTTTTTTTTTTTTTTGTTGTTGTTGTTGTTGAGATGGAGTCTTGCTCTGTCGCCCAGGCTGAAGTGCAGTGGCGCGATCTCAGCTCACTGCAACCTTCACCTCCCAGGTTCACGCCATTCTCCTGCCTCAGCCTTCCGAGTACCTGGGACCACAGGCGCCCGCCACCACACCCGACTAATTTTTTGTATTTTTAGTAGAGATGGGGTTTCACCATGTCAGCCAGGATGGTCTCGATCTCCTCACCTCGTGATCCACCCGCTTCAGCCTCCCAAAGTGCTGGGATTGTAGGTGTGAACCACCACGCCTGGCCGATAGCTCATTTTTTTTTAGCACTGAAAAATATTTCATTGTCCAGATGTTTCACAGTTTATTTATCCACTCACCTACTTATGGGAATGTTGGTTGCTTCAAAGTTTTTGCAATTGTGAATAAAGCTGCTGTAAATATCTGTGTGCAGGTTTTTATGTGGACATACGGTTTCAACTCCTTTGGATAAATACCAAGGAAGACAACTGCTAGATTAAATAGTAAGAGTATGTTTTGTTTTGCAAGAAACCAAAGGGGTTTCAAGATGGCTGACTAGGGCTGGGCACAGTGGCTCATGCCTGTAATCCCAGCACTTTGGGAGGCTGAGGCAGGTGTATCACTTGAGCTCAGGAGTTCAAGACCAGCCTGGGCAACATCATGAGACCCCTATCTCCACTAAAAATACAAAAAAAATAGCCAGCTGGGCACGCTGATGTGCACCTGTGGTCCCAGCTACTCGGGAGGCTGAGGTGGGAGGATCACTTGATTCCAGGGATGGGGCAGGGCAGAGGTTGCAGTGAGCCAAAATCACACCACTGCACTCCAGTCTGCGTGACAGAGCTAGACCCTGTCTCCAAAACAACAACAACAAAAAAAGATGGCTGACTAAAAGCATTTCATATGCTCACCTCCTCCACTTAGAAAAACCAAAAGAGTATATAGACAATCATACTTCTGATAAATTATCTAAGATAGAACACTGGAATTCAACAGGAAAGTGACAGGAAACACAGAAAGCAAGGAAGGAGAAAGAAGAGAAGCAGCCTACCTGGCTGAGATTGGCTAGGAAACAGCAAGTGACTTCCCAAGGGTAAGCAAGAGACTTCTAGCAGCCCACATCCCCACGTATGGAATCATGCATTCCTGGCAACGAGAGCCCTTTACCTTCCCAACCCCTGAAACTGACATAGGGAGCTGCCAGAAGACCAGGAGAGGGAACTATTCCAGGGGAGGAGCTTGCACTGGGTCACACACCCTTTCTGAGCCATAAGCAGCTACAGTTGACGCACCATTTTCAATCCTAGCCATTGGCAGACTGCATTCTGTCCTGGGGCCTAGCAGCGCCAGGAATGAGGTGTTAGGGAAAATTGAGCTGTTACTGCTTGGACTAGGGCAAAAATTGGAAATGGGTTCCCATAGGTAGGACTCACAAGTGAGGCGTAGGCTGCACCTGCCAGTTCTTTGAAGCTAGTACCACCAGGACTGAAACTGGGATGTGAACAGGGTGCAAGGTTCTGCTGGGGCTTATCTAAAATGTCATTGCCAAACCCAAGGTCATCTAGATTTTCTCCTATGTGATCGTCTAGGAGTTTTATAGTTTGCATTTTACATTTAGGTCTATTATCCTTTTGGGGTTACTTTTTTTCAAGAGTGTAGGTTCTGTGTCTAGGTTCACTTTTTTACATGTGAATGTTCAGTTGTTTGAGAACCATTTGTTGAAAAGACTCTCTATTTTTTATTGTATTGCCTTTACTCCTTTGTCAAAGATAAGCTGATTATATTTATGTGGGTTTATTTCTGGGCTCTCTATTCTGTTCCATTGATCTGTCTATACTTTAGGCAATACCACACTGTCTTAATTATGGTAGCTTTACAATAAGTCTTGAAGTCAGGTAGTATCAGCCCTCCTGGCTTCGTTCTGGGTCTTTTGCCTCTTCATATAAAGTTTAGATTCAGTTTGGTTTGCTATTGTTGTGGAAACAGAAGTGCACTCTGTTGCCCAGGCTGAAGTGCAGTGGCACAGTTACAGCTCACTGCAGCCTCAATCTTCCTGGGCTTAAGCTATCCTCCCACCTCAGCCTCCAGAGTAGCTGGGACTACAGGCACATGCCACTATACCTAGCTAATTTTGTAGAGACGGGGTCTCACTATGTTGCCCAGGTCTCAAACTCCTGGGCTCATGCAGTCTTCCCACCTTGATCTCCCAAAGTGCTGGGATTACAGGTGTGAGCCACCACCCCCAGCTGATTCAATTTGTTGCTGTCTACAAAATAAATTCTGGGATTTTGATTAGGATTGCAGTCAATCTCTACATTGACTTGGAAAGAACTGACATCCTGACAAAATTAAGTCTTCTTATCCATGAACACAAAATATCTGTTTACTTAGTTCTTTTTACGTTTCTTTCAAAAAACTTTTCTAGTTTTCCTCATATAAATGTTATATATATTTTGTTTAACTTATACCCAGGTATTTCATTTTCTGGTGCTAACATAAATGGTATTGTGAGGGTTTGGTTTGTTTTATTTTTTGAAATAGGGTCTTGCTGTGTTGCCCAGGCTGGAGTGCAGTGGTGTGATCACAGCTCTCCGCAGCCTCAAACTCCTGGGCAGAAGCGATCTTCCTGCCTCAACTGGGTAGCTAGAACTACAGACATGCCACCATGCCTGGCTAATTTTTTTATTTTTATTTTTTTTATAGAGATGGTTTCTCGCCATGTTGCCCAGGCTGGTCTTGAATTCCTGGCCTCAAACAATCCTCCTGCTTCAGCCTCACAAAGCATTGGGATTACAGGGAGCCATTGTGCCTGGCCTGTATGGTGTTTTTTAATTTTAAATTTCACTTGTTCATTGCTGCTATATAGGAAAGTGATTGACTTTTTGTATATTAGCTTTGTATCCTGCATTCTTGTAATCACTTATTAATTCCAGGATGTTTTTGGTTGTTAATTATTTCATATTCTCTGCATAGACGATCATGTCACCTGAGGACAAAGTTTTATTTCGTCCTTCCCAAACTGCATTCTTTTTATCTTACTTTTTGTCTTACTGCATTAGCTAGGACTTCCAGTATGATGTTGAAGAGGAGTGGTAAGAGAGGGCATCCTTGTCTTGTTCCTGATTTTGGTTGGAAAGCCTCTAGTTTCTCACCATTAAGTATGATGTTAGCTCTAGGTTTTTTGTAGATGTTATTTATTAAGTTGAGAAAATTTCCCTCTATTTCTAGTTTCCAATAGTTTTTATTATGAATGAGTGTTGGATATTGTCACATCCTTTTTCTGCATCTATCGATATGATTATCTGATTTTTCTTACTTAGCCTGTTGATATGATAGATTATATTAATTGATTTTTGAATGTTGAGTCAGCCTTGCATACTTTGGATAAATCTGACTTGGTCATAGTGTATAATTCTTTTTTATATTGTTCAATTTGATTTGATAATACTTTGTTGAGGACAATGCTGGCTTGATAAAATAAGTTAGAAAATATTCCTTCTGCTTCTATTAATAACTTCTAAAATAGATTTTGAAGAATTGGTATAATTTCTTCCTTAAATGTTGGTAGAATTCACGAATGAACCTATCTAAGCCTGGTACTTTCCTTTTTTGAAGGTTTGGGTTTAATTAATTCAATTTTTTAATAGATATAAACCTATTCAGATTGTCTATTCTTGTTTGAGTTTTGGCAGACTGTCTTTGAAGGAATGAGTTCATTTCATCTAGGTTATCAAATTTGTGGACATAGAGTTGTTCATAGTATTCCTTTATCTGTTTAATGACAATAGGATCTGTAGTGATGTCCCCTTTATCATTTCTGATTTAGTAATTTGTGTCATCCTTCTGGTTGTTTGTTTTGTTTTTTTGTTTGTTTGTTTGTTTGTTTAGTTAGCCTGGCTAGAATATAATTGATTTTATTTATCTTTTCAACAAACCAGCTTTTGGTTTCATTGTTTTTTTTATTATTATTATTTTTTAGACAGAGTCTCGCTCTGTCACCCAGGCTGGAGTGCAGTGGTGCGATCTCAGCTCACTGCAACTTCCACCTCCCAGGTTCAAGTGATTCTCCTGCCTCAGCCTCCTAAGTAGCTGGGACTACAGACATGCACCACCACGCCCAGCTAATTTTTTATATTTTTAGTTGAGATGCGGTTTCACTGTGTTGGCCAGGGTGGTCTCGACCTCCTGCCCTCATGATCCGCCCGCCTCAGCCTCCCAAAGTGCTGGGATTACAGGCGTGAGCCACCACGCCTGGCCTGTTTCCTCTATTGATTTCCTGTTTTTGATTTCATTGATTTCTGCTCTATAATCTTTACGATTTTTTATTTTCTGCTTACTTTGGATTTAATTTGCTCTTCTTTTTCTAGTTTCCTAAGATGGAAGCTCAGATTGCTGCTTTTAGATCTTCTTTTCTAATATCTGCATTCAGTGCTATAAGTCACCCTTTAAACACTGCTTCTGCTCTATCCCACAAATTGTGATAAGTTTTATTTTCATTTTCATTTAGTTCCAATTTTTTTTTTTTTTTTTGAGATGGAGTCTCACACTGTCACCCAGGCTGGAGTGCAATGGTGCGATCTCAGCTCACTGCAACCTCCACCTCCCACCTTCAAGCAATTCTCCTGCCTCAGCTTCCCAAGCAGCTGGGATTACAGGCACACGCCACCACACCTGGCTAATTTTTTCTTTTTCTTTTTTTTTTTTTTTTCTGAGATGGAGTCTCTCTCTGTCCCCCAGGCTGGAGTGCAGTGGCCCGATCTCAGCTCACTGCAACCTCCGTCTCCTGGGTTCAAGCAATTCTCCTTCCTCAGCCTCCTGAGTAGCTAGGATTACAGGCATGCGCCACCATGCCCAGCTAATTTTTGTATTTTTAGTAGGATGGGGTTTCACCATGTTGGCCAGGCTGGTCTCGAATTCCTGACCTCATGATCTGCCCACCTCAGCCTCCCAAAGTGCTGGGATTACAGGTGTGAGCCAAGGCACCCAGCCTAATTTTTTTATATTTTTAGTAGAGACAGGGTTTTAACATGTTGGTCAGGCTGGATTCGAACTCCTTACCTCAAGTGATCCACCCACCTCGGCCTCCCAAAGTGCTAGGATTACAGGCGTGAGCCACCATGCTTGGCCATTTCCAAATATTTTTTAAATTTCTCTTGTTATTTCTTCTTTGACCTATGTGTTATTTAGAAGTGCATTGTTGAATCTCTGGTGATTTTTTTCATGTATCATTCTGTTGTGTTCTGAAAGAAGACATTGTGTGATTATTCTTTTAAAATTTGTTCAGGCTGGGTGCGGTGGCTCACGCCTGTAATCCCAGCACTTTGGGAGTCTGAGGCCAGTGGATCACTTGAGCTCAGGAGTTTGAGACCAGCTTGGGCAACATGGTGAAACCCTGTCTCTACCAAAAATTCAAACAATTAGCCGGGTGTGGTGGCATGCACCTGTGGTCCTAGCTACTCAAGAGGCTAAAGTGTGAGGATCACTTGAACCTGGGAGACAGAAGTTGCAGTGAGCCAAGATCACAACACTGTACTCCAACCTGTGTGAAAGAGTGAGACCCTGTCTCAAAAAAAAATGAGAAATTTTAAAAATTAAAAAAATATATTCAGATGTGTTTTATGGTCCAGAATGTGATCTACCTTGCTGAATGTTCTACATGAGCTTCAAAAGAGTATGTATCCTGCTGTTGTTGGATGAAGTCGTCAATAGATGCCAACTATATTTCAGTTGATTGAGGGGCTATTGAGTTCAATTATGTCCTTACTGATTTTATATCTGTTTGATGTGTCCATTTCTGATGGGGGGTGTTGAAGTCTCCAACTATAATAGTGGATTTATCTGTTTCTCCTTGCAGGTCTGCCTGTTTTTGCCTCATATATCTGACACTCTGTTGTTAGGTATACACACATTAAGGAATGATATGTCTTCTTGGAGAATTGGCCTCTTATTATGTAATGCCCCTGTCTTTCCCTGATAATTTTCCTTGCTCTGAACTCTACTCTGTCTGAAGTTAATATAGCTACTCCAGCTTTCTTTTGATTAGTGTTAGCATGGTATATCTTTCTTTACTCATTTACTTTTAATCTATATATGTCTTTATATTTAAAGTAGGTTTCTGGTAGACAACATAAACTTGGGTCTTGGTTTTTTAAAAATTTTTAAAAATAATCATTTACATTTACACCTTAGCAGAATTCAAGCTCCTCTCATCCTCCTAACCTGGTGATCTTTCATTAGCTTTACAAAGACAGTTTAGTTTTGGGGAAGGGCTATTATCGTTTAAACTATAAACTAAATGTCTCCCAAAGTTAGCTTGTCCCAAGCCCAGGAATGATTAAGGGCAGTTTGGAGGTTAAAGATAAGATAGGAGTTGATTAGATCAGATCTCTTTCACTGTCATATTTTCTCACTATTACAATTTTTGCAAAGGTGGTTTCAGATGAATTAAGATTAAGGAAAATAGGCCAGGCATGGTGGCTAACATCTTTAATCTCACTACTTTGGGAGGCCGAGTTGGGAGGATTGATCACTTGAGCTTAGGAGTCGCCAACAACATAGCAAGACCTTGGCAACAAGGTCTTGGCACCTAGGCAACAATGTAGCAAGACTTCTCTACTAAAAATAAAAATTAAAAAATTAATCAAGCATGGTGGTGCATGCCTGTAGCCCCAAGCTACTCAGGAGGCTGAGGCAGGAGGATCACTTGAGCCTGGGAGATTGAGGCTGCAGTGAGTTACGATAGTACCACTGCACTCTAACCTAGGTGACAGAGTGAGACCCTGTCTCAAAAAAAGAAAGAAATTTAAAAAAAGGTCATAATTAATTTTGTCTTTACTTTTTTCTTCTCTGATGCTCTTCCTTTCTTTATATAGATCGAAGTTTCTGATCTATATCATTTTCCATCTTTCTAAAGAACCTCTTTTAATGTTTCTTGCAAGGCAGGTGTTCTGGCAACACACTCCCTCAATTTTTCTTTTTTTTTTTTTCTCCCTCACATTTCAAGAACAGTTTTGCAGGGTACAGAACTTTAGGTCGGTGGGTTTTTTTCTCTCAACACTTTAAATATTTCACTCTCTTCTTGCTTGCATGGTTTCTTATGAGACATTAGATATAATTCTTGTCTTTGCCCCTCTATAGGTAAGACAATTTTTTCCTCTGTTCTGTTTCAGTGTTTTTTCTTTATCTTTGATTTTTTGTAGTTTGAAAATGATATGCCTAGGTGTAGATGTCAGGGTTTTTGGCATTTTTCCTTCCTGGTATTCTCTGAGCTTCCTGAATCTGGGATTTGGTATGTAACATTAATTTGGGGAAAATTCTCAGTCATTATTGCTTCAATTCCTTTCTCTTTTTATTTTCCTTCTAGTATCACCATTATATATAGATTACATCTGTTATAGTTATCCCACAGTTCTTGAATATTCTGTTATGGTTTTTTTTTTTCAGTCTTTTTTTTCTTTGCTTTTAATTTTGGGAGTTTCTTTCCCTTGAGATATATTTGTAAAGGAAAATTAGAAATTCTCTGGACCCGCCAAATTCCTTATGAAATGGGAGAGTTCCTTGACCTCCCTCGAAGGACATGCAATAGGGGTGTGGCTTGTCTTTTCAGCGCCGTGCACTCAAACCCCTTACAGGAGGGGGAACACGTAGATGGGCAAGTGCAGGAGCTAGGATAAGCACTTTTGGGGCACCGGCCCCACAGTAGCATCTAAGGGTGGGTGTCTGTAACTCCTGAAGCCCCAGTGGGCATGCTACAGTGCTCTTTTAGCTCTGCCATCTACAGATGGCTTAAGTGTAAACCAGCTCAGTGCCCTCTTGGTACCCAGGTTCTTGTCTGGCATCCAGGAAGAATCAGGTCACACACAGACTTGAAGAATGGTGAATGTGGAGGGTTTTATTGAGTGGTGGAGGTGGCTCTCAGTGGGATGGATGGGGAGCTGGAAAGGGGATGGAGTGGGAAGATGATCTTCCTGGAGTTTGGCTGACCAGCAGCTGATCTCCTCTCTGACCATCCCCAGCCAAACTCCTCTCAGTGTTCAGATGCTCCTTCTCTTCCCTCCTTCTCTGCTGTGCCATTCTGCCACTCTTCTGCTCATCGATCCTGGGGTTTGGGGTTTATATGGGTACAGGATAAGGGGGCATGGCAGGCCAAAAGGCAACATTTGGGCACGAAAACAGGAATGCCTGTTCCCATTTAGTGCTGTGGGTTTCCAGGCTTGGGGGTGGGGCCTTTGCCAGGGAATTGCCCTCTTCTACCCAGTATTTCCCTGTCTCCTGTCTGTATCACTTATGCAACAGGGAAGGGTAAACCTGGGGGTTAAGCCATGTAACACCATCTTCCAGGTGAATAGCTGTTACTAGCATTACGCATTAGCCAGATCCCCAAAGGAAAGGTAAAAAGCCTCAGGCATCCATGAAGGACTGCCTGCACAGATCATTCACAAGTAAACTCTTCGATGGTCTCCCACAAGCAAGGACACACCAGCTGCAACTTCAGGTCTATAATCTAAGTCTAGCTCTTAAACTCCACACTGATAATGTCAATATCATATCTTCTCAGGTGCAGAACAAAGACAAAGGGGACTAGTCATTCCTCCACCAACCCAGAGATGTCTGCATAATTGATTTTTACTTTACCCCATTTTTGCTCTTCAAACATTCACATTATCTTATGTAAAATGTAGATTTGCCAAGCACTTACTAAAGTCTCACAAGAATGTAACCATTCCCCTTACCGCCTACCTGCCCTCCTTTAAGAAAATGTATAAATAAGGCCGAGCATGGTGGCTCACACCTGTAATCCCAGCACTTTGGAAGGCTGAGGCGGGTGGATCACAAGGTCAGGAGATCAAGACCATCCTGGCTAACACGGTGAAACCCCGTCTCTACTAAATATACAAAGAATTAGCCAGGTGTGGTGGCATGCACCTGTAGTCCCAGCAACTCAGGAGGCTGAAGCAGGAGAATTGCTTGAACCCAGGAGGCGGAGGTTGCAGTGAGCCGAAATTGTGCCACTGCACTCCAGCCTGGGTGATAGAGCGAGACTGTCTCAAAAAAAAAAAAAAAAAAAAAACAAGAAAGAAAATGTATAAATACTAAAATCCTGAAAGCCTCTTTGGAACAGTCACAGATGTGTCTGTGGCTCATATTTTCCCCAGACATACTCCAAAGCTAGCTTAATAAACCTTGATTGATTGAGACCATTTCTTCAGTCACTCATTCAGTTATCATGCTCAAATGCAGCAATTCTTGCCTTAGCATGTCTAACCTAATAATGGGCCAATGAAAGGCATTCATTTCATTTTTTTTCTTTTTCTTTTTTTTTTTTTTTTTGAGACAATCTCCCTCTGTCTCTCAGGCTGGAGTGCAGTGTGCAGTCACAGCTCACTGCAGCCTCAGCTTCCCACACTCAGGTGATCCTCCCACCTCAGCCTCCTGTGTAGCTGGGACTACAGGCGCACGCCACCACACCTGGCTAATTTTTTGTAATTTTAGTAGAGACAAGGTTTTGCCATGTTGCCCAGGCTGATATTGAACTCTTGAGCTCACTCAATCCACTGGCCTTGACCCCCCACAAAGTGCTAGGTGTGAGCCACTGTACCCAGCCCATTCTTTATTTCTGTTACACTATTTTTGATCTCTGGTGTTTCTTTTTTATTTTTTCTTGGAATTTCCATCTCTCTGCTTACACTGCCCATCTGTTCTTGCACGCTGTCTAGTTTATTCATTAGAGCCCCCAGCATGTTAATCATAGTTGTTTTAAATTCCCAGTCTGATAATTCCAGCATCCCTGCCATATCTGAGTGTGCCGCTTTTTCTTCAAACTGTGTTTTTTGTCCTTGAGTATACCTTTTTTGTGTGATAACTGGACATGATGTACTGGGTAAAAGGAACCATGGTAGGGCCAGGCGCAGTGGCTCACGCCTGTGATCCCAGTACTTTGGGAGGTCAAGGTGGGCAGATCACTTGAGGTCAGGAGTTTGAGGCCAGCCTGGCAACATGGCAAAACCTTGTCTCTACTAAAAATACAAAAAAAAAGAAAAATTAGCCAGGCATGGTGGTGGAGGCTGAGGCAGGAGAATCGCTTGAACCCGGGAGGCGGAGGTTGCAGGGAGCCGAGATCATGCCACTGCACTCCGGCCTGGGCGACAGAGCAAGATTCTGTCTCAAAAAACAAACAAACAAACAAAAAAACAACAACAAAAAAAACATGGTAAATAGGTCTTTAGTGATGTGGAGCGATGGGAAGCATTCTACAGTCCTATGACTAAATCTCAGTCTTTCAATGAGCCTTTGCCCCTGGGCTGTGAACTTAACAAGTGCTTCTGGTCCCCGCCCCCACCTCTTTGGGTTGGATAGAATGGCCTGGAGTGCGGTATTTCTCTTCTCCCGAATGGAAGGCTAGCATTGGCTGGAGTTGGTTATTTCTCCTCTTCCAGATCAGTTAGGCTCTGAAAAATCCCTAATAGTTTAGGCTGTGGTAAAATAGTTTCTCCTGAGGGAAGACCTTGTTGAGAACAGAGGGCTCTAGTATATTTCAAAATGGTTCCTTTTCCCCTCTCCCTGCCAAAAGCATGAGGGTATTTTTCTCTTATATTTACTGTGAGAATCCGGTTGAGCTCCTGGAGGCAAAACTCACAAAAGTTTCCCCCTCCTCCCCAGTGACTGGGACTCCCTGGAGTTTTAATCTCAAACTTCTTCACACTGAGCCTCTGACAAGTCATCAAGTACAGTTTAGGTTTTCCTGCCCTAGCACTAGTTCCAGAGACTTCGGCTTATTCACCTGTCTGTCTCTTCAAATTTGAGGGCTAATAGTTTGCCCTGAGACCTTACTTCTCTGACAGATGTAAGGATTGTTGACTTTTCAGCTTATTCAGCTTTTTACTGGTTGTTAGGATGGAGTGGCAACTTCCAAACTCCTTATGTGCCAGACCTTTCTCTGAATTTTTTTAATAACCTCCAATTCTAATTTAATGGATCTAGTAAAAAAAAAAAATGACAGTATACACAAATATCCTTATGACCTCAAGATTGGGAAGGATTTTTAAAATAAGACAATAAGCATAAACTATAAAGGAAAAGATCAATATATTCTATATTAAAATGAATACAGCTCATCTCTGCGCCACATGGCATCAGTTGGGGTACCTCAATTGGGGCTTATGATAATTCCATTCACATAACTAGCAGAACTCATGTTGCCTGTTGGTTCTCGCCAAAGGATAACTTGGGCTTTGCCATACCATGGTGGCTGCGTTCCTAGAGCAAGTTTCTCAAGAGATAGGAAGTGAAAGCTACCATTTTCTTAAGGCCTGAGCCTCAAACTTAGCATAGCATCATTGCCACCATATTCTATTGATCAATCAGTCACAGAGCCTAGATTCAAGAGGAGAGGAGTAGACCCCACCTCTCAATAGGAAGAGGGTCAAATAATATGGGCCATATTTTAAAACTACCTCTCTATTCTCTGGACATGGATTATTAACATTTTTTCCACTTGCAAAATTTATTCTTGCCCTCACAAGATGCCCCATCAGAAGTCTCATCCTTTTACACCAGTAGGCTCAAGGTCTAGGATCTCATCATCTAAATCAGGTCCCAGTACACGAGGCCTCTTAGGTGTGGTTTGTCAAGGATACCTCCTTCAATGTGGTTCTTCTTGTCCCGACGACCTGTGAACTAAAGAAATAAGTTGTCTGCTCACTACCTACCTAACACACAGTGGTGCAACAGACACGAGGTAACATTTATAGATGCTTTCTTTTCAAAAGGGAGGAAACCTGAAGGCATGCAGCAGTCACTGGTCTATAGAAATTCTGAGGCCGGGCGCGGTGGCTCACGCCTGTAATCGCAGCACTTTGGGAGGCCAAGGCAGGCGGATCACAAGGTCCTGGCTAACACAGTGAAACCCTATCTCTACTAAAAATACAAAAAATTAGCCGGGCATGGTGGTGGGTGCCTGTAGTCCCAGCTACTCAGGAGGCTGAGGCAGGAGAATGGCGTGAACCCAGGAGGCAGAGCTTGCAGTGAGCTGAGATTGCACCACTGCACTCCAGCCTGGGCGACAGAGTGAGACTCCATCTCAAAAAAAAAGAAATTCCGAAATCCAGCTGGGCACATGTTGGCCAACTCCTTAATTAGGTCCAGTATTACTTTCTGGGAGTTGTTTTCCATGGATCTTGGTTTTATCCTCTGAATCATCCTTGTTTTCCATAAGAAAACTGAGATTGCCTTTTTAGTTTCCTTCCTGCCTATATAAGGTTGGGCATCCAAAGGATTTTTTCCATTTTGTACCATCTTTCTTGCTTTTAGTCCAAGCTGTCAATGCTTCTGCCAGAATGATTCTCTTAGAAACGTGAGAGGTTTTTCAGCTAGGTGCAGTGGCTCGCCCCCATAATGCCAGCACTTTGGAAGGCCAAGGTGGGAGGATTCCTTGAGCCCATGTGTTCAAGACCAGCCTGGGCAACATAGTGAGAACCCGTCTCTACAACAAAGTAAAAATTAGTTGGGCATGATGATGCACACCTGTGGTACCAGCTACTCAGGAGGCTGAGGTGGGAGGACTGGTTGAGCCCTGGAGGCCGAGGTGGCAGTGAGCTATGATCATGCATGCCACTGCACTCCAGCCTGGATGACAGAGCAAGACCCTGTCTGTAATTTAAAACCAAAGAAATTTGAGGGGCTTTCTTTGAACTGTCAGAGTTCACTTCATTAGACAAAAGCCACAACTACAAGTCTTTTAATGATAAGCCCTTCTCTACTTTGGGCTTCCTATTCAGCTGCTGTAGGACAGTACTCTTAAGATTCTTAAAAATCCTGTTGTTTAAGGCAAAGAATCTGTGAGGCTTGCCCTTAAGATTCTTAGAGAACCTTTTAGGCCTGAGAGTCTGCACAGCATAGAGTTACATCTTTCTTACATCTTAAAGAATTTTACTGTCCTTTTCTAGAGTCGAAATCCTTTCATAATTTATAGTTTTTTGCCTTATGGAGAGACTGGAAATAAGAAATTTTATTTGTAAATTCTGCAAGTCCTGGGGGTATGTGGAGGGGTGTGTGTACATGTTTTTAAGCTCATCTCTTGTCTTGCATTTTATCATAAGCAGGGAGAAGCCAGGTGATACTTTCATTACTTTGTCTGGAAATCTCCTTAGCTATTTCCTTGAGTTCATCAGGAATATTTCTTATTTCCATGTTACTATAGGCAACAGTCCTGTCAAACTTTCAACACTTCCCCTTTCATCGATCTTCCAATAAGATTTTCTTCACTTTCCCTTAAACCTTCACTGACAGCCTCATTAAGAACCTTTAGGCCGGGCGCGGTGGTTCACACCTGTAATCCCAGCACTTTGGGAGGCCGAGGCAGGCGGATCATGAGGTCAGGAGATCGAGACCATCCTGGCTAACACGGTGAAACCCCGTCTCTACTAAAAATACAAAAAATTAGCCAGGTGTGGTGGCGGGCGCCTGTAGTCCCAGCTACTCGAGAGGCTGAGGCAGGAGAATGGCGTGAACCCGGGAGGCGGAGCTTGCAGTGAGCCGAGATCACGCCAATGCACTCCAGCCTGGGCGACAGAGCAAGACTCTGTCTCAAAAACAAAAAAAAACAAAACAAAAAAAAAACCTTTAGGCTTCCATTAAAACTCTCCTCGAGTCTCCTTCAGTTTTCACTGACACTCTGTGTGGTCCTTTATGCTTCTTTCTGCTCCCCAGGTCCAGAGCCAATGCCATGTGTGTCAGCCTTTTGTTACTGCAGCACCCTATTTCTGGTATCAGAATCTGTCCCAATAATCTTTTGCCATGTAACAACCACCACAAAATTTCATGGTTTAAAACAACAATGTGGGCAGGCCTGGGTGGAGACAGCTTGTCTCTGTTGCATGCAGCGTCAGCTGGGGTGGCTTGACTAGGACTGAAGGATCCACTTTCACCACATGGCCAACCAGCTCGTTCTGGCTGTTGGTTTAAATGGACCTCCCTGCAGGGTGGCTTTGCTTCCTCACACATGGTAGTTGGGGTCTCAAAGCAAATGTCCCAAGAAACAGGAAGTGGAAGTTGTCAGTTTCTTAATCCTTAGGCCCAGAAACTGGTACAGTGTTGTTTCTGCATAGTCTAAAGGCTTTATAGTTCTGCCTTTTATATTTCATCATTTAATCCATGTAGATTTTTTTAAATCATCACCAGACTAGTTATATTATTTCCTTTTTGTGTATTTTAACTGAGGTAAAGTTTCTACCTTTAGTGAAATGTACAGATCTTAAGCATACAATTTGGCCGGGCACAGTGGCTCACACCTGTAATCCCACCACTTTGGGAGGCTGAGGCGGGCAGATCAATGGTGAAACCCCATCTCTACTAAAAATACAAAAATTAGCCTCGCGTGATGGCACGTGCCTGTAATCCCAGCTACTCAGGAGGCTGAGGCAGGAGAATCACTTAAATCCGGGAGGTGGAGGTTGCAGTGAGCCAAGACCGCACCACTGCACTCCAGCCTGAGCGACAGAGAGAGACTCTGTCTCAAGAAAAAAAAAAAAAAAGCCTACAATTTAATGAGTTTTAAGCACCCATGTGACTACAACTCCAAGGAAGATGGAAGACATTTCTGCCACCCCCGAAGTTCCCTTATGCCTCCTTACAGTTGGTCTCCACTTCCACCTTTATGCTGATTTTTATCACCATAGATTAGATTTCCCTATTCTTGAACTTACTATAAATGAATCATACTATATGTACTCTTTTGTATCTGGTTTATTTCACTCAGTGTTTTAAAAAGCACCCATGTTCTTGTGCCTATCAGGAGTTCCTTCTTTTTTACTGCCAAGTGATACTCCATTAAATGAATATACACTCACGTATTACTTAATCACGGGGATATGATCAGAGAAATGCATCATTAGCCAGTATCCTCATTTTGTGAATACCATAGTACATCGATCTTCAACCTTTTTGGCACCAAGGACTGGTTTTATGGAAGACAGGTGTTCCATGGACCAGTGGCATGGGGGATGGTTTCAGGATGAAACTGTTCCATCTCAGATCATCAGCCATTAATTAGATTCTCATAAGGAGCACACAACCTAGATCCGTTGCATGCGCAGTTTACAATAGGATTCATGCTCCTGTGAGGATTTAATGCCACTGTTGATCTGACAGGAGGCGGAGCTCAAGTAGTAATGCTCACTCGCCTGCTGCTCAACTCCTGCTGTGCAGCCCCTTTCCTAACAGGCTGTAGACCCCCGTATTGGTCTTCAGCCTGGGGGTTGGGGACCCCTGTCATAGCGTACTTACTCAAACCTAGATGGTATAGCCCATTGCTCCTAGGCTACAAACCTGTATAGCATGTTACTGTGCTATAGGCAGTTGCAGCACAATGGTTAAGTATTTGTGTATCTAAACATGTATAAAGATAAAAAGGATACAGTAAAATTATGGTTTAAAAGATTTTTTAAATGGTACACCTATACAGGGTACTTACCGTGAATGGAGCTTGCAATACTGGAAGTTGCTCTGAGTGAGTGGTGAATGAGTGGTGAGTGAATGTGAAGGCCTAGGATATTACTGTACACTACTGTGGACTTTATAAACACTGTACACTTTGGCTACACTAAATTTTTTTTTAATTTTCTTCAATAATAAATTAACCTTAGCGTACTGTAACTTTTTTACATTATAAACTTTTTAACTTTTTGACTCTTTTAATAACACTTGGCTTAAAATACAAACATACTTTATAGCTGTACAAAAATATTTTATTTTTATCTTTATTCTGTAAGCTTTTTTTATTTAAAAAACTTCTAGATTTATTTTATTTTTTTACTTTTTAAACTTTTTTATTAAAACCCAAGACATACACACACATTAGCCTAGGCCTACACAAGATCAGGATCATCAATGTCACTGTTTCCTATCTCCATATCTTGTCCCACTGGAAGGTCTTCAGGGACAATAACATGCATGGAGCTGTCATCCCGTGATAACAATGCTTTCTCCTGGAATACCTCCTGAAGGACCTGCCTGAGGCTGTTTTACACTTAACTTTTTTAATAAGTAGGAGTACACTCTACAATAATGATAAGAAGTATACTAAATACACAAATCAGTAACATAGTCATTTATTATGTTACCAAGTATTATGTACTCTACGTAATCCTATATGCTATATTATTTTATATGCCTGGCAGTGTAGTAGGTTTGTTTACACCAGCTTCCTCACAAACACATGAGTAATGCATTGTGCTATGACTTTACATTGGCTACAAGGTCACTAGGTGATAGGAATTTTTCAGCTCCCATGGGAACACTGTCATATATGCAGTCTGCCATTGACCAAAATGTCATTATGTGGCATATGACTGTACCACAATTTGTATCTCTTCTCTTTTTGGTGGATATTTGGGTTGCTTCTAGTTTGGGGTTATTATGAATAAACTATTATGAACATTCTTATAGGTGTCTTTTCATAGACACTTGTTTTTATTACTCTTCTTATCTCTCTGGATTCCTGCATTTTTAGTTATTTCAGTAAAAGAGTCACATTACTAGATGTGAAAATCCTGTTTCTTAAAAGACTTCAGTTAAACCTTCTTTTATTAGATCCCCCTCACACTCACCTCCAGAGGCACCAACTCTGCCGATTATTAGGCCTTTTGCAAATTATGAGAGCGTGGTTCTCATCACTCCCCACTCCAGCTTTAGGGTATACAGCTTTGTTGGGTCTGTTGAGTCAGTCGCTACGTTTCCAGTCCGCTTTCCACCTTCCTAATCTTATTGTCATCTCCTCTCTTATTATCTGGCTCATTTTAGTGAGTTTTTGGAGAGAACAGAGTTAAATGTATTCGTTCAATTCATCTTGTTTACCCTTTTCTTCTTTTTGTTTTTATGTTTCTCCTGTCACTTTCCACATATCACCTCCCTACTTTCTGTTTTCCATTTCTTCCGTCCATGTTGGTTCTCCTTAGAATTAGAATTATGAAGGTGGAGAATCCTCAGAGAGCATCTGGCTCAGTCACTTCATTTTTCAGGTGGTGAACCTGAGACCCAAGGAGAACAACAGTCCATCCACGGGCCACACAATTACTGCTCTTATCTTTTCTACCTTTAATAGCAAAGAGACTTTTGCCCTTCTACCCCTTCAGCTAGTGAGCCACAACCACACAAGAAAGAATAGTACCCGCTACTCAAATGGGAAGCTGGAAAGCAGATGGAGGAGAAAATGTCATTGCTGACCAGGTTGCTGTGGGTCCTGAGGAGAGAACAACTCCAGAGACAACTCTGTTAGGACTGCCTCGGTCTCCTGTGCCCACTGCACCCCTTCCCCACTGCAGTGCCAGGTGGAGGCCAGTAGCTAGGAGAGTGCTTAGCCGTCTTGGGACCCTCAAGCTCTTTTCACTTTTTTTTTTTTTAAAGACGGAGTCTCTGTCATCCAGGCTGGAGTGCAGTGGCGCGATTACAGCTCACTGCAGCCTTGAACTCCTGGGCTCAAGCAGTTCTCCCACCTCAGCCTCCCAAGTAGCTGGGAACACAGGCACATGCCACCACACCTAGCAAATTTTCTGTAGAGATGTGGTCTCACTGTATTGCCCAGGCTGGTCTCAAACTCCTGGCTTTAAGTGATCCTTCCGCCTCAGCCTCACAAAGTGCTGTGATTACAGATGTGAGCCACTGCACCCAATTTTTTTTTTTTTTTTTGAGACCAATTCTCACTCTGTCCCCCAGGCTGGCGTGCAGTGGCGCAATCTCGGCTCACTGCAAGCTCCACCTTCCAGGTTCAAGCGATTCTCCTGCCTCAGCCTCCCGAGTAGCTGGGATTACAGGCGCCCACCACCATGCCCGGCTATTTTTTTTTTTTAATAGAGACGGGGTTTCACCTCTTCACCAGGCTGATCTCGAACTCCTGACCTCGTGATCCACCTGCCTCAGCCTCCCAAAGTGCTGGGATTACAGGCGTGAGCCACCACGCCCAGCCCAACTTTTTTTTTTTTAATCCAATTTTTTTTAAAATTTTTATTATATTCTTTGGGCATGAGTGTTGATGTAGAAGATAACAAAGGGACCCTAAGGCCCAAAACAGAAAGCAAGGCAAATGATCAATGGTGCAACTATTCTAAATCCAATGACATACATACACACACACACACACACACATATGCCCTTGCTAATATTGCCATTGCCCCACAGTGCCTTACACATATATGGTAAGAGGTACAAAGAATATGTGAGGCAACCAAGTACAAAAAAATGGAAGTACGTACAAGAGGGGAATTGTCTAGATTTTCTTTTCAGTGCACAGAAGACAAAGTGCAAACTCTGTGTCTTGGCCTTTGGTCTGGGCCACTCTTCCAGTCTTCCCACAGACTTTGATCATGCAGTTTGGGTTGGCAGTAGCTGGGCACAGCCTTTTCTTGACCCTCCACCCTCTACCTCCCACAGCATTTCACCAGCTCAGCTGCTAGGAATTCTGTTAGGAACCAGAGGCCAAGGTATAAAAGATGGAATAGGATGCTGTTCTCTGACTTCTCTATCCCAGAGACTCTTGAAGCTTCTTTGATTCTTTGTCTCCCATAGTTTGTATCTACTTGAACAAGAATGGCAGCACAGGCCCCCACTTAGATAAGAAGAAGGTCCAGCAACTCCCTGACCATTTTGGACCAGCCCGTGCCTCTGTGGTGTTGCAGCAGGCTGTCCAGGCCTGTATCGACTGTGCTTATCACCAGAAAACCGTCTTCAGCTTCCTCAAGCAAGGCCATGGTGGTGAGGTTATCTCAGGTAAGCACACTTTGGCTCATATTGCCTCCCAGCCAGAAGGACCCACCTTCTCAACTGGTTGATTTCTTGTAAGGCATCCTGGTTCCCACTTCATACCTGCAGGCTCTGGAAAAATGTGAAGGTATTCCATTCCTCATCTCCAACCCCCCAAGAGCCCCTCTGAGCCTTATGCATACCTCTGCCAAGGAGAATACCCACAGATTCTGCTTCAGTGAGCCTCTAAACTGATTCCCCCCATCTACCTGATTGACCTGTCCGTACAGAAAGTATAGGAGAAAGAATCCAGAGGGGGCTATGTTGTGGCAGCAGGAGGGTTTCTCCAGACTGTTGCAGCCTCCCACCTGGTTTCAGGAACCACTGAACTCCTCTATCATTCCTTTGATTCCTTAGCTTCCTCGTCCTAAACCAGGCCCAGAAGAAGAGAATTAAATCCCAGGGTGGTTGGGAAAAGTCATTTCCTTTTTCTTTACTGCTATGAGAGTTTGATTCAGTGACACAGTGTTTTTTGCTCTCACAGAATACTCATTTTTTCTCCTGTGTCCTGATTCTGTTTCAGTTTTCCTAAATCCAAAATCCTGTTTAGCCACTAAACCTATGAAGACTTGACCTAGAGCCTTTCAGTCTTAACTGATGCTATTCCATATTCCCCTGCCCCTCCTCCCTAGCAGGTTGTAATAACCAGCTTCAGGAAACCCCGCTGGCATGGAAGACTCCATAAATAACCAGACTGTATTATTTTAGCAAACATTTATTGAACCCTTACTATGTGTCAGGTGATTGCCAGACACTGGTCAGGAGAAGGGGAGAATAGAAGATGACAGCTTAGGCTCCATACCAGTGAAAAAGAAAGAATATACATAGCTAACTGTGAGAAGTGCTGTAATAGGGAAATGTATACAGAGTGGTGTGGGAACCCAGACTAGGGAGTACTTGGCTGTGAGGAGGATGGAGCAGACAGGCAGGGAATTTTTATAGAAGACTAGGAATTGGCCAGGTGCGGTGGCTCACACCTGTAATCCCAGCACTTTGGGAGGCTGAGGTGGGCGGATCACCTGAGGTCAGGAGTTGAAGACCAGCCTGGCCAACATGGCAAAACCCTGTCTCTACTAAAAAAAAATACAAAACATTAGCCAGGCATGGTGGTGCACGCCTGTAGTCCCAGATACTCGGGAGGCTGAGGCAAGAGAATTGCTTGAACCTGGGAGGCGGAGGTTGCAGTGAGCTGAGATCGTGCCATTGCACCCCAGCCTGGGTGACAGAGCAAGACTCCGTCTCAAAAAAAAAAAAAAAAAAAAAAGACTGGGAAGTGCCTGGGAAATTAAGCCTTATGTCCCTTCTGAGGCCCAGCCTACTCCCTGGTCTCTTCTTTGTTTCTGTGTAATGGTCTGTAGGAACCTGGCCTTCTTTACTGCCTCTCTTTAGCTGCTCTCCTATACCCTCTCTGGGGTTCTTCTCCTGCCTCAAAACTGGTTCTTGAGAATGACCTATCTCCCCAAATCCCCATGTCCTTGCTGCCCTCAGAGACAAATACACAGGTCTTTGCTTTTTAAGGTTTATACTGATACATTTTTATAGAAAAAGATGATAGGAAGTAAACTAACACCAAGCATGAAACAGTTCCAAATGTTGCCAAAATTCTAGTGCCCTTATGTAGATCAGAAATTGTGTACCCATACCATTGCTGGCTATGGCTATATTCTACTCTTCTGCCAAGCTTCTCTGTTCTTGGGCAGTTCTTGTGAAAATAGCACCCTAAATGAGCAGATTTCCTGGGGGAGGTCCAACCAAGTGATGGAGCAGAGAGAATTATGTTCACAGTTGTTTTCACAAGTTGAATAAAATCATTCCAGAGCCCAGGGTGCAACAGACCTGGCCTGGCCACTCCCATATTTGCAAGCCCTTTACAGTTGGAGGCAAAAATCAAAGCCCTCGAGGGAGGGAGTTAAAGGGAGGGAGGGAGGAAACGTGGGGCACTGATTCCCTTTGTGTAACCAGGTAAGCCTGAGACAAGCAGTGGGCTGGACTCGTCCTGCCTAGCGCTGTACTCCACTGCCAGGCTGACATGCTTGGCCCTGTTTACTCACTCCACAGCCGTGTTTGACCGGGAACAGCATACCCTCAACCTCCCAGCAGTCAACAGCATCACCTACGTCCTCCGCTTCCTGGAGAAACTCTGCCACAACCTTCGTAGTGACAATCTGTTTGGCAACCAGCCCTTTACACAGACTCACTTGTCACTCACTGCCATAGAGTACAGCCACAGCCACGACAGGTACCTACCAGGTAGGAGCTGGGATGGGGCCTGGGCTGAGAGTGGGGGACAGGGCTAGCAGCAGCACCTGCAGGGGCCCAGGGTCAGCCTTCAGAACTACTGGCCTGGCACCTACTATCTAGAGGTCTGCTTTTCTGTCCCTTACCTTTGCCATATCTGAGACTTCTCAGCCTCCTCTCATCTTTACTTTTTCTTCAGGATTTTGTTTTCTGTCTCTAGGATCACCCCTATTTCTTCTAGATCCTTATCCCTAGATAAAAGGTGGTTCGCAATTCCCCTTCTGAGTTTCAGACTGCATGTGGAGCCACCAAGAAGTCACAGAACGTCTCCCAGTGTGAACCTGGCAGCAAAGGCCTAACACACATCTCCCTTGCCAGCAGGAAGGTTTAGTCTCAGGCTACAGATTGAGAAATTTGCTCCCTGGTGATTGGCCATCTATTCTTTCCTTTGGCACATGGCCCTAACTTCCAGCACTGCCAGTCTAGCAAGTCAATTCAAGTTCCTGCTATTTCTAACTCGGCTGGAAAATAACTTTCTTAGTTAACATACCAGACCCACAATGGGAAAGCAGATGCCACGTGGCCAAATCAGTGACTAAGTACTTCCGAGAGAGATTAAAGATTCAATGGAACTCTGCGTCTCTCATCTGGAACCCAGGACACAGAACAAGGGAGGGAAGAAAAGCTCAGCCTTAAACATAGCAAGGTAGGTCATTACTGAGAGGGAGGAAAGGCCCTTAAAAAAGCCCTGCAGATTGTGTCCTGAGCAGAGAAATAGGGAGGGGTGCTGCCAGTGTGAGTGCTGTGCTGTCTGTTGATGGGAGGGCACAGGTCTGAAAGGTGTCTTTTCCGACCTTCCTCTACACAAACAAGTCTTGTTCCCACACTGCCTTCCCTGGTGTCTTTTCATCATAGTCTTAACAGAATCACCTCCGATAAAAGCACTGCTTCTAGAGAATGTGCCCAGGGAAGTGACTGTTCCCCCATTCTCCTTCCCCCTTTCCCTCATAGATACTTCTGTACCCAAATCCGTATTGCTTATGTGACTTGCAAGCAGGTCAAAAAGATACCTGAATTTTAAATACTCTGTGGGGGCCAGACCATCTGATCCCTGCAGCCATTTCTATGATCCCCTGGCTGATCCTTTTCTATGGAGGGAACTTCTCCTCACCTAACCCATGCTAGATTGCTTTCTTTCAGTACCAGAGTCTCTGAGAAAAGAAAAAGGCATTCTGACTTGCAGTTAGAATGTTGCACTGGGAGTCTGGACTGGGCATGGTAGAGCTGGTCCAGACAAAGGCAAGTTTTAAATACCTCCAGTTAGGCATTCAGGAACTCTGATCTACATTTCAGACGTGAAAGTTAGGCCTACCTGGGATTCTGAAAGAATGGATGCATGAATGGGGGTTAGCACATCCATGAATGTAGCTGCTAGTTTAAAAAGAGATTTCTCAAAGAAATAGGAACTCCGAATTCTTAAATGGAATGCCATCATTAAGAAGTGAGAGAAACATACTGGTAGCAGCATTCAGAGACTGGTAAGGATGTACCTCATGGGCCTGCAGTCCCAAAAGTGGTTTGGGACCGGGGCATGACCTTTCCTGGGAATTCTGCCCCAATTTACATCTCTCTGATTCAGCCACTAGATAAGAGGAAGCAAACTTTAGCCAGACTCTTCTTGCCTCACCAACTAAGAGAAACAAAGACCAAGGTATCACATTCTGCCATTAGCTGCTACCTCTCCCTTCCCCATTTTCAGACAGATTGAGCCCACTTTTTGTGTCCTCCTCTGCTCTTAAGCTGTTTCTCATCGTGGGTGCTCAGCAACTTGTCTGCTCTCACTCTAGTTTCTATTTGCTTCCCTGAAATTAGCCTTTAACTATGCCCAGACAAGCCAGAGCCTTGCCTAAACTTCTAATTCCTCTGTGCTTCTTAGTGTATCCTTTCTGCCTGCTTGCCTGCCTGCCTTCCTGCCTGCTTGCCTGCCTTACTGACCCTTTGCCCCACCTCTGATATTATCATTTCCTGTGTTTTTCTGATTACTTACCTAAACCTCTGCCAAAGAGCTCGATCTGTACAAGAGCTGTCTTTTGCTTTGCCCTTTGGATCTGGTATTTATGACTCCTGCCCTTCTGCCTGGCTACACGCTTCTGCTAGACATACATAGGTACCACCTCTGTTATCTGGGTGCTTACTGGCCCTCCCCCTTTCCTATATCCTTGTCTCCACACTACCCTACCACTTAGAGTCCTGGCCCAACTGACCATGCACTTCCGATATAGCAGGTAGTCACCCAAAGCTCAGGGAGATTTCATATCCCATTAAGCTTTCCTACCTAAGTTGAGACTACTACTTTTTTCTCCAATGTTTTATTTTAAAAATTTCAAACCTACAGAAAAGTTACAAAAATAGAACAATAAGCAACCATGAACTCTTTGCCTATCTTTACCACTTTTTGCAGTATTTACTTCGTCTGTTTCTCCTAACTATATATACACATATAAATATACATACTTGTTGAATACCTGTATATTTAAAATGTTTTTCATTTATTTACTGAACCATTTGAGAGTTAACTGCAGATGAGAGATTTTATCCTTAAATACTTTTGTGTTTATCTCCTAAGAATAAGGAACATAATAGTATTATTATGATTAAGAAATTTAACATAAATAAAAACTAATGAGGCCAGGCGCGGTGGCTCACACCTGTAATCCCAGCACTTTGAGAGCCTGAGGCGGGTGGATCGTGAGATCAGGAGATCAAGACTATCCTGGCTAACATGGTGAAACCCCATCTCTACTAAAAATACAAAAAAAAAAAAAAAAATTAGCCGGGCGTGGTGGCAGGCACCTGTAGTCCCAGCTACTCAGGAGGCTGAGGCAGGAGAATGGCGTGAACTCGGGAGGCGGAGCTTGCAGTGAGCAGCGATTGCGCCACTGCACTCCAGCCTGGGCGACAGAGCGAGACTCTGTCTCAAAAAAAAAAAAAACTAATGAAATTTAACATTAATAAAATACTACTAGGCCAGGTGCGGTGGCTCATGCCTGTAATCCCGGCACTGTGTGATGCCAAGGTGGGCAGATCACTTGAGGTCAGGAGTTCAAGACCAGCTGGGCCAACATGGTGAAATCCTATCTGTACCAAAAATACAAAAATTAGCTGGGCATGGTGGTGTGCACCTATAATTCCAGCTACTCGGGAGGCTGAGGCAGGAGAATTGCTTGAACCCAGGAGGCAGAGGTTGCAGTGAGCCAAGATTGTGCCACTGCACTCCAGCCTGAGCAACAGAGTGAGACTCCGTCTGAAAAATAATAATAATAAATTAATTAATATACTATTAGCTATTATGTAGTTCATATTAGAATTTCCCCTAGTTGTCACACTAATGTCCTTTATAGCTGTTGTTTCCTAATCCGGGATTCAATAAAGGATCATCCACTGCATTTAATTCTCCTGTCTCTTTAGTTTCCTTTATCTAGAACAGTTATCCACCTTTTTTTTTCTATCTTTCACGACGTGACATTGGCATTTTGAATAATCCAGGCCAGTTGTTTTACTTTAGGTCATCAAATATTTACAAATACTTACTCTGTGCCCGATTCTATACTAGACTCTAGGGAGACAGAGGTGAGACAGACTCCATCCCTGTGCTCAAAGAGCTGAGACAGGTAGAGATATGTGAACATGTATGTGGTGAAAGCAGAGCACAGAGGTACTCTGGCCCAGCAAAGCATGATGAGCAAGGAGTATGGTAAAAGAAGAAGTCAAGGGAGGATTCCTGGGGGAGGCAATGTCAGAGCAGAGTCTCTTCTTCAGAACTATGCATGTGGCTGGATCAAATAAGAGGCTGGTGAAAACTAAAAGAGGCCCAGCCAGGCACAGTGGCTCATGCCTGTAATCCCAGCACTTTGGGAGGCCAAAAGTGGATCACCTGAGGTCGGGAGTTCGAGACCAGCCTGGCTAACATGGTGAAACCCTGTCTCTACTAATAATACAAAAATTAGCTGGGCGTGGTGGTGCATGCTTGTAATCCCAGCTACTTGGGAGGCTGAGGCAGGAGAATCGCTTGAACCTGGGAGGCGGAGGTTGCAGTGAGCTGAGATCGCACCATTGCACTCCAGCCTGGATGACAGAGCGAAACTCCATCTCAAAAAAAAAAAGCCCCTTCTGGCACCCTAAAAAATACTGAGAATGGTGACAAAGATATTGTCCCTACCTTCAGTATTAGGGACAATATGAACATGTATGTGGTGAAAGCAGAGCACAGAGGTACTCTGGCCCAGCAAGGCATGATGAGCCAGGAGTATGGTGAAAGAAGAGGTCAAGGGAGGATTCCTGGGGGAGGTGATGTCAGAGCAGAACTATACATGTGGCTAGATCAAGTAAGTGGCTTGTGAAGACTAAGTAAAAGAGGCCCGGCCGGGTGCAGTGGCTCAGTATGAGGCAGGAGATTGTTAGGACAGTATTAAGCAGGAGATTGTATTGATTTCACTGGTCCCAGTGACTATTAAGTTTAGCTGTAATTGAAATCTACCCAGCATTAAACTCTGAGTCTGCTGTTTTGGGATTCTCAGGTTCCTCTCTGTTAGAGGAAGTGGTTCATTGCCCATGACACTGGTTCCTTGTGCCTTTCTTTCCAGTTGTCATCCTGGTCTTGTGAGTTAGTTATAAAGTGGTTCTCCTGCCCAAATCCCAAGATTCACAGTGGTTAAAGCCAAATAAAAACTGAAATATCAGGATGTGCTCTGATTCCCACATAGGTTTCCAGCCTAGAATTGTCAGAGTTTTAAGATGACGCAAATGCTCATAATTCACTGAAGCACACTGTCTGGCACACGTCCGCTTTTCAGGTGGACCTTCGTGGGACCACAGCTTAAACTTCAAGGTGTCAGGAAGACCTCCAAGGCTCTCCTCATCCAAAAGAGATGCACCTGATACTGTCCATCTTAATATCCTGTTTCTTTCCTTTGTTATAATTATAATAGTTGCTAATATTTTTAGCTACCTGTATTTTGTCATCTGCCTCACTATAGTAAATGTTCCATGAGGATAGAGACAATATCTTTTTCACCATTCTCAGTATCCATCATCCTAACTGTCATATGGTAAGTAATTAATAGTATTTGTTGAATGAAAGAGCAGTAAACGATGTGGGAAGTGGTTCAGAGAGGGATTTTTTTTTTTTAAACACTGAGAGTGATGTAAACATGCACAAGGACTATGCTATGTCTTTGGGTCCTGCGTTGGTGTAAGAATTTTCTTAGATCAACATCTCTAGTTCCTTGGTCACTCAGTTCACACCCATAAAGGGGAAAGCTCGGTTATGAGCATGGAATCTTTGTATCTTGGAAGTGGAAAGTACTCTAGAGATAATCTAGTATCTAGCCCAACACATGAGGGTGGTCATCTGACCTCTGCTTAAATATTCCTGATGACAGGTTCTCTCTATCTTTGGCAATTGATTTTATTGTTGGGCAGTTCTGATTGCTAAAATGCCCTCCTTTTTTTGTTGTTGTTTTGTTTTTGTTTTTTGTTTTCTGTTTTTTGTTTTGAGACAGACTTTCACTCTCGTTGCCCAGGCTGGAGTGCAATGGCACGATCTCAGCTCACTGCAACCTCCACCTCCCGGGTTCAAGCGATTCTCCTACCTCAGCCTCCCGAGTAGCTGGGATTACAGGCATGCACCACCACGCCCGGCTAATTTTGTATTTTTAGTAGAGACGGGGTTTCTCCATGTTGGTCAGGCTGATCTCGAACTCTCAACCTCAGGTGATCCACCCACCTCGGCCTCCCAAAGTGCTGGGATTACAGGCATGAGCCACCATGCCCAGCCAAAATGCCCTCCTTTTAAAGCTGAAATCTGCCTTCTTACAACTCCTGCCCCCATTCTACTCTCTGTATTCCAAAAGAGCAAATCTACCTCCAATCTTCTTCTTTTCCCATGACTGCCCTTAGGGTGTTTCTCTCCCTTGACTTTTCTCCGGACGATGCCTTCCCGTTGCCTTTCCCCTTTGCCATGATCTTGAGGTTCCTCACCACCACTCTGATCATCCTCCACTGGGAACTCTAATTTTTAAGGTCAGCTTTGCAATGTGATACTCTGAGAAGAGCTGCTTCTCACTGAAAATACATGCATAAGGGCTAGGTCCTTATCTATTTGTTTACCTCTGCATGTACCATAACTAGTATAGTGGCTGTCACACACACAAAGGGTGCTCAACAAATGTTTGTTTGATCCCAGTTGCTCCCATATCTGCAGCATATCAATAGTATATTTTACATTGACCCTAGGAAGTTTAAGCATTTTTCCTCTCCATTTTATAGATGGGCAAAGGAATCCTGTAAAAAGGCAGTGATCATTGACTAATCAAGTCTTCCAGCCCCAGTCTTTGACACCTGCACCAGTGATTTCAAAGTTTGTTTTGTTTTACCAGTAGAACTCCTTTTTTTAAAAAAAAAAAAAAGTTTTTTGGCAAAGGTAAAATTATATATAAAATTTGTATACACTCCAGTGCATAAAAATTAAAACCAGAGTAGTTTTGATAGAAGCTTGGATGAGGCCCATAACCCTATTTACTTGGCCTCCCTGTGGAGGTTCCACAGGGCTCTGTAGAACACAGTTTGAAAGTATTGCAGTCTTCAGGCCAGGTGTGGTTGCTCACACCTGTGATCCCAACACTTTGGGAGACCGAGGTGGGCAGATCACTTGAAGCCAGGAGTTCAAGACTAGCCTGGCCAACATGGCAAAATCCCATCTCTGCTAAAAATACAAAAAAAAAAAATCAGTGGGGCATGATGGCATGCACTACTTGGGAGGCTGAGGCACAAGAATTGCTTGAACCCAGGAGGTGGAGGTTGCAGAGGAGTGCAGTGAGTTGTGCCACTGTATTCCAGCCTGGGTGATAGAGTGAGACTCTGTCTCAAAAAAAAAAAAAAGTATTTGCAATCTTCTTTTCTGGCACTGTCCTACCAAAGAGAGCCTCGTCTGATCAGCCTTGTCAGGACTAGGACCCCCCAGAGCTTTGGAGCATGATGCTTTCAGTACATCTCATTAGGATAAGATTTCATGACTTGCCATCAGTCCAGATTTTCAGACCCTTCAACTCAGAATCTACGTCTCAGTGTTCTTAGCATTGCTGAAAGGAAGAGACACTCAATGGTTTGCATCAGCATCTGGTAAGCCTCTGGCTTTGTCATCATAATTATTCTTCACATCTGTTAGCTCATGTGAGGCAGACAATACTATCCCCAGTCTTAGCTGAATAAAATGAGAACTAGAAGAGTGAGGTTACCCTGCTGATAAATGCTGAAACTGGATGAAATATTTTTCTTGTACTATCACAGACAGCTTAGATTTGCCACTTCAACTCCGAATGAAATACAAAATAACAATTTTTCACATTCATAAAGTTCCTCCCATTCCATTTTCTCATTTGATGTTCTCAGCATGATAGGGGATGATTTTTCCCCATTTTACACATGAAGAAACTGGTGCTTAGAGAAGACAAGCTACTTGTCTAGAATCACATACCTAGTGAAAGGCAGGAGCCCAGGTATAGAACCCAGGTCTCCTATATCCTGGATTGGATTCCCATTCATGTCTCAAAATGGGACCCTGTTAGTCATTTTTCCTGGAAAATAGGAGACAGAACCCTCATCTGCAGAAGGAGGTGGGATATGGCTTAGGTATTATGGACCCTCAGACTTATCTTTTCAGAACCACTTCTAGGAAAGGGTTTCAACAATTAGCCTCCTTGATATAAAGGTAAATAGCTGTCTAATCCTAGATTTTACTTTGAGCTCATAGTTGCCAAGCAATTTTAGGTAAGTATTAGAAAGCAGTCCTAAAATCCTAAACCATCTTAACATTGAGGCCTTACTGTGTGCCAAACCATGTGCTCAAATTTAGTGTTCATCAGAGGCTCCGAATGAATCCCAAGCATTACCTAAACACTTGATGTCTTTGAAAAATGATAAAGGACAGTGTTATGCTCCAGTACTCAAGACACCCTCCACAAGCAGAGAAGCTGTGGCCTAGGCTGAGGAACTGATTTGGTTTGGGTAGAACCCAGTCATGAGGAATCTGCTTCGGGTTCTTTGTACAGTGATTGGGTGCTGCCGCCTGGTGTTGGGCCATGGACTGGGTATAGAAACATCACGGTAAGATTCCCTTTACAAGGAAAGACTTTCATAGCCATTCTTTTGTGATATTCACAAACTCCTTGGAAGAAAGGGGCTTCCCATGTTGTAGATGAGGAGACTAACATGCTCCGAGAAGCACTCTGCTGAGTGGCAGAGCCAGATTATACCCGATTCTCATCTCCATGCCCAAGCTCACCGCTCATCAACCCCAGCTTCCTTGAAGTGTTTCTGTAGAATAGGGCAAATACAAAATGAGAGATGGAACATAGGAGCAGATTCTTTACAAACAAGCCTTTAACCAAGCATCAAGAAGCATTTCTGACATGTCCAGATGGTTGAGCAGAGGGTCACCTTTTAAAGTACCTTCATCTAAGCAATGTGTCCCAGCTCTAGCATGTTGTGTCTAAGGCAGTATCTTCCATCCTAGAATAGCTCCATTTGTTTAAGATGTTCCTTATCAAGAAAAAGCATAGGGCATCTAGACCAGAAAAAGCCTCAAAGACCATCTAGTCTAAGAGAAAGAATTTCTAAAGAGACCAAAGTCCAGAGAGTGGCACTGAGCTTGACTAAGGTCACCTCATGACAGCCACAACCATGACTGGTACACAGGCCTCCTGAGTCCCTGCCCAGGGCTTTCTCTGTTGTTGCTGCTTGCTCCACTCAAACAGGTATCTGGGAGCCAGCACTCTGGCAGTCCTTCTAAGCTCTAACTCTGGTTTTACTGTTTTTCAGGTGAAACCTTTGTCCTGGGGAATAGTCTGGCCCGCTCCTTGGAACCACACTCAGACTCAATGGACTCTGCCTCAAATCCCACCAACCTTGTCAGCACCTCCCAAAGGCACCGGCCCTTGCTTTCATCCTGTGGCCTCCCACCAAGCACTGCCTCAGCTGTGCGCAGGCTATGCTCCAGGGGTAAGCTTACCAGAGTCCTGGCCCTCCTTCCCTCCCTCACTCTTTCCTTCACTTCCTTCCTGAGCTCTGGGAGGCCAGAGAGGACCTAGCTCTGTTGCCCTCTGCCTGGTGGTGGGACTAGGGACTGGACTTACTCTTGTGCCTGGCCTTGCACCTGGGAGGTAATTGGAGCTCCAGGATTGGCTTGAGCATAACAGAAACTAAGAGCCAAAGACCTAGACCCAAAAGGGACAGGGAAGGATTCATTCACTCATTCATCCATTAACTATTTATTTGAACTCCATTTGTGTTTGGCATGGGGAAGCAAAAATCAGTCACTTTTTATCTTCAAGGTATTATGGTGAGAGAGACACGTAAACAGATAATTATTAAACAATGTCTTGAGTGCAGTGACAGACATATGCTTTGGGTAATATGAAAATTACAAGAAGGAATACCTAACCCAAGCTTGGTGTTCAAGGGACACTTTCTTAAGGGAATGATGCCTTGCCTGAGACTGTATAAATGGCCATATCAGGGCTGGTAGAGGAGGGAGAGCTTTCCAGGAAGAGGGGCAACATGAATAAGGGCAAAAGAATAAGAAATAGCACTGATTATACCAGGAACTGCATGCAATTTGGAATTGCTCAACCATAAAATGTAATACTGAGACTCAAAGAGAAAAGCCTGGAAAGGTCAAGGCATATATCATAGAAGACCTTAAATGGGCGTTTAATTAGAGGCAAGACAGGTTTTTGTTTTGAATAGATTATTGACTACTGTGTTGAGCATGGATTTGAGGAGGGACAAAACTAGAGAAACCTAAACAAGTTAGGAGGTTACTCGAGTGGGCCAGATCTGAAGTGACAAAGGCCTGGGTTAGGGCAGAGACAGAAGGTTTGGAGAAGAGAGAGTGGATTTGAAAACTGTTCACAAGGCAAATTTAATCAGATTTGAGGATTTAATCAGATGTGAGGAAGAAGGGAGTGAGGACTGTCTCCCAGGTTTCTAGATGTGGCCAGATAGATGGTGGTGCCATCCACTGAGAGAGGGAACCCACCATAGAAGAGAAGGAAGGTGGGGGAGCCCATGGTCATATAGATGACATCTAACAGGCAGTGGCTATGCAGATCCAATCCTCAGGGAAGAGTGCTGGGCTGAAGTTAAATATTTAGGAGTCACCAGTGTATAAACAGCAGTTGAAATTTTAGGGTGAATGATACTCACTTCTCAGAAGTATGTAGTGAATGAAAATAACAGTTAACCAAAGATGAAGTCCTGGGAACCAACAAAGCTTAGGAGGTGAGAACGGGAAGGTGAGCCCACCAAGGAGAAAAAGGAATATTCAAAGTGAGGGAAAATTTAGAAAATTCAAAGTGAGAAGAATTTGATATTGTGGTGGCCAGGACTACAGAGAGTATTTGAAGGAGAGCACAGCATAACAAAGTTCTGGCAAAAAAGGGACTGAGAAACATCTATTGGATTCCACCATTAGTGGGTAATTGGTGGATCTTAGCGAAAGCAGCCTTGGTGCTGTGGTGGAGGGGTGAAGGCAGATTGTGCTGGGGACTTTGATGAGAAAAAAAAGGCTGGTGATGAGTAGGACTCTAAGTCAAAGAAGATCTTTCAGAATGGGAGCCCTTCAAGCACGTATGTCAGCAGACAGCTTGCACCTTCCAAAAAGTAGCAATTAAGAATATAGGAAAGAGGAGAAAGTTAGGCTTCAGGAGTGGTGGGATCAAGGGCATAGGCAGAGGCATCAGTCTTAAGCCAAAAGGAGGCACACTTTCTCTGAGAGAGGAGGGAAGATTGAGTGTGTCCATCAGTGAATAGAGAAAGGCCTGGTCAGGGAAGGGGTTAGGAGCGCTGATAGACTGGACTAGTCTTAAAGAAGATGGGGAAAAATGGACCAAAGAAAAGGGGATGATTTGCAGGAAACCTCAGGGCCCAACTATGCTTGGAGACTAGTTGGCCAGTTTGCACAAGCTATGGTTTTCTTCTGTGATTCTTAGCAACCTAGTAGGTATGGGATGAGAAAAGACAGCTTGAGAATTAAGGGCTTTTTTGCTGAGCTAGTAGAGCAAGAGCTGGGAGGAAGGGGGAGAGTATGTAAAGAAATCAGGAATCAGGAAGAGCAGTTTAAGTCATCAACCACTACATCTGGGAAGGCAGTCAGGGTAGGAAGGATGCAAGGCTAAATCAGGATAGGGAAAATGGAAAGTTTGACATGCCAAAGAACTTTGTGATATAATGGTTACAGTGGACATACGTCCCAAGAGAGCTGAAAAGATGGAAGGTTGGGGTCAGAGAATGGGATGCTTAAAATTCTGAAGTGGATTTATTCCAAGGGATTGCAAGAATCAGACAGTGGTGTTGGCAGTAGGTATTTGGAGTAGAATGGAGGTGAGAGTCACTGGAGGCATGGTAGCTGGATTGCCTCCAAGGATTAGAGCAGGAGTTGGGGTGGAACAGTGGGTAGTGAGCTAAGTAACAAAAAGTCTTCATTTACCAAGGGGCAGAAACCCAGATATCTATGAGTAACAGTGAGAAGGAAGAGCCAATGGTTGGGTACATGTTTGGCCTCTGAAGAACATGAGCTTTCATAGGAGGATGGTCTAGAAGCAGCAGTGGGGAGCCAGGAGAATGTCACTTCCACACCCTGATTCCAGCCTCCTCCAGCCCAGGGACGCATGAGTGAGGTGTGAAAGTATAGGAAGACTCCATTAGCAGAGCCTGCAATGAAAAAAAGTCACCTCGGCCGGGCACGGTGGCTTATGCCTGTAATCCCAGCACTTTGGGAGGCCGAGGAGGGTGGATCACGAGGTCAAGAGATCAAGACTATCCTGGTCAACATGGTGAAACCCTGTCTCTATTGAAAATACAAAAAATTAGCCGGACGTGGTAGTGGGCACCTGTAGTCCCAGCTACTCAGGAGGCTGAGACAGGAGAATGGTGTGAACCCAGGAGGCCGAGTTTGCAGTGAGCCGAGATCACGCCACTGCACTCCAGCCTGGGGGACAGAGTGAGACTCCGTCTCAAAAAAAAAAAAAGAAAAGAAAAGAAAAAAAGTCACCTCAGCGGAGAGAGCTTTCAGGAAGGCTGAATCATGGGAAGAAGCCTGTGGTGCCCCTCCCCCCACCCCAACCCGAGCAGGGCAGCAAAATGGAATCTAAAGGGCTCTCAAGTAGAGAGGCAGAGCTGAGCGCTGATTCTAGCCTCGGCTCCCTTGCTTTGAGACTTGAGTCAGTCATCTCACCTCTCAGGTCTTCCTCATATGCAGAATGTTCCTCATGTGCAAACTGGAGATGGTGACACCAACCTGGTCTTTCCACAGGAGTGTTAAAAGGATCAAATGAAAGAAGGGATATGGAATCATTTTGGAAACTAAATCGTTCCCCAGGTATGAGGGGAGTTACTGTTATTTTTATCTTCCCCAAGGCCCTGTTTCTGAGAAGAGTACTTTGTGATAGGCTGCCCTCCTGGCACTGGCCTCAGATGGTACTGTTGTTCCCTAAGCATCTCCAATTTTCCTTGGAAACCCACCATGAGTCTGTCTGCCAGGTCATTGTATAAATCTCTTTACAGCCTGATGGTCTTCATAAGGCTATGAAAAGATTCATTCGGCTGGCCCTAGAATTATTTGTCTTAAAGAATTTGGATGTTGAGTCTGTTTCCTCTCTTACTGCATTAACCAGGATGATTAGGCATGAGCTTGTTAGTTGGCCTCTTGTGGATGTGCCTCAACTGCCTTAGTCATGCTCAGACTGAGACAACAAGCCCTCCTTGAAGAGTAAGTGCCAGCCGTACACATTGAGGGGCGATGGGGAGAGCTTTGCCATAGGCTGTCTGCAGAGGGAATAGGAAAAGACAGGGCAAGTCACTTCCTCTCTCTTTTCACCCCTCCCCTCTGAACTAAAGATGGTGATAACGCCTCCTTCAAGGGCTATTTTAAAGGTCAAATGAGTTGACAATGGTGGGGGTTCTTTATAGAATATTGTTGATATATCAGGTCACCTTTTTACCACTGCCACCCTGGTAGTTCATGCCACAGTGGTCTCTTGCCTGGCTTATCATAATGGCCTCCTTTTTTTTTTTTTAATAGTGTCTCTCACTGTGTCACCCAGGCTGGAGTACAGTGGCTCAATCATGGCTCATTGCAACCTCAGCCTCCTGGGCTCAAGCGATCTTCCTCTCAAGCTACCTTCCAAGTAGTTGGGACTGCAGGCATGCACCACCACACCTAGCTAATTTTTTGCAGAGACAGAGTTTCACCATGTTGCCCAGGCTGGTCTCAAATTCCTGGGCTCAAGCAGTCTGCCTGCCTCAGCCTCCCAGAGTGCTGGGATTATAGGCATGAGCCACTGTGCCTGGCCTAATAGCCTCTGTCTTTTTTTTTTTTTTTTTGAGACAGAGTCTCACTCTGTCGCCCAGGCTGGAATGCAGTGGCGCAATCTCGGCTCACTGCAACCTCCGCCTCTTGGGTTCAAGCAATTCTCCTGCCTCAGCCTCCCGAGTAGCTGGGATTACAGGTGCCTGCCACTACGCCCTGCTAATTTTTTGTATTTTTAGTAGAGACGGGGTTTCACCATGTTGGCCAGGCTGGCCTTGAACTCCTGACCTCGTGATTTGCCCACCTCGGCCTCCCAAAGTGCTGCGATTACAGGCATGATCCACCATGCCTGGCCAGTAGCCTCCTTCTTAACTGGCCTCTCCATGTCCCCCTGAAGTCTGTTACCAACATAGACAATGAGAGTGATCCTTCTTATTGCAAGTTGGTTCATGTAACTCCTGTGCTCAAAACCTACCTATTTCACTCAGAAAAGCCAGTGGTTTTCCATGGTGTACAGGGTCCTCTGTTATCTTCACTGCCACTTCCCTCCTCTTCCTCAACACACACATCCATGCCTCTTAGTGTTATTTCACACCACTTTCTCCCTCATTCACTTTGTTCTGATACATTGGCCTTCCTGCTAAATCCTACATGTGCTATTTGCTCTTCTGCCTCAAGGTCTTTGCTCAAATTTCATCATTTCGGAGACATCTCTCCTAATCACCATATAAATTAGCAACTTCCTACCACCTGCCCTCATGGAGTTTATATTCTAATGGGAGTAGGCTGACAGACAAGCATATAAATATATAGTAGTATTAAATATGTGGGTCGTCTTAGTCCATTTGGGCTGCTCTAACAAAGTACCATGAACTGGGTGGCTTATAAACAGTAATTTATTTCTCACAGTCCTGAAGACTGGGAAGTCCAAGATCAAGGCACCAGCAGATTTGGTGTCTGATGAGGACCCACTTCCTGGTTCATAGACAGCCATCTTCTCACTGTAACCTCGCACAGCCAAAGGGGCAAGGGAGCTCTCTGCACCGTGTTTGATGAGAGTACTAATCTCATTCATGAGGGCTCTGCCCAGAGGTCCTACCTCCTAATATATATTATCATGTGGGTAGGGAGGGGTAGGATTTCAACATGGGAATGTTGAGGGGATACATATTCAGTCAGTAGCATGTGTGTATTTATATATACTATCATATATATGTGTGTATAATATCATGTATGTATGTATATATGGTATCTAGCCTCTGATTAGAGGAATTATCTAAGGTGGTCCAAGAAAGACACATTCTTGCATATACACTCTCTCCCCATATCTTCTCTCTGTTCTCCAGAGCCTCTCTGCACTTGGTTTCTCTCTTAGCATCACAGTAGACTTTTAAGACAGGGAGAAGTGACTGGCTCACAGAGCCCCCTCCAACTTTCCATCTGTTAACACCTCCAAAAAGCCACTGGGATTTCTGTGACTCTAAGCAGCCCCTGCTGGCTCTAGCATACCTCTCCCCAGTGCCCAACTATAAGCTTGAAAAGACAATATGCTAGAATCTCTGCTCCAAAAGGGGCTGGACTAGGCCAGGCCAGACAAAGTGTACTTTGACTTTTTAGGCCCGGGACCCAGAATGAAGGCAAATGGGAGGAGATTCTTAGCCTTTGCCGGAGAGAGTTAAATATTAGGCCCTTTTACTTTAACAGGTGTGTGTGTGTGGTGGCGGTGGGGGAGGGGGGTGGTTGTTTGTTTATTGTTTGTTTTTGAGACAGGATCTTACTCTGTCACCCAGGCTGGAGTGCAGTGGTATGATCATAGCTCACTGTTAACCTTGAATTCCTGGACTAAAGCCATCCTCACACCTCAGCTTCCTGAGTAGCTGGGACTATTGGTGCATACCACCACACCCAGCTGATTTTTTTACTTGTTTTGTAGAGACAGGGTCTCGCAATGTTGCCCAGGCTGGTCTCAAACTCCCGGCCTCAAGCGATCCTCCTGCCTTGGCCACCCAAAGTGCTGGGATTACAGCGTGAGCCACTGCACTCAGTGTACAGGTGTGTGTTAGCTCTGCCACTTGATAGTTTGCAACAAGGCACCTCTGGATGCTGTAGATACAGACGTGAGCAAGGCAAGGACCCTGCCTCAATAGAGACATAGTCTGGTTGGAGAGAAAGAAAAATATACAAGTAACTATTATCTGTGATCATTATTTATCTAACAGATGTGTTCGAACATCTACTGTGGCAGACCAGGCACTCTTTTATGTGTCAGCAACATAGCAAGGAACAAGAGAGAGCTTATATTGTATAGGGAGGAGACAGATAAGAAACATAAAATAAATGAGTCCATGAAATTATTTTAGGTAACGATATGTACTGTGTGGGGGTAGGGGGAAACTAGGGTAATTGGATTGTAGAGAACTGTGCGGGGAATTGAGCATTTTTACTAGGAGATCAGGGAAGGCCTCTCTGTGGAATCAATATTTGAGGTAAGAACCAAATGTTGAGAAGGAGTCAGGCATGAAAAGATTTGGGAAAAGAACATTCCAGACCCAGGAAATTGCATGTCAGAGGATAAATGCTTGACTTATTCAAGAAGCAGAAAGAAGGCTAGTGTGTTTGAAGCACGGCGAGTAAGGGGTAAGTTGCGGGCAGGGGCTGCAGAGTGAAATGAGGCCGAAGGTAGGAAGGCTGAGCTGATGGAGTACCTCATAGATGCTGGCAAGCACAGGAAGGAGTTCAGATTTCATTTCATATGCAAAGGGAGGCCACTGCATTGAGTTTTTAGAAGGGGTTGACATGGTTCAATTACTGCTCTTTTTGTTTTTGTTTTTGTTTTTTTTGAGACAGGGTCTCGCTCTGTCACCCAGGCTGGACTGCAATGGCGCTCACAGCTCACTGCAGCCTGGAACTCCTGGGATCAAATGATCTCCTGCCTCAGCCTTCTGAGTAGCTAGGACTGCAAGCATGTGCCACCATACCAGCTAATTTTTAAAAATTTTTTGTAGAGATGGGGTTCTTGCTTTGTTGCCCAAGCTGGTCTTGAACTCCTGGGCTCAAGCAATCCTCCCATGTCAGCATCCCAAAGTGCTGGGATTATAGGCATGAGCCATGATGCCCATCCTAATTATTGCTTTTTAAAGGTTCCTTTACTGCTTCATGGAGAATAGAGATTACTAGCATGGTGTGATGGGGGAAAATGGTACAGAATGATCTGTAACCAAGAATATACTAAATACTTTGTGAGACCATTTATTTCAGTATTTGACCAGAAAAGTTTCATAAAGGAACTGATCCTTGAAGCCGAGACCTGCTTAGTTAAGTTGAAGTTTGCCCAAAGAAAATTAAAAATTGAAGGGAGAGAAGGGGACAGATTCCAAGCAGAGAGAATAAAACATGTAAAAGATCTCTGACAGATGATAGTCAAAATACAGAGATCCCAAATCCCACAGGGGAAACAGGAGGCGTTATATCTGAGTCAAAATTGAGATGAAAGCTCCAAGCAAAACACTAAATTAACATTGAGATTCCTGGCAGCCAAAGCAAAAACTTTTGTGGCTGGGCGCGGTGGTTCACGCCTGTAATCCCAGCACTTTGGGAGGCCACGGCAGGCAGATCACTTGAGGTCAGGAATTCAAGACCAGCCAGGCCAACATGGTGAAACCCCGTCTCTACTAATAATACAAAAATTACTGCATGCCTGTAATCCCAACTACTCAGGAGGCTGAGGCAGGACAATTGCTTGAACCTGGGAGGCAGAAGTTGCAGTGAGCTGAGATGGCGCCACTGCACTCCAGCCCCTGGGTGACAGAGCGAGACTCCATCTCAAAGAAACCAAAAAACCAGCTTCTGCCTTAGTGTATCAGGCTGTAATGAGGTCACCTATTCTCCAGGCCTTGGAAAAGAATCCAGGGTATTTTTTGCCCACGTGCCAAGGATTTGTCTCTAATCTTACCAGGCTACCAGTCTCTCTAGAAATGGTCCCCCAGAGCCAAGGCAAAAACAGCCCCACTCACCAGGCCCCCCAGACACCCAAATAGTCCCCTTACCATGTTGGTACCACTGTCTCAGGTTTGGGCTGAATCATAGCCTCAATGCAAAATTTCTTCTGGCCATTTCCAAAAATCAGATCTACCCTTAAAAAACAAAGATTTGGCTTTCCCTTTGTGAAGAAATGCTTCCCTCCCCCAGCTATCTCCAGTTCCTCAGCTCATCGTCTGGCACTACTGTGAGCATCACCTAGAAGGCCACTGAGATGTGCCAAGGAGAGTGGTGGGGATTTACAAACCAGTCCCCGCCCTTTATGGTAGGTGCCCTCCTGTCCTGCAGGGTCGGACCGATACCTGGAGAGCCGCGATGCCTCTCGACTGAGTGGCCGGGACCCCTCCTCATGGACAGTCGAGGATGTGATGCAGTTTGTCCGGGAAGCTGATCCTCAGCTTGGACCCCACGCTGACCTGTTTCGCAAACACGTAGGTGCTGCTGCCTGACCTCTCAGTAGGAACCTGTGTGGAGAGCCTCACCTGGTGGGGACAATACGAGATGTTTGGGGAGGAGGGATGCTTAGAGACAAAGGCTGAGGAGAACAGGTAGGCTTCAGCATCACAGCAGGTGAACTGGACTCCATGTGGCGGGCACTTCCCAGGATGGCCTATAATCAGAACCTGGGGTGGTCAGACCAACCAGGACTCTGATGGTGCCTCCCTTCCACTTCTGCCCACCTCCCCACCCCCCAGGAGATCGATGGCAAGGCCCTGCTGCTGCTGCGCAGTGACATGATGATGAAGTACATGGGCCTGAAGCTGGGGCCTGCACTCAAGCTCTCCTACCACATTGACCGGCTGAAGCAGGGCAAGTTCTGAACCAGGAGAGGCAGCCTAGACAACCAAGTGGCAGCAGGTGGGGGCATTCTTCTAGGAATGAGGGGCATCAGCCCACCCCAGGCACCTCAGTGGGGTTCCGGGCCACCTCAGGACTCCAAGAGGCTGTGTGGAGCCACCACTCCTAGCCACAGCTGCCATGATAAGTCCTTCCATGAAGGACTGAGGAGGGAGAGTGGGGGTCCAGGGCTGGTGCTGCTCTTCCCTCAGCTCTGCCGGGGCTCTAAGGTCCCTCTATTTATTTCTCAACCCTGGCTGGCCTCTCACCAGGAGTTTAGGCTGAATGCCTTCCACGTGATGGAGGAAAAGGCCAACTCTGTCCTGGTCTTGCTGTGGCACCCCATCGCCCCACAGCTCGTACCTTCTCACCAGATTCCCCTGAATCCAAACTCGTGGTGCAAACCTCTACCTTTTTTACAAAAAGATCTTATTGTTAATTTATTGTTTCTGGCACTTGGGCAAACCCTGTAGTTAATACTCCTCCCACACTAGACACTGGGTTTCAGGAGGAGGGAGACTGCCCTGCTTTGGTCCCAGAGAGGCCCTCTGCAGATAGGCGTGGCCCCTCTTCAGAGGACACTACCCTAGGGCACTTTCTCTTTGAGGTGGAGAGACCCATAAAGCCTTGACCACATCACTCCATATGGGGAGGAGAAGGATCCCTGTCACCTTCTCCTCTCTTCACGGGGCCCTTTTGCAGCCCTAGGCCTCATCTGTGGGAAGGGAGTCCCTGGCTTATACTGCCCCCACCACAGCTCCTTGCCCTGGCCAGAACTGCTGTCGAAGAAAATCAGGCCGGAAGGCCAAGAAGGCGCTAAGGGGGATGGGAGGGCAGGTTTTCCAGGCTGGAGTCGGTTCCACCCACTCGCCTGTCCACAGGCTTCCTTGTAAGCAAGTCAGCAGCACAGCTACTCACGCTGCCATCTGGACTTATTTTATGTCAATCTGTTTATAAATAAAAACCAATATAGATACCAGTGTCTTTTTAATCAGTTAACAGCCAAATCACTACGCATTCATTGGACCAGTCATTCCCCTTCTCTTGGTCTTAGTTTTCTCATACATAAAACGAGGCCGAGCACGCTGGCTCATGCCTGTAATCCCAGCACTTTGGGACGCCAAGGTGGGAGGATCTCTTGAGCTCAGGAGTTTGAGACCAGCCTGGGCAACATGGTGAAACCCCAGCTCTACAAAAAAAAAATACAAAAATTAGCCTGCTGTGGTGGCGCACACCTGTAGTCCCAGCTGCTTGGGGAGCTGAGGTGAGGGGATGGCTTGAGCCTAGGAGATCGAGGCTGCAGTGAGCCGTGTTCGCACCACTGTACTCCAGCCTAGGTGACAATTTGAGACCCTGTCTCAAATAAATAAAATGGAGAGCTTGGAAAAAATGATTCCTAAGCGTCCTTCTAATTCCAGCAGTCCCTAAAGAACAGGTGGTCTTCCGAATGTCCACCAGAGCCCCAGCATCACACAGGCCCCTTGGAAAGTCAGTATGTGAATCCAGTCTCCACCCTCAAAGGGCTTTGCTCTGGTGCAGCTAGACAGTAGTAAGCACAGCAGCTATGCAAAGCCAGAGCAGGAGGGAGCAATCTTACATCAGCAACTCCTAGGAGCCTCAGTGGCTGGGCATATCCTCACCCATATAGGGTGGGGAAAGATGCAGGCCAGCACAGCCAGGTCAGGCCTGCACTGTACCCCTTGTGCTGACCAGGGGCCAGGCACACAACTCCAGGGCCACACGTCGTGTTTATAATTGGAGTATAGGGTTTGCAGGAGGAAGAGAAGGCATAGGGGAGCAGCAGGTCAGTGCAGTATAACCTGATAATAACCACCACCAACACTTATATCACTGTGTGCCACATGAGCTGCTTACATGAATTAGAACTATCTCACTTACTCTTCACAACAAACCCATTTTATGGATAAGGAAACTTAAGCTCAGGTCACACAGGCAGGAAGTGCCAAAGCAGACATTTGACTGCAAGGCTGAGGTTCTAGCCAGCCCACCTATGTGCCAGGAAGCTTTGGGTGGGTCATTTCCTTTCTTTGGGCCCATCTGGCTATGGGGTATTTGCATGAGGAGACTTGTGAAGGCCCTTCAAGCTTTCACCAGTGACAAGTTCCAATATCATAACTTACTTAGAATATATTTTCTACTTGGCCACTGTGAGGTTCTAACCATGGTCACTGTGAAACAGTCAGGGTCAAGGCTGCCAAACAAGTTGAGGCCCTCATTTTCTACCAACTCCTTGACACTGGGGTTTTTTTTTTTTTTTTGACAGTGTCTCTGTCGCCCAGGCTGGAGTGCAGTGGCACGATCTCGGCTCCCTGCAACCTCCGCCTCCCGAGTTCAAGTGATTCTCATGCCTCAGCCTCCCAAGTAGCTGCGACTACAGGCACACGCCACCATGCCTGGCTAATTTTTTGTAGTTTTAGTAGAGTTTCACCATCTTGGCCAGGCTGGTCTCGAACTCCTGACCTCAAGTGATCCGCCTGCCTTGGCCTCGCAAAGTGCTGGGATTACAGGCCTGAGCCACCGCACCCGGCCAACACTGGGATCTTGTAGACTGTGCTGTTCATTCAGGGTATTCCCAATGAGCACCTTGCTGAACCCTAACAACAAACTTCTAGATGTGACCCTCAAGACACAGGGACTAAAGGTGACACTGGCATATGTAGGCAGGCCAGACATGCTGCAAAGCTGGGCACCCACCCCACCTTACCCTCTTCGCCAAGAGTATGTAACTTCCTACTGAGCATTGTTGTGAGAACTCATTGTGCTGAGTTGTTTTTCTACACTATCCCACTGAAACCTCACAACAGTCCTATAGTATAACTACTGTTTCCCTATCTTACAGGTGCTTAGAGAGGTTAATTCCATAGCTGTTAAGGGGTACATGTCCTGCTGCCTGCAACTCTCTCCCGTGGGCCTTTGTCTCAGATCCAGCTACCATTCAGACTCCAGACCCCTGCAGGCTACACTGGGCATGTCATTAACTTTGAAGACTGTCAAACAGAAATGGCCTGGCTGCAGGGCAGCGGGAAGCAGCCCTCTTCAGGGGAGGAGGGCAGTCCTCACAGAGCCTCTGGTCATCAGGAGTTATTCTCCTTGGTTGCCCAGGTGACAGCTCAGGTACAAGGGAATGAGACACATCAGGGAGAAGGGGGTTGGTTCACTGTGGCTTAGAGGCATCATTCCCCAAAGGAGCTCATATCTCTTTGAACAACTCAATAGGCATAGCTTTCAGGGACCCCATAAGCCACATACCCAATTGAGTCATTCCACATAGGACGCCCAACCTTATGGCTTTTTAACAAGTGTTTATAGTTCACACAGAAAACTCCAAGTGCTGATAATTTACAATTAGGAATCATGCTTACCATAAGTAATGTTGCACTGAAACAGCTAACATACTTTTATCTGGTTTCCAGACAAAAAGAACTAGAAAGGTAACCAAATGTCAAGTTCTGCAGGAAAGGAGAGGATGATTCACGCTGCCATAACCTCTGGGGTCAAAATTAAATGTTGTTTAAGAAAGAAAAAAACCCCTCAACTTTGGAAATTGTTTCAAAAGCCAAAAGCCTTCTAATAGTGACCCAGAATCATTAAAAGCACTCGAACGGGCCTCAGACCCAGTGCACACATGCTGCAGTGTTGGAGAGGCCACTCCGTGAACCCCAGCAGTCCAGTAGCCCACCAGGTGGAAAGGCACAGGTGCCAGAGGTCTCATGGCATCAGCTTCATGTGCTCACCCTCAATGGGGGGACAGGGAGATGACACTGACTTTGTGCTGAGCTCAGGAGGGAAACACCAAACACTTTGGGAGGTAACAGAGATCTAGGCCCCACCTAAGGCCGAATCCATGGGAGTGTGGGGCATTTTTCTGGAACACTCCGCCCTCCCCAGCCGTGGCTCCACCCTGCCTGCTGGCCGTGGACTGCATTGTCCAGACACTCTTTGTGGGGGTCTTATGGGACTCCTTAAGATTGATCCCTGAGGTGTAGCAATGGTGGGCCAAATGGACACTGTTCCGGCCCTCACACTGGTGCCACACTCCCTCGTTGGCAAGAGCCTGAAGGTGAATCATCCCTCCTTCTTTACCACCAAAACAAAAAGTGTGGGAAACCTTGAGAAGAGGGTCCCAACACTTCTCCCCTCAGCAGCCCTCAGCTTTTTGCAGCCTCTTTACCTAAGTACCCTGAGTCACTGGACATGGTCTTGCCACCACATTCCGTCAGGGCAGAGCCACAGCTTCCAGCCTTCAGCCCAGAGGCAGTCACAGCCAAGCATCAGAACTGCGGCTCTGTGCCTACAGTGCCAAAGCCACTGCAGGTGCTCACAGAGGCTGGCAGCCCACAGTACCCAGGGCACAGACACTAGGCTGGAGCCACTCAAGTCAGAGATACTCTGCAGTAACTGGGGCTGGGCCCTGTCAGAGCCAGGTGGGGATCTACAGGCTGGAGGCAGCACGCTAGGGGAGGGCTTGAGACCAAGGGAGGCTGGAGTGATGTGGGTCCCAGGACCTGGAAAGCTATGTTTGTAACTCTGCTCCCCAGAGTTCGCTCTTCTTGATCATCCTTGTTCTCTCCTGCACCTGGCTGGGCTCATTCCTCTTCCCTATCCCTCTGCCCCTTGACTGGCCTTCCTGGGCAAACAGCAGATTGTGAAGTGGGAGCTGTGGGGAAGAGGGGATGGCATGCCTGCTGTGGGTTCAGGGATTGTGGCCATGTGGGCCACCCAGTGGACACTGTCCAGATAACATGAAAAGAGGCCATCCACAGCGGCTCAGCTCTCTGCCCCTCATCTTTGGGCCCCACCTCACATTCATAAAGAGGCTTAAATTCTAGGGTTTTTTCCTTCAGTTCAAGATGAGGTTTGTCAGTGAGGTCACAGACATCCAGCAAGAGGGTTAACGGGGCTGCTTATCCCCCCACTGGGAACCCACCACTCCAAGCTGCCTGCAGAGCACCTATACTTTCTAATACTATTACCTAATACTAGAGAGCCAGAGACACCGTAAATAACCTTGTTATCTTATATTTATGTATTTAAAAGATGGTTCATAAATGTGTTTAGTGCTTACCATGAAAGACAATTTTTACCCCCATCTCCAAAAAGAAGTAGAACTGATTCAGCTCACAGAAGGCTGTTAAAGGCGCCAGAGAAATATGTGATGCAGTGGCTTAAAGAGACTGCCAGGAAGAGTGGGGAAAGTTGCTGCACTCAAGTCAATTTGGGAAATTTCATGCAGAACAGCCACCCAATAGCAAGGCCTCTAGGTAAGTAGGGAGAACGCCTCTGGTCATGTTCAGGTGTTTCGTCTGTCAAGGTGCTTCTCCCGGACAGCTATTTCTGCACAGTTCAACACGACTTGAGTTGGCCATCTCAAAACAGCTATAGCCTCAGTTGCTGTGAGGGCACCTCATGGATGACAGAGGCAAGAAAGGCTTGAGGGAGAGGGGGTGAGGCAGGGGGAGCTTGGAGCCGTCATTCTCTAACCCTAAGAGCTGTGGACACAAAGCCGAGCCCAACCTGGCTGCTGCCCGGGCGGGCAAGGAGAGGGCACCGAATGCACTCTCCCCAGAGCCTCGCACTGCCACCAGTTGAGGCCTGCGCCCCTCTCTTCCCCGCACACCATAGCCTCTTTTCTTGAGTGCTCTACCCAAACTACTGCCTCACCCCCTAGGAAACAAACATTTGGTAACATCTTCAGAAAGGCTGCTTTCAAGGAAGGCAGCTTCTCTACGCTGTCAAACAGCTTTCTTAGTTGAAGCATCTAACTGTGGCACCATCCTTACTGCCCCCAATTGGGGCTTCCAGAAGCAGTGTGGGCAAGCGCTGCCAGCCTTCTGCAGAATGATGAGCACTGGTCAGTCCTGTGCTGATAAAGACTGTGTGTCACCCACGTCTTGGTTTCTCCAACAGCAGGTAACAACCTCATCTTCCCAAAGAGATAGATAGCTACGCCTGACCTATTTTTCAGGGCTCTTCTGGACAGCAGCCTCTGTCTCCAGCACAGAGAAGGGCCTGGCGTCAGGGGGAGCCCTGGAGCCTACCATGTGCCTCCTGCTCCATCTTGGGAGCAGCTGGGCCCTGTCAGTACTCAGTAGAGCCTGGGATTGGTGACTGACTAAAGAGGGAGGTGGAGGCTTTAGGCAGCAGCGCTGAAAGAGGTGGCAAGAGGTGACCTGCATGGGAACTGGGGCCTGAAGAGACATCACTAAGTGGGGAAGTGTGTCCCACAGCCAAGCTGCATGGTGGGTGGGCCGCTGGGTCTGCTTCCAGTGTGTGGTGGGACCCACAGGGAGCTGAGTTTTCCTGTTTGATTTCCCGCACCCAGCCTGCCTGTGGCTGGCCAAGAAGGCATTGTTGAACCTCATGAGATCACAGAGGTAGCTGTGCAGGCCCCGCCCACTTCCTATAACCCTGGTTCTGGCCGTCCCTGTGCCAAGCCTCCAAGTTCCCTGAGAGCTACCGGCCAGGGGTCGGGAGGCTATGGGAGCTCAGGGCAGGCACCTCCCATGCTCCCGCGGGAGCCACCAGGACATGAAGGTCATAGGCCTCTCCTCTCCTCCTCTTCCTGTTTGACCTGAATGCCCCCAGGCCAACTGCCTCAAGGATTCCATTTGAGAAGATGCAGGCTGGGTGTGTGGGGAGCAGTAGAGGGGCTGGTGTGTGCACATATGTGCACAGCTCAGGACAGAGGCTCCCTGGACTTGGGGCGGGGGCACTAGGGCCCCAACTCTAACCCTCGTTCTGCCCTGTTGACCTCTGCTCTCTGGACCAAAAATGGAGGACTCAGTCTAGACTAGTTCTTAGGGTCTAGGAGCCACCTTAAGTTATGTTTATATGCAAAGGCCATTTTTCTGAGAGGCCATAGCTTTCATCAGTGTGCCAAAAAGCGTGAGATCCTCTGCTCTAAAAGCCTCTGCCCCAGCGCTGCCTAGTTTCAGAGCCCCCGATGGCCTCACATGGGGTTTTAGAGCAGGCAGAGAAGCTGCAATGGGGCCACCAGCCAGTCCTCAGAGTCCTGGGTTAAGGCCTCCTCTCCAGGAGGCCCTGTGTAAAGGTTTTCTCTGTTGCCTGGAGGCAGGAGTGAACTGGTAGGCAGGAAACCCTGAGGGTACCTAGGAGGCCCCTAGCCTGTGGGTTGGGGAGGGAAGACAGGACCCCTGGGGCCACTGAAATGGTGGAGCTCTCAGAGACCTGAGTTCTGGTCCCTTCTGCCACTTTTTGGGCAGATCCCGTCTTCCCACAGGCCCTGTGTCTTGCTCAGTCCACGTGACTCTGCTTTCTCATCCTAGGCCTCAGGTGGGTGGCAGGCCCTTTCCTGCTTGCCCTCTGCCCTCCCTCTCTCTGGCCCTGCCCAGTCTCTGCCAATCTGTGTACCTCCCAGGAGCCGGGACACTCCCTGAGTCCTCTGGGAGCCCTTAAGCCACACTGAGAACACAGACCCTGGGAGAAGCAGCCAGCAGTGAGGAATCCTGGAACCCCTTCCCAGGGAGAGCCTTCCCATGACCCCCATGAAGAGATCAGTGCAAACACAGGTGTCAGAGCCCTTCATGGAGTCCTGGGGTGAGGAGTCCCTGCCGGAGCTACCCGCAGAGCAGTCCCTGACGGAGTACTCTGACCTCGAGGAGGCTCCCTCGGCGCACACTCTCTATGTGGGCCATCTGAACCCCCAGTTCTCAGTGCCGGTGCTTGCCTGCCTGCTGCGAGACACCCTGGAGCGGCTGGAGATGCCGGTGGCGCGGGAGCACATTGAAGTGGTGAGGCGGCCGCGGAAGGCCTATGCACTGGTGCAGGTGACTGTCCACAGGGACACCCTGGCCTCCCTCCCCTGGCGCCTGCAGACGGCCCTGGAGGAGCACCTAATCCTCAAGGAGCTGGCAGCCCGTGGGAAGGACCTGCTATTGAGTGAGGCCCAAGGGCCCTTCAGCCACAGAGAGGTAAGTGGGACTTTTCCCAAGCAAGCTCCAAAGCCTCACCCCAAGGGAGAGCCTCTGAGTGGGAGTGGCCTGCAGAGTGGGGATGGAGGGGTGTCTCTGGGGAAGCAGGGACAAATCTGCAAACTTGGGGGCTGCCACTCAAATGACCATGGCTTGCGGCTGGTACTGCCAGCTTTCTCTGGGAAAAACAGTTTGCCTCAAGCTCAAGCCCGACGTTTGTGTGAAGAAAGGCCACGAGGGGACCTCCTCTCCTTAGGTCCTTTTACATTCCAGCCTCTGGGCCTGGGAGACCCTAGAAGACACAGGGGCCCCGATTTTCTCCTTGGCCCAACTCATTTGTTCAATTGACAAACATGAACACCCCCTCTGTGCCAAGAGTAAGGCAGGGATGAGAGGCCCAGCCAGGCCCCCAGGAAGCCCTGCATCTGTGGCCAGAGCTGGACAGCCACCCACCGAGCTGCAAGGTGGCTGCGCTCAGAGCTGTGAGAGAAGACAGGAAGGTTTGCCCTGCTCTCTGGGGACAGATTAACAGGGGAAGTGAAATCCAGGCCGGGACTTAGGGAGTTGGACAGGCACTTGCAAGGGAGGACATTCCAGGCAAGGGACACAGAATATGCAGAGGAACCTGGGGGCTTAGAGGGAGTGTCATGTCTGCAGAAGGGCAAACCATTTGGTGTCCCTGGAGCTCCCACTAAAGGCTGCAGGGGGTGCTAAGGAAGGAAGTTGGGCCAGAAGGTAGGGTAGGGGCCAGGTCACCAAGGCTATCATCCAAGGCAAGGCTGAACTGCTGGCTTTATTGGGTGGGACATGGGACGTTAGGATAGGTCACTCCATGAGACAGGTGATTTTGGTTTCTTTTGGTGTGAAAATGATGGTGTTTAAACTGTTGCAGAACTAAAAGGCTCTGTGGCTTACATTTCAACTCAATTTCACATTTGTATGAAGTTTATCCTGTTTCTAAGACTGATAAATTCATCTTCTCTGGGGAGCTGCAGGGCTGGTAGGGAGGTGCCTCAGTCTCCTCACCCCAACCCACGCTCATGAAAGAATTGTGAGGAGTAACAATCTGCCTTGAAGTTAGCGTCACTAAGGAGGGTTGGCTGGGCGCGGTGGCTCACGCTTGTAATCCCAGCACTTTGGGAGGCTGAGGCGGGCAGATCACGAGGTCAGGAGATCGAGACCATGGTGAAACCCCGTCTCTACTAAAAATACAAAAAAATTAGCCGGGCGTGGTGGCGGGCCCCTGTAATCCCAGCTACTCGGGAGGCTGAGGCAGGAGAATGGCTTGAACCCGGAAGGCGGAGCTTGCAGTGAGCCGAGATCACGCCACTGCACTCCATCCAGCCTGGGTGACAGGGCGAGACTCTGTCTCAAAAAAAAAAAAAAAAAAAAAAAAACAGGAGGGTTGACATGAAAGGGTGAGCCTGGAAGCAGGGAGGTCAGGGAGGGGCTCGCTGGGGAGGCCCAGACTAGGAAGTGGCCCCGAGGAGGCTCACACCAAGCCCTCGAGCAGAGCCCAAACCATGAAAGGAGATTCAGGAGGCGCAGAAGAAAGTGGGGATTAGGGCGGACTTGTCAATAGCCCAGCAAGTAGTGGGCAAAGGTTTGAAATCAGGAAGTGGGTGGGGTACCTGGGAGTCCCTCTCCATTCAGGGTACTGCAGCTCTGTCACAGGGTGCTGAGATACCTGCTGGAATGATCTGGTTCTGGGCCTCAGGGGCCTGTCTGCAACCCAAGTAAGAAAAAATGGGCCCACACATGTCCCAGCACCCAGCCCTGAGAAGCAGAAATCTCTTCTTCCCCACCAGGCATCCCACAGCTCACCTGGGAAGGGCCCAGCTTGGCAGGGAAAGGAGCGCTGACTGGAACCCTCGATCCAGCAGGGTTTCCTGCCTCGGCTGCAGGAGGGTGGGCAGAACTGGGCCCCTCGGCCTGGTGAGGGGCATCAGGATGTCCGTAAGAGTCAGGCTGCAGCAGGGGCCTGACTGGGGGTTCTTGCAGTCCTTCTCAGGGTCAGGGCTCCCATTTCCTGGCTGGACCCATACATTCATTCTTGACTACCACCCTAGGAGAAGGAGGAGGAGGAGGAGGACAGTGGCCTGAGCCCTGGCCCCAGTCCAGGCTCTGGTGTCCCGCTGCCCACCTGGCCTACACACACGCTGCCTGATAGGCCCCAGGCCCAGCAGCTGCAGAGCTGCCAGGGCCGGCCCAGCGGCGTGTGCTCCGACAGTGCCATTGTGCACCAGCAGATCGTGGGCAAGGACCAGCTCTTCCAGGGTGCCTTCCTGGGCAGCGAGACCCGCAATATGGAGTTCAAGCGGGGTAGCGGCGAGTACCTCAGCCTGGCCTTCAAGCACCACGTGCGGCGCTACGTGTGCGCCTTCCTCAACAGCGAGGGCGGCAGCCTGCTCGTGGGAGTAGAGGACAGCGGCCTGGTGCAGGGCATCCGCTGCAGCCACCGTGACGAGGACCGCGCACGCCTGCTGGTGGACTCCATCCTGCAGGGCTTCAAGCCTCAGATCTTTCCCGATGCCTACACTCTCACCTTCATCCCTGTGATCAGTACCTCGGAGACCAGCGTCCCCCTCAAGGTGAGCCTGCAGGACAGGAGGGCCTCTGGGCCTGTCATCTGTCATCACTCAGTAAGACGATGGCCTGCACTCCTGCCAGGCAGTGCTGGGGCAGGGACGGGACTGGGGGCCACAGGAGAAGAGGCTGGGGATGGCCCCTGTGCCAGCCCTGCTGGCCTGCCCTAAGGAATCAGTGAGCAATGCTGAGCAGCCTGGCAGGATGGGGGCTGCCGACCGTGAGGGGCGGCGCCTCCAGAGCTGCTGTTGCCCCTACCAAGGTGATCCGCCTGACCGTGCACACCCCCAAGGCCCAGAGCCAGCCGCAACTCTACCAGACAGACCAGGGGGAGGTGTTTCTGCGGCGCGACGGGAGCATCCAGGGCCCGCTGTCTGCCAGCGCCATCCAGGAGTGGTGCAGGCAGGTACGGAAGCTGAGGCCAGTGGGTGGGGTGGAGCGGAGCTGACCCCAGACCCCTTCAGCCACCCACTGAGCAGCCCAGGGCAAGCCACCATGGTTCCCTGGGTCCTGCATCACCCCGTTGAACCCAAGGGGTTGGAATACAATCACACCACATCCCATACTCCGCGGGTAGGTGGCTGGTGGGAAGGAAGAGGCCCAAGCTCTCTCCTTTTAAAAATCTATGCAGTGGCCAGGCGCAGTGGCTCACGCCTGTAATCCCAGCACTTTGGGAGGATGAGGCGAACAGATCACAAGGTCAGGAGTTCGAGACCAGCCTGGCCAACATGGTGAACCCTCGTCTCTACTAAAAATACAAAAATTAGCTGGGCATGGTGGCGGGCGCCTGTAGTTCCAAATACTCGAGAGGGTGAGGCAGGAGAATCGATCGAATCTGGGAAGCGGAGGTTGCAGTGAGCCGAGATCGCGCCACTGCACTCCAGCCTGGGCGACAGACCGAGACTCCATCTCAAAAAAAAAAAAATCCTATGCAGTATCCTCCCTTCAGGGGTGCCTGAAACCCCTCACCCTCTACTTGGGCAGTTAACACACTCGATCTTGAGTGAGGGAGCAGAGAGACTGGAATGTTGAGATGTCACCAGAAAACCCCAAAGACTATACACTGCATTTTAGGGGAGGCCCTAAAGCGGCAGAGGGGGCAAGACACAGTCCCAAGGAAGAGCTTTTTCAAGAGGGAAACAGAGAATGGAGGACAAGGGACCAACAGTGAGGAGGCACATGGCCTGCCCAGCACGGAGGAGGCTCCCTTCCATGGCTGGCAGCCGGCAGCTTCCCTCAGGCTGACACGGTTGAAGGTGGCAGCAGGCCGAGGGGCCTGACTTTTCCCCTAGCTGAGAAAGCTCTCAGGCTCCTGGGCTTTGCCTTCCTCCCTCAGTTTGGCCCCAGGTGGAGGACGGACAGGCCCGAGACCAGGCGGGCTTGGCCACATGCTTTTCCCATGTCCCCTCAGAGGTGGCTGGTGGAGCTGGGCAAGCTGGAAGAGAAGATGAAGGCGCTGATGATGGAGAAGGAGCAGCTCCAGCAGCAGCTGCAGCAGCACGGGCCTGTGTCCTGCACCTGCTGTGTCCTGTGAGGGCCCTGGGGAGCAGGCAGGACGGCACGGCACTCTCCACCTGAGACCCAGGGATTTCCTGTTTGAGTGTAAGGCCAACCAGTAAAGCCCATGCGGGCTGCTGAGAGGCGGACAGGGACTCCTTCAACATGGCACATGAGCAGGCACCCATGTGGCTTCAACCCTGACAGACCCATCTGTGTAGCCAAGAAACTGCTCTCAGCCCTGTCCCCAAATGACCTTACTTTCAGAAAGAATGTGTAAAACCCTGCCCAGAGCTCCCCTAGGGCTAAGCTATAAGGGATTGTCCTTCTCCCTAAAATGCTCATTTGGCCCAGGCTGAGGTCTGTGACTCCAGTTGGCTACACAGTGCCAGAAAGGAATCTGTCATCTCAGGAAAGCCCCTCAAAGATGGCGAGGCATATTTGATGACTGTGGTTACAGGGCAAGAGGCCACCCTGCAGCCCCCACCCCTGACTTGCTGGAACTTGTGACTGTCAAAGCTCCATTAATAAATTACATGCACCTGGGACAAGAATGGTTCTTTCTAGGACACTGGGTCAGCCGGTCAGATGCTGCAGGGTCATGAGTCCCAGGCCCAGCCCACCTCTGTCCAGGAGGCAGAGGACAGACCTGCAAGGGCAGGGAGCCCAGCCCCTCAGACTCCAGTCCAGCTCTGTCTTAAAGACCAGGGACCGTGGGGCAAAGTGCTATGCCTCTGTGCTTCAGTTTCTTCATCTATAAGACAGTGACAATGGCCAGGGGCATTTTGTCACCATCGGGCCAGTGCCCTGTGTCTACGCCAGCTGTGGCACAGAGCAGCACCTCACACTAAGGGTCTCAGTTCCTTTCCAAGACCCCTCTGGTCCAGTAAGACCGTTAGCTTAAAACAAACAAAAAAAACCAGACTCCTCCAGCTGCTTCCTGCCTCTGGCCGTTTCTCCTGCTGTCTCCACCAGCTGAGCCAGAGGCTGCAAAGCCAGAGTCTGATCACACTCACGCCACACCTGCACCCATAGCCCTCCAAATTCTTCAAGAGCAAAGCCCAAACTTGATGGCCTACATGGTTCTCCACCACCTAGCCCACCCAACCTCAATGTCTTCCGCCCCTTATGTAAGCCACTTCAGCCACGCCCACCAACTTGTTTCATTTGCACTCCTGCCTCGGGGCCTCTGCGCTACATAGCGGCCTATTTCCTTTCCTCTTCACCTTCAAGTCCATGCTTAATTTCCCACCCACCCTATTTTAAAGACACCACCTCCCAGCACTGCCACTCCCCTGCTCACTTCCACCCCTGGTCTCCATCTATGAACTACCACACTCTGTAGCTTATATTTGGTGCTTCCCCCACTGAATAACTGCTCTGGGGGACAGGGGTTTGGGTATGGCTGGCATATGGTAGACACCCAATAAATACCTGCTGGTGAGACAATTAAGGATACTCCTAAATTTGGGGTCTGAGCCACCAGAAAATCACCAAACCTTGTTGAACAGGGCATTTCACAGGACTAGTGTTCCACAGAACACACTTCAGTTGATCCCCTAAAACTTGAAGACCCTGGCCACATCCACAGCAGACACAGATGAGAACTTTGGAACCCCCAGCCCCTCCACTCACCAGCCAGGTGACATTTTCTGGGTGATCACAACTGCTCTGAGACCTGGTTTTCCCACTTAGCAAAGAGCACACAACCCCTGCCTCGGCTGCCATTCATGCTGGTTAGGGACCAATGTGATCACAGACACCTATATGGTGGCAGGTTACCAAACTCCTGCTGCTCACCCCCCGAGCTGCCCCAAGGTCACCAAGACTGTTTGAAAACTACACAAATGTGTTACTCAAGAAGGAGGAGTGGCATTTCTGAGCACCTTCCACGGTCCAGGTACCATGCTAAATGCTAGTCCAGGCACCACAATCCTCGGAAATGTTTTTCGGGGGAAAAGAGCAGATTTCTACAAAGGAAGGGTGAAGTCAGGCTTCAGCCCAGCTGCTCCAGACTGCTAAGAACTGCCCAGATCCCCTGGACTGAAGGGAAGTTCCCTGGACTGAAGGAAGTTACTGAAGGGAAGTTACACATAGCTGTGCCTATTGTTAGGTCACATTAAGAAAGGAACGAGGAATGTGACCAGCTTTCCTCCCCATGAGGGAGAAGCCTCCGGGGACGGGTCAGTAAACACTGGGCACAGGTTGCCCTCCTGTAAATCCAGCTTCAGCCCTATCCTGTCTGCCACAGCCAGCGTGGCGGGGCTGCTCGAGCTTTGCAAGCTCTGGAGAGCCATCTGGGATCTCTTTTTTCAGAAACCTTACATTATGTGGCCAGCACTTGACAAGTGATCAGCCAAAGTGATCTTAAACATAGGGGCAGGAACTTAATTACTGGGAGGCTTTTTCACACCACCCACACACCCAGCCATTGTGGGGGACCATGATGTCAACAACGGGCGTGTCAGACCCTCAGTTTGGGGAATGTTTGAAAAAAAACGGGCCAGACGTGGTGGCTCACGCCTGTAATCCCAGCACTTTGGGACGCTGAGATGAGCAGATCACGGCCAGCCTAGCCAACATAGTGAAACCCCATCTCTACTAAAAATACAAAACAATTAGATGGGCGTGGTGGCAGGCACCTGTAATCCCAGCTACTTGGGAAGGTGAGGCAAACAGAATCACTTGAACCTGCGAGGTGGAGGTGGCAGTGAGCCAAGATCACGCCACTGTACTCCAGCCCAGGCAACAGTGTGAGACTCCATCTCAAAAAAAAGACTATTGACCAGGTGCAATGGCTCATGCCTATAATCCCTGCACTATGGGAGGATCGCCTGAGGCCAGGCGTTCAAGACCAGCCTGGCCAACACAGCGAGACCCTGTCTATTAAAAAAAAAAAAAATTTAATTAGCTGGGCGTGGTGATGTGAACCTGTAGTCCCAGCTACTTGGAAGGCTGAGGTGGGAGGATCTTATGAGCCCAGGAGGTCTGCAGCAAGCCGTGCTTGTGCCACTGCACTCCAGCCTGGGCAACAGAGTGAGACCCTGACTCAAAAAAATAAATAAATAAATAAATAAAATTTAAAATGAAGACAATCTCCTGGTACCACCAGGTGGGAGAAGAGGTTAGAATTATGCTCAATCAGCCACGTTCAAAGTACCATAACAAGCAGTTCTGCTGGTGAAGACAGTCTGGCCCACTGCTCACTGGCTGTGTATATGGGGTACCCACGTCCAGTGCCTGGCAGAGGAAAGGACCACCTTCCTAAATCATGCTTATCCCTCCCCTTTCTCAGTCATAAATAGCACCATAATAGCACCCATGCACCTTTTCATCTCGCTCTACATGCTGAGAACCTGTATTTGAAGCTTTATGAAAAATTCTGGTTCCTATTAAAAAGAAAGCCTCATTTCTTAGTTTTTAAACAAACTCTCAGGTTGTCTGCTGAGTCAAGGCTGCTCACCTGCAGGAGCACCCGGCACTGACAATTCAGCTGACTGCACACAAGCAAGCCAGCAACGTGCTCAGACGCTTCCCATCTGGCCAATGACATAAAGAGAATGAGAAGCAAAGCATGTCTCTTGTTCTGCCTTACTGATTTATTTCTTAAGTTAGAGTACACATCGAGTCTGGCCAGAATATAGTGCCACGTAGCTATGCCTATTGCTAGGTCACATTAAGAAAGTAACTTCATATTGCCCTTTCAACTGCAGTAACACCATCCTGGAAGAAAAATGGACCCTCCAGTCAAAGCTGTCTATATATGAGAGGGTTTTAGAGGAAGTTTCCCCCAAAAGATTCTTTGTTCTGTAAGTGACCCCTTGATGCAAGGAGTGTTTCCCAGCCCTAGAAATAGGAAGCGCAGCCACAGGCATGGGGATTTTAAAATCACGCTTCAGAGACAGACATCTTGGTGTTTCATGTTGACACCAAACTGACCGTCCCTTTGAATGAGGACCAGCCACAGTTGGCACTGAGAATTCCCCCCAACTCAGGGCAGTATAGAGATTTTGTCTCTGGTTTCATGGCTTAGTGGCAAGCAATACCCTGAGGTTCCCAGCACCAAGTGTTCAAATCCTAGCTAAAATCCTCTCTCCATGCTCGGTAAGTCCATGTGGCACACTTTATAACGGTCTAGGTATCCAAGGGAAAGCGACAGGCAACGCGCTAGCATCTGCAATGATGCGAGGTAGTTGAGAAACAAGGTGACCGATGGGGCACTCTGCAGCCCCACCCACCATCGGTTCCCATCGCGATGTTCTGCCGCAACTCAAGAACTGCAAGGAGAGTGTCACGCAACAGGCAGACACCACAGAGGAGCCAGTACACGTGATGGGACATGCAAGTGACAAGTTTCCCAAATACCTTTCCGCATAATAAAATAATCTTAATAAAAACATAATTTAAAGAAAGTCTCCAAAGCCGAGTGTAAAGTCAGAGCTGTAAACTCTACCCAAGTTTGAAGGGTCTCTTGAAGAATCATCCCTGTTTAAAAGAAAAAAAAAAGTGGGAATTATATGATGTACATTAAAGTAGAAAAGTTAGAATTTCTAGTCAGCTGCCATGGGAAACTAAGCCTGTTTTTCATGGCAGAGCAGTAGAAGGAGCCTACTGGGAATAATTAGACGCTAAATTTATAATTCCTACAGAATCAGACCTTTTCAAGACCTCACACATCGACTTCTACAACCACCCAATGCAAGCATTCTTTCTCCACAGCACCTCGTAACAGTGTCACTAACGGGCAATTCTCCACTTGCGAGGCAGTCAGAAATTCCATGTAACTGACCAAATATCTACCTCCTTCACTGGTAACAGTTCTTGTTGTATCAGCTCCTTAAGACTGTGAAACAGCCTATAGCAAACTCCCTGGTCAGGGGATTAATGAGTCCATCCGTGTTAAACGCTTACCTAGCACACAGGCCCTCCTCCTGATACTAACTTCTCATGCCTACCCACCACCTACTTAGGCTATGCCAGGACAGGGGGTCAACCAACCAAGGCAGGAGGGGAAACAGCTGGGATCAGCAGGTCAGACCGGCACTGACCCAGCACCAGAGGCCCACTGGTGATGAACACACGGTGTGCAGGATTCAGGGAGGTCCCCCTGCCCAGGCCTTAGGGCAGGAGCGGTGGAACCACACACCCATACCCCTGGTTCTTATTCCAGACCCCAGATGACTGACACTCCCTCATTTGATACCTCACCAGCAGAATGCGTACTTCTGCCAACACAGTCCACACAGTTATCTCAAAGGACATTTACATTTCGTGGCAGTGCCCACAGTTATTGCACTTTATGAACCTACAAACCCTGTCACTTAATAGACAAACATTCGACGTCTATTTGGCAATTGTTCCAACTTTGAAGGAATTCCAGAATAAGCAGCAATCAACAAAAAAAAGTTCTCTAAGCAGTGTCAGTTTTAAAGTACTTCCTGATGAAAACCTGAGGCTCTGCAGAAATGACAAGTGCCACATTGTTGTATCTGTCCCTTCCTTCAAGATCTCCAAAATTTACAGCTACATCAAACAATAGGGTCTAAGAATTCAGACCCTCCCCTTCCCCGCCCCAGAACTGGTCAGACTGGCACCAGAATGTAGTAATCAGTATTGAGACAACTGCCCAGTGACCATGCTCCCCAAGCTGTCATCCCCAGGGCAGGACTGGGAGGTGCACTGCAACTTGGAGGAAGGGCTGCCCATTTGATACCCACAATGACCTCACTACTTTCTTTTCTCTCTCAACCTCTGGATTATATTCAAGACCTCACCACTTTCATTCCTGGCAGATAAAAATTTTCAGCCCTAAACTTCCATGATATTCTTGCAATCGCAGTGTGTTATCACCATGTTTTTAAAAACTAAAACTTTAAAGTACCACTTACGCTACAAGATCAGTCATGATTTATTGATGGAAACTTCAGTTCGGTGATTTCAGAGTCAGGGGAGCTGCTTCCACTCCTGTCACTATAGGTGTCCCTGTAGAATTCAGATGGTTTACGCATCATCTCCCACCAAAAACTCACTTTACGTCCCTGTTTTTGTAACCACGGTTCCTACAGGGACACTTGCCTGCACATGGCAGGAATCACAAAGACTGTTTGCTACATAATATATTTAACATGAAACTGCAGAAAGATTTCCTTCTTCTAGCTACAAAAGATATACATTCCATTTATACTTCAGTCACACACCCTACCACCAACTCTGAGTACTGGTTCTGGATAAAGGTGGCAATGGGACATAAACCTACCCATTGTGGCTTACTTCCCAGGAAAAACTAGTTCCCCTTAACATGGACCAGAGGGTCCTACGCCAAGTGTGATCTGGTCAGCACCACCAGAGCTCAGATGCTGCAGAAAGGGGGACCTGGCCAATATGCCAGGGAAACACCGTGAGAAAGCTCCGGGAAAGGAGAGGAAACTTTCACCCCAGGCGCCTGTGGCTTTTTTTTCTTATGACTGACTGTGACGTGTTGCTGTAATGAATCAGCGACCACCTAAAGGACTAGAGAAGACTAATGGATTACTGAAGCAAAGAGTGCGCCTACCTGGGTGAGAGCCTGCAGCCTTTCTGGAGGTAATGTGAGAGCCGCCCCACAGAGGCCAGGAGGAGGCCAAAGTATGGTGGGGAGGGCTTGATAGGCCTGGACAGGAACTCAGGGTGGTACTGAACCCCAACAAAAAAGGGATGATCTGAAATAGAGATTCAAAAGAAACAGCTTCATTGTGAAGGTTATGCACAAAGTGTAAAAGAACAAAATCTGCTTAAATGTTTGTTTCCATAGGCCCTAAAATAATTTGAAAATGACTTTCTCATTTGAATCTAGATAAAGGGAACCTCAAAGCATGAGTGATCTGATACCCTTTCTCAGCACGGTTTGTGCTGTCCCCTCCTGGCTGAAGGCCTCCTGTCCAGGGTCCCGCCCAAGACCCTGGCTCCCAGGATTTCTGTAGACTGAGTCTTGCGGTTCAGGAGAGGGCTGAAGTGGCTTTAGTACCAACTCCAAGCATTTTGGAGAAGGAGAAACTGCGGCCAGAAGTTAAATGGCTCCCCGAGGAAGGCCATGTACCAGAAAGAAGTTTCTAGAGTCCAGACCCCATGTTTATCAAGACCCCTTCCCTCATGAGACAGTGCTGCTTCCTAATTCTGTTAGGTCAGGAGCAACAAGATAACATTTTTATATTTTCCCATATGCCAAGAAAACTTTACTAAGTTTTCCATTAAATAAAACTGCCCGAATAATCACCTTCTAACTCCACAATTTCCATTCTCTCTCCTTCAACATCTTGGCCAACAAACTTCAAGCCTTGTTCTTCCAAACACTTTTTCCAGACTGGATTCACCTGTTGAGGCATGAAAAATAATTCTGCTGGTCTCTCAGCTCACTATCTTTCCAGAGTACCAGCAAGCTGGAATCCTCACCTCAAATCGGTGGCGGTGCCTCTCTTCCAAGTAGTCTGCGTCTCCATAGAGTTTCCCTGGCAAAACAAACGGGCTGTATGTAAAGAACTTTATCTCACAGGATGATGCGTTCACAAAGACATCCTCCTTCCTGCTTTACTTTTCATCATCCACACAGCCAGGTCTTTTGAGGGCTATTTCTATGAATCTGCTAAGGTCACCTGCTCTTAACAACACAGTTTAGACTAATTCTTGGGCTTTTGACTCTTTCTGACAACACTACAGAAAGCTGTAACAGAAACAAGACTCTCACCACCACCCTCAAACACATGATTGCAAAGTATGGGCACTTTGCTGCTAGAAAACTGCCTTGGAAAGCAAATCAGGATGTACGAAACGGCAAGGCCCTGGGAACGTGGCAGGATGGGAGGCATTTTAAGAGCTGCACAGATGACCTCTGATGATCATTCAGTTCCAATCATGGTCATCAAAGGTCATCAGCCCTCAGTGGCTGCATGTGAACAAGCTGGACATTTGCGAACGGGCTGCTCTACTGACTCATTTCACAGTTGCCTCGAGATCCCCAAATCCACAGAACATCAGAGTTGGTAAGAGAAAGATCCGATACTCAAGTGACTCCAGCTATGCTGCTACAGAACGCCCAGACAGACACAAGGGTGCCTCTGCTAATACAGTAAAGGCAGAATTTTCCCAGTAGACAAGAAGGAAATCTGTGTAATAGTCATTTTCTTAACTATTTTCCTCCGAAAACTACCCTAAACCTTCAGCATCTATTAGTACTTTATTAGAACAGAATCTACTTAGGCTGAATCATATGAAATTGCCATCTTTGTGTGACAAAAATTGCCAAACATCAGCAATTGATATGGCTGGTCTTAATAGGAAAGTAACCGATAAGGATGAATGTAACCTCACTGCCTCATTCTGTTGAGGCGCCCATGCCTAGGAGTCTGACTGCACTGCCAGTGTCCTTTCTAAGACCCACACTGCTTCTATGGCTATCACAGTGCATCCTAAAAGGGTATGAATAAGAGAGGAAAGAATGAACTTCAAAAGCAAGAACGAAACCAAAAAAAGCCAGCCTGCTCCTCGAAGCCACAGCATCACCCTAAGACACGCGTCCTGGGCACGCAGAGCCAAAGGCTGGGCCAGCGTGAGGCAGCTCTTACTCATGACTGAGTTCTTGGTCTGGAACAGGGTTCTCCTCTTGCCCAGCCTCATGGTTCCGCCCATCTGCCCTGGGTTGTGTTCTGGCATGTCTACGACCTGGAGATGTTCAGAAAACAGACACCAACTACAGAACTCTGCTTCCGCTAGAGAGAAACCTCCCTCGCTGAGTGGGTGGCAAAGGCTTGTAAGTAAGCTCTAATTCTCCAGGCTTTCCTTATGAGACATTTTGTCACAGAAGAAAATGCCTCCCAGTTGGCATTTGTAACCTCGGTTGGGTGGAGGCTCCGTCCTTCAGCCTGTCCTCCTGATCTGCAGACAGGACCACAGCAGCCCCTCCTCAGGCTAGTCCCGCCCCAGCACTGTGGACGGTAAGCATCACTTCCTTAGAAAGACTGATACAGTAGCACAGACACGGACTGGATGTGTCATAACATGTCTGTCATCGCCCCAGCTAGCCTGATGACTGCTCAAAGGCAAGGGATGCAGGGCTAGCACCCTGCAGCTTAGCAAGCATCTGAGGACTGGGTGGGCCATGCACTGATGGCCCAGTCCACCTCTCAGCCCAGCGTTCCCAGGCACCTTCTGATTCCAGGCTCTCTGTGCCCTGTTCCTCCTGACCCCAAAGCCCCATGCTGCAAAACATTTGCTGGTCCACTCCTGAGGCCTTAGTATCAGCAAAGTTCAATTTCAGGTCAACAAACACAGTGATGCTGTCTAAGTGCCGTGAGATCAAGAACTTTGTCCGTCTCATTTAGCACGGTGTCCTCAGTGACAAGGGCAGTCCCAGCATATAGTACGCATTCACATTTGCTGACTGCTGAAAAACGTAAATAAGTGCCCTTCCCTTTACATCCCTGTCACCCTGGGCTGGGAATTCAAAGGTGATTAAAGGCATCGTCCCTCCTCCATGTGCCTAACAGTACAGCGGGCTGAGAATGCCACATGCCCTCGGCATGAAATCTAACGCAAGGTACGCCAGCCTGGAAAATCTTTGGATACGGTTAAGCCAACCAGTGCTCCAACCCAGCAGTTCTCCCAGGACTATGGCTGGGGATCCCATGAATTAATATAAAATATACATATGAAAGCAGTGAGAGCAGCGGCTGGCACACAGTAAGTACACATGCCAGGGTCTCATATTAGTATCTATACTGTGTTCTGGGAGTTGAGGGGAGTAGGGATGGAGAAGAATTTTAATCAGGAATCCCCTCCAGTTTCCTGGGCTGGTACCTGTCTTAAAAACTTTCTGTGGTCAATGAAAGATTAGGGAGGAATTACATAATGAAAAAGAAAAGTTTTTCCTCTCTGGTAGGTCTGAGTGCCCAAAACCTCAGGGTTCTTTGGGATGGACTCAAGCAGTCTCACTTCTTGTCTCTAATCATCAATCACGTTCATAAATGCCCCTTCTACACCCTTCTAAGCCCTGTGGAGGTTCAAACACTTGACTCACCACGGGATGACTGGTCGTAGGGTCAAACTCTGTAGAATTGGCATCTGAAATACCAAAATACTTGTTATGAAAATAGTTACAAACGAAAGTGATTAATAGTTTCATTGCTAAGCTCTAAACACAACTTCCCTCCTCAGTTTAAGATCAGTGATTAGAACAAAAACTAAAGATAGCATCCCCCTGACCTCATCCCCAGACGAGATCTCACTGTTGTCCAGGCTGGAGTGCAGTGGTGCGATCATAGCTCACTGCAGCCTTGAACTCCCAGGTTCAAGCAATCCGCCAGCCTCAGCCTCCCAAGAAGGTCAAACTACAGGGGCACACTACCACATCCAGCTAATTTTTTTTCATTTTTTGGAGAGACAAAGGCTATATTGCCAGGCTAGTCTCAAACACCTGGGCTCAAGCAATCCTCCTGCTTTGGCATCCCAAAGTACTGGGATTACAGGTGCAAGCCACCAGACCGGCAATAAATAGCATTTTTAAGACATAAAATACTCAACCCACACACACGTGAATTTTTTTACGTTAAGTATAACTCTCTGGAAAGTCAATCAGTACAAAATGGGAAAATCAAAACTAATGGCATAACCTAGTAATTTTTAATTAGATACTGTATCTTTGACAGTTTTTTTTTTTTGAGACAGAATTTCACACTTGTGGGCAACAAGTGTGGGCAGGCTGGAGTGCAATGGCGTGATCTCGGCACCAAAACCTCCACCTCCAGGTCTCAAGCGATTCTCCTGTCTCAGCCTCCCGAGTAGCTGGGATTACAGGTATACACCACCATGCCCAGCTAACTTTGTATTTTTAGTAGAGACGGGGTTTCTCCATGTTGGTCAGGCTGGTCTCGAACTCCTGACCTCAGGTGATCTGCCTGCCTCGGCCTCCCAAAGTGCTGGGATTACAGGCGTGAGCCACTGCGCCCCGCCTGTGACAGTTCTTATATTGTTTGTTTGTGTTTTAAGACAAGAGTCTCACTATGTCACCCAGAATGGAGTGCAGTGGCACAATCTTGGCTCACTGCAACCTACACCTCCAGAATTCAAGTGATTCTCATGTCTTGGCCTCCCAAGTAGCTGGGATTACAGGCGCACACCACCACACCTGGTTATTTTTTGTATTTTTAGTAGAGATGGGGTTTTTCCATGTTGGCCAGGCTGGTCTCGACCTCCTGGCCTCAAGTGATTAACCCAACTCAGCCTCCCAAAGTGCTGGGATTACAGGCCTGAACCACCATGCCCAGCCAAGTTTTTATATTGTCTTAATGTTTCAGACTCTTGTCTCTCTGAGATAAACAAGTACTATTTCTTCTATACTTCTTTCATCTTCAGCAGCTAATACAAAGCCCTACTCAACTGTTTCACTCAATAGCTCAGTCAGAAATGAACTGATTTCAACTCAACCTTTCTAACCTTCATTGAACTTACCGTCTAACCAAAGCAAAACCACTAAAGACCAAAAGGCAAAGGACCAAGTTCCTGGTACTATGTGAACGCTGGGCACTGTTCTCCTCCTGGCCTGAACCAGGGTCCAGTCTCAACTGAAGTGTAAGCTCATCACCAAAGCACCTACCCATTTGGGAACCTAAGTGAGAGGCAGAGGTCTGGGGCTGTGAAGGATCCAGGGAGACCAGAAAGCCAGCTCTGGGGTGGCGGGTGATAAGACAGTGCCTCTCAGGACTCAGAAGCCAGCACTCAAGGGCATGCTGTCTACCAAACTAAGCCACACCGCCAGGTCACTGTGAAGCAGCCTCTCAGGGAAAGGGTGAATGAAACCCAGCCCTAAACCATATGCTGGCCACCAGAGTCACTTGTTCTTTATAAAGTCAAACTGCTTTTACATTCCTTCAGGTTACTTTATTTTCCACAGAATTTACAAGGTCTTTCTGAAAATCTAGTATTTGTCGGGTGGGCTACAGAGAATAAATGGGCTGTGGTGGACCATTCCAGGGTGGCCCCAGTGCAGCATGCTCAGTCTTCACACCCATGTGTGTTCTCCTCCCCTGCCGGCTCGGGGCTTGGCCACGTGACTTGTTTTGGCCAACGGGACATCAGCAGGCCTGATAAGTGCCTGCATAACAGGCCTGTCATTTTGGAGTCCAGCTGCCCACCCTGTGTGAGGAAGCTTGGGCTGGATTAATGAATGATGAGCCACTAGGTGGAGACAGCATCTTGACGTCCCGGCTGGGCCGAGCTCACAGCTGAACACAAGGCAGGAGTGTGCCATCTCAGATAGTACACCACGTGCAGCTGAAACCCAGGCACTGAGCCAAACCACAGAATACTGAGATGAGAAGTCACTGCTGTTGGGAGCCACTGAGCTTTAGGGAGGTCTGTCACATAGTAATACACAGCTAGGCGAAGAGCTGATATTATCTGAGCATTTCCCTATTTTCCAGGCACTACTAGAGACTATTTACATACATTATCTCCCTTAATCATGTGAAGTACGTACCTTTATTACTCCCATTTTACAGAAAAAACGGAGGCCCATAAAGGCTAAGTAAATTGCTTAAAATCACCCATAAGCGGTAAGGTTGGAATCTGAGCCCAGTTTCAATAGCTCCAGAGCCCAGGTTCTCATAATAACTGCCCAAGCCTCACTTAGGACAAGGACTTCACACCAGGCACCAGCTTCAGGATGGTGGCCACGGTGATCAAAGTGACAGAATCTCAAGAACAGGAACACAGAGGCAGAAGGCAAAGGAGGGAGTCTGGCTGTGCTCCCTCCTTCCTGCATGGAGGAGCCGTGCTGTTCCTCAAGAGGCAAGGCAGCTCCCTTACGGCACACCATGAGGTGCTAGGAACCCAGGCCTGCCCTTCTCCAAAGCTCCTGATCACCCAGGCGGCAACAGGCCTCATATCCTCCAGAAATACACAAGCGGGAATTGAATGAGTGTCTTAATGCACGCTTACCTTGCCATCCCAGCACGTTTCTTGAGAATTCAACCACTGCCAACTGCATCCCTAAGCACACGCCTTCCAGTCGGGGGGAAAAAACAAACAAAACTCCATTGAAAAGGCAGCTCCTACTTTTCCCAGCAGCCTCTGCAATGGCCTTTGTGTCCTTTATTTGGAGAATTATAATTGCAAACTCATAACTTCCTGCTATGAACAAGTACTCTCTGCTGTTACACTTTACTTGTATTAGATTTCAAAAACTGCATGTAAAGTAGATGAAAATTCTAGATTTGCAAAGTTATCCGATTTTAGAAGTAAGTGATATTCTATTCAGTACTTTTTTCCCCCCAGACAGGGTCTTGCTGTTGCCCACTCTGGAGTGCAGTGGAGAGATCTTGGCTCACTACAGCCTCAAATTTCTGGGATCCAGCAACCCTCCTGCCTCAGCCTCCACAAGTGTTGGGTTTACAGGTGTGAACCACCGTGCCTAGCCTCAGTACTTTAAAATTCAAGTTTTCTTACCCTCTCTCATTAAGTTTTTATTTATAATTGTTCAAGTTGAAAATTACTAAAATGTACAGCACCAGGAGGCATGCAAAATCATTTTGTCCAATTACAGTCAGCTGTTGTGCCAAGTGAGCAGATATAAAACTCAACCTCACGTGTGCTACAAACAGCTGGGTTCATTAAATGGACAGGAATTCACAATTCATTCTCTCAAAATTCCACGACATCTACATGTAGCTCATAAGCATAAATAAGCTTTCCAAGACTGAATTTGTCTCTAAAGAGAAAACATGAAGGCTTCTACTTGAGCTCCTATCCACAAAGACAGCATGTTTCAGTAATCCCCCCACTTTGTTCATAGGCTCCCACGTGGCACCGTTCCCCACTCTTTCCTACTCTTAAGTGAAGACTGCACTGCAGAGCTCCTTACCCAAAAAAGGCTTTTTCTGATTCCGAGCCCAGGCAATTGCTTGGATTTTTCCTTCTGTTCCTCGAACACCAAATCCTCCTGGAACCAGCACTCCACTGCACAAAAGAACAAACCACAAAGGCAATTCCCCTTTTCTACCAGTCCAACTTGCAATAATCGCCTAACGGGCCATTACCAAGACACTGAAGCCATGAATTAACCCCATACATTGTGCTACTGTGACAATGAATTGTATGTAAACACTATCAACTTAGAAACTGCATATGAAACTATGGACTTTTCTTAGTAACTTAAGAACATGCTTATTGCAAGTGAAAAAGATAGTATACATAATTGTAATACTGCCACTGCACTATCTTTGGTACTGAGTTGTTCACAATTTTTTTTTCTTGAGACAGGGTCTCACACTGTTACCCAGGCTGGAGTGCAGTGGTGTGATCACAGCTCACTGCAGCCTTGATCTCCCAAGGAGCTGGGACCACACCCAGCTGGTTTTGTTGTTTTTGTTGTAGAAACAGGGTCTCCCTATGTTGCCTGGGCTGGTCTTGAACTCTTGGGCTCAAGCAATCCTCCCACCTCAGCCTCTCAAAGTTTTAGGATTACAGGCATGAGCCACTGTGCCCAGCCCAAAATTTTAAATACATATATTAATATTAACAATTTATCTTACCTCTTGGCTTAAAATGCTCCCCTAAGGGGGCCTTTCTTCATCAGCTCTGTGTGCCGTACTGACCAAGACACTCAGAAGAAGGTGTACACCTCCGTAATATTCAACTGTTCTAGTGAACCAGAAATTCTTGCTAATGTTTTACTATTATAAATAACAGCTGCCAAAACAACTGATGAGACTCTACTGATGGGTACTCATCAAATGTTCTGGATGAAAAATCCTTAAATGAGCCTCATCAATAGATGCATATGGCAAACAATATCAAAATCAGAGCAGCTTTTCAGATCCAATGATATTGACAAGCTGCATTTTTTAAGGATTAAATCAGATGGCATGTAGTCTTTTCAACAATTAAAAAATATTTTAACAAGTCAATTACCTACTACTGGCACATGAAAACAAGAGGACTTTTTCATTAAAACAAACCAAAAGAACTCTGGAAACCCAAGGCAGCGAACTCTACTCACTGAGCACTACAGAGCTTCTGCCAAGCTTCGTGGTAGCGCACGGGCTCTTCTTGCGAGGTGATGGGCTCCAAGTCCGCAGAATCTATGTACTGGATGTTATTCAGACAGGGGAGAAAAGCAGGCTCGTGACCCCAGGCTGTGCGTTCTTAATTTTTAAATAATATTATCATTTTATCAAAGTTGTCTTTCTTGATTCTGGCTTTAAAGTGATCATCTTAATACTGGCTTTAAAGTGATCAACTTAATATATTTAATAACTTAAACATTTTTTAAATATGAGGTTTTAAAATACAACAGTTTCCTTCAAAATCATTAAATTCCCAAATCTCTCTCTTTCTGCACTCTACTGTGTTCAGGATCGGGTCTCAGCTAAGCCTCTGCAGCAGACTCTAGAGGGCTTTCTGTTCAATGACAGCCTCCTCAGCCCATCTTCCGCCCAGCTTTTGTGGGTTTTTTCTTTTTCTTTCTACCATATTGAAGCATAATTCACATACAATAAAATACAAGCATTTTAAGTGCATACTTTGAAGAGTTTTGTCAAACATACACACCAAGATATAGAATGAGCCGGGCGTGGTGGCTCACACCTATAATCCCAGCACTTTGGAAGGCCGAGGCGGGTGGATCACTTGAGGTCAGGAGTTCGAGACTAGCCTGGCAAACATGGTGAAACCCCATCTCTACTAAAAATACAAAAAAAAAAAAAAAATAGCTGGGTGTGGTGGCATGCACCTGTAGTCCCAGCTACCCAAGAGGCTGAGGCAGGAGAACTGCTTGAACCTGGAAGGCAGAGGTTGCAGTGAACTGGGATCATGCCACTGCACTCCAGCCTGGGTGACAGAGCGAGACTCCATCTCAAACAAAACAAAACAAAACAAAACAAAACAAAACAAAACAAAACATAAGTTACCATCTTCCCAGAATGTGCCCCTCTACCTCCTACCCCAAACAACCTCAGATCCAATTTCTATCATCACAGATTCGTTTTGCCTCTTATAGAACATCATATAAATGGAGCCAAATAGTATATAACCTTTTGTGTCTGGCTTCTTTTGCTTAGTGTTTTTGAAGTTCATCCATGTTGCTGTGTTTATCAGTTGTTTGTTCCTTTTCTTTTTTAACTTTTTTTTGCAGAGACGGGGGTCTCGCTATGTTGACCAGGCTGCTCTCGAACTACTGGTCTTAGGCGATCCTCCCACAGCAGAGCCTCCCTAAGTGTTGGGATTATGGGCTTGAGCCAGTCAGTGTTCAGCCTGGTTTCTTCCTTTTCATTGCTGAGTGGTTTCTACTATATAAATAAACCATTACAAATTGATCCATTGACAGGCTATAAATATTTGGGTTGTTTCGAGATTTCAGCTATTACGAATAATTTGTCCATTTGAATAAAAATCTTTTTTTGTGGACGTTTTCAAGTCTCTCAAGTGAGTATCTGGGAATGGACTTATTGGATCACACGTCTCTACCTTGATAAGAAACTACCAGACTGTTTTCTAGTGTGGTGGTGCCATTTTACACTCCCGGCAGCAAGGTAAGAGCTCCACAGCCTCTCTAACACTCAGCCGCTCTAGGGGGTTTGTGTCACTATCTCATTGTGACTTCATCTGCACTGATTTCCCTAACTAGAGGTGTTGAGCACCTTTTCGTGTTTATCACCTACATCTTTTTTTGGAAGTGTCTGTTCAAATCTCGTGCCCACTTTTTAAATTAGGGTGTTCACCACTTTTCTACAATCTCCTACCTAAACCCTGCAGTTAGTTTCCTGAACCTCAGGGTAAGACCCAGATTTGGCCCAGTTCATGGAATTGTGGGCAGGCCCTCACCAGCCTGTCTCCAGACAGCCTCCAATTCACAATTTCCATCCACAGTGTTTCCAACTGCTCCACATCTCCAAGCCCTTGGACGTGCTCTATCTATTCTAACAGGAATGCCCCTTCCGAGCCTTCTCCATCCTACCCAACCCAACCTGGTGTCCCTCCATGAGGAAGTCTGCCTTCCTCATGTGTCTGCCACAGCAGGTTCAGCCTCTCCTATGTGCTCCTTCCTTCCTAAGAGACTCAATATTCCTTAAAGGCGGAGACCGTTGCCTTTTCATCCATCTCTCATCCTCTGCCACCTGACAAACACATGGCAGCCACAGACTAACTCCAAGTGGATAAAATAAATGAATGATGGAAAGAACTAGCAAATAAGAAGTCAGGGCTGTGTAATGGGATTTAAATTCTTAAAACTCGTACAACAGGCCATTCTGCAGGAACCTGTCCAGCAGCACAAAGCAAACTAAACTCTCACGCTGAGAAACACCTGGGAAGTAGAAAGCAAACCCCAATGTGGGGACAGCTACATGGGGCCTGTTTAACAACCTCAGCACTGAGCCCCAACTTTACCTCTGACCTTCATCTCTTCCTGAAAAGCTTCAGCTGATGGGCCAGGAAGAAAAGGAATAAAGGGGACAGGCAGAAGGGAGGGTTTAACGACAGCTGACATAGTGCTTACCATATGCCAGGCATAATTCTCAGCACTTTGTATTCATGAACTTCTTACAACAACCCTAGGAGGAAGGCACCATCACCATCCCTTTTTAACAATGTGGAAACTGAGGCACAAAGAGGGTTAAGTAAGTTGTCTAGGTCTCACCGCTTGTAGATGACAGAGCTAGAATCTGAGCCCTGGTCACCGGGCTCAGGCATCCATGTTTTTTTTTTTTTTTTTTTTTTTTTTAGACAGAGTCTCACTCTGTTGCCCAGGCTGGAGTGCAGAGGTGCAATCTCGGCTCACTGCAACCTCCACCTCCCAGGTTCAAGCAATTCTCCTGCCTCAGCCTCCCAAGTAGCTAGGACTACAGGCACATGCCACCATGCCTGGCTAATGTTTTGTATTGTAAGTAGAGACAGGGTTTCACCGTGTTAGCCAGAACGGTCTCAATCTCCTGACCTCGTGATCTGCCCACCTCGGCCTCCCAAAGTGCTGGGATTACAGGCATGAGCCAACGCGCCTAGCCACGGCATCCATGCTCTTAACCATGACACTCTACTGCCACCCACAGACAAGCAGGGCCATGCCCCACCATTCCACCAGCTCAGCTGCTGCCCGCCATGGCACAGACCAGAACACAGTAACTACCATTTACTGAGTGCCTGCCCTGCATCCCAGAGAAACCTCACAGCTCCGTGAGGTCAATACTGTCATTCCCACTCTGCAATAAGTGATAAGCACAGGTTAGGAAAGGCAGCCCACATGCCAACAAAGTCTCCAAGAGCCTCCAGCTATCAACTGTGCAGCATGCCTGTGGTCCATCAGTGGTCCCCATTTCCACAGGGCATTTTATTTGGTTACCTGATAGTCATAGCCAAGAACTCAAGTCTCTCTCACCCTCTCCTCTAGCCATCTCTCCCCTTCATTAATTCCTGAAAATGCTCTACTGTCTTCTCAAAGCCACGAAGCAACCACAAATCTTTTTAATCCTTAAAAAGTAATTCCTTAAAAAGTAATTCTGAGCTCCAAACAGAAAGCAGATATGACACAGCACCTACGAGACTACAGACTGCTTCCCTGCTCATCCTTTGGCTGTACCTGTGCCACCCTCCTTACCTTGATTTCCAATTTGTGGTTGATGGCCAGTGCAGAATGCTCCAGAGCCTTAATGACAGAGGCATAGGAGTCTGAGAACTTCGTGTATTTGCCCACAAGGGCAATAGAGCAGGTCTCCAGCAAGCGATCATATCTATCAAATAAACGTCAAGAAAAACCCAATTACTCAGAAGGTACACGCTATCATGAGACCAAAATAGCTATTTCAAGGGAAAAAAAACCACGTCTGGCCAGGATGAGCTCACGCCCATAATCCTATAATCCCAGCACTTTGAAAGGCTGAGGCGGGGGGATCTTGAGCCCAGGAGTTGGAGGTTACAGTGAGCTGACTGCACCACTGCACTACAGCCTGGGCAACAGTGTGAGACCCTGCCTCAAAAAACCCCCACAAAAAACAACAAAAACACACCTGGGAAGAATATAACGGGAATAGCTATTATCTGAGTTCTGTGTACAGACCAGTAAAGAGGAAGTAATTTTCAGATCAACATGGCAGGCTTTGTAAAGAAAAATTTTTTTTTTGTTTTTGTTTTGAAACTTACAAAGAGTTTCAACGTCTCACACAAATTTGCCTACAAAAAATTTTTTTCATACCAAAGACCAAAAAAAATAACAGACATAGACAATTCACAAGAATTAATGGGGTGAAGGCAAGTGTCAAACAAATTATGGGACATTCACAAAATAGAAAAGTCCACACTCATTAAAAGTTTTCATTGTAAAATATAATAACAGAGCAAAATGCTTATAATGTTTTATGAAAAAGGATGATAAAACTGCCATTCTGATAGCTATATGTAAGCAGACAAAGACTGAAAGGAAAATGTTGAAATGAAAAATGATTCTCACAGAGCAACGGAATGAGTATGCCCTCTCCAAATGCTTCTAGGCCATCATATTGATCTTGCAACTAAGATAAGGCCTGCCCATTGCTCTAAGACACGAAGTGAAGATTTCTGAAGGAATGTGACAGCATCACCGAGCCTTAAAAGGATGTAGTGGAGTAGGCAGCAACACATCCCCGTCCTAATGTGATCCCTTTCTGGTGTGGGGTGAGACACATTCCCAAACACAGCTCAGAACTCTGGAGTGGTACCCAGGAGTGCTCCAGCCACTGTCAGCCATTCGTGTGGGCTTTGGATATGCACACTCACCCGCTGCCACCAGGACGCCCATCTGCACTGATCTAGTTGGTAAGAGACAAGCGTGTTAAGACATAACCCGAACTCATTGTCTGGAGGCCCGGCACCTGGCCTGGCCCTATCAGGATCTCCTCATCTGTGCCACAGCTACGTGACAGCTAAGATCCTTTCTGAACATCTCTTACTACAAAGGCTCTTCTAATGAGTGGATGGCAGAAGTGCAAAAGTACAAAAGTGCTAGGGCTAGAGTCGGCTTCACCAGCCCTACAAAAGAGTAAAGGAGGCTAGCACTCCCAGCTCCTCATTGCAGGCAAACCTGTCAGCCATCTCTTTCCATTTCATCAGCATTTTTCTTGGCTGCCTCTCAATAGGAAGGTCAAGTCTTCGAAGAAAATAATCTACAACCCCTTGCTCCTCTAACAACAAGGGGACTCGGTAGATGGATGAGACATCGTGGACACAGATCACCTGTTTAGAAAAAAGCAAGTTATTAAATAAAAGCAAAAACTCACCAGGCTTACAGCCTCCTACTAGCTACGTGACCTTGTAAAAATATTATGTATTTGAAAACAGAAAAAAGGACAATTTTCTAGATAAACTACTAAAACAGACTCAAGAATAGAATAGAAAATTAGTGGCCAATCTATTATGAACATGGATGCAAAAGTCCTTTAAAAAAAATTCATGGCTGGGCAAGGTGGCTTATGCTTATAATCCTAGTACTTTGGGAGGCCATGGCAGGAGGATTGCTCGAGCTCAGGAGTTCAAGACCAGACTGGGCAATATGGTAAAACACTGTCTCTACAAAAAAATACAAAATTTAGCCAGGCATGGTGGGCATGTGCATGTAGTCTCAGCTAACTGGGGGGTAGCTGAGGTGGGAGAATCACTTGAGCCTGGGAGCTTGAAGCTGTAGTGAGCTGAGATTGTGCCACTGCACTCCAGTCTGGGTGACAGAGTGAGACTCTGTCTCAAAAAAAAAAAAAAACACCCAAAAAATTAGCTGGGTGTGGTGGCATGTGCCCATGGTCCCAGCTACTCGGGAGGCTGAGGTGGGAGGATCACTTGAGCCTGGGAGTTGGAGGTTGCAGTGAGCCAAGATCGCATCACTGTACTCCAGCCTGGGCAACAGAGCCAGAACCTGTCTTAAAAATAATAATAATAATAATTCATGATCCAAATCACAAATGTAGCTTTAAAAAAATCATGTCCACGAACCTATGAATGGCTTAACTAGGAACAGTGGTTCTCAAACTCAGCTGCATATTGGAATCATTCAGAGCTTATAAAAGGTCAAAAGCCCATGCTGCACCCCAGACCACTTGAATTAGGATCTTGTGGGGTAGGAGGCAGGCATCAGTATTTTTAAAGCTCCCCAAGTGATTCCAGTGTGCAGTCAAGTTTGAGAACTACTGTGTTAGGAAATTTAACAGTGGAATTCACCACATAAATAGAAAACAGATTAAGGAGGAAAACAATTCCCTCAGTAGATGTAGACTTGATAAAAATTCAAAACCAAATTCATAATAAAAATTATTGGTAAATTAAGATTAGGGAAAATTTGGCAATATAAAAAACCCACAGTAAACATCACATGGTTTAATATTAATGTTTACTATTTAAAGTCCAGAACAAGGCCAGAATGGCCACTTTCAGTACTTCTATTCAATGATGTACTGAAGATATTAGCCATTATCATTAGATAAGAAAAAAAAATGAACCAGAAAACAAGAAGCGGTTGCCACTGAATAATGCATACAATATCACTGCTTATCCATAAAAACCAAAAGAATTTACAGGTAAACAATCAGTACTAATAGAATTTTAGTAAGGTTGCTAGGCTGTAGATGAATGGACAGAGGTCAGCAGGGTCTCCTACACATGGGGTATTATCTAATCAGAAAATATAATTTTTAAAAATACACGGTAGTAATAAAAATTATGAATAGCTATAAATAAGTCTAAACAACTTTATGAAGATTAGTAAATCTATAATGTACCTTTATTTTTAAAAAGTACAGAATAGTATCCAAGGATAGTCTTTTCAACAAATGGGGCTGAGGCAAGTAGATATCCACATGTAAAAATTTCAACCCTTACCTCACACTACACACAAAAGTTAACCTAGAATGGATCATGTAAGACCTAAAACTAACTTTTACAAGAAAATCTTCATGACCTTGGTTAAGAGCAAGGAGTTCTTAGACACGACAGTGAAAGCACAATCCATAAAAGAAAAAAACAGATTGGACTTCATCGAAATTTAAAAGTGTCTGTGCTCTAAAAGACACTATTAAGAAAATGAAGGCCAGGTGCGGTGGCTCACACCTGTAATCCCAGCACTTTGGGAGGCCGAGGCAGGCAGATCACCTGAGGTCAGGAGTTCGCAACCAGCCTGGCCAACTTGGCAAAACCCCGTCTCTACTAAAAATACAAAAATTAGCCAGGTGTGGTGGTGCATGCCTGTAGCCCCAGCTACTCAGGAGGCTGAGGCAGGAGAATCGCTTGAACACGGGAGACAGAGATGGCAGTGAGCCAAGATCATGCCACTGCACTACAGTCTGAGCAACAGATCAAGACTCCATCTCAAAAAAAAAAAAAAAAAAAAAAGAGAGAAGAAAATGAAAAGACAAGGCACAGATAGGGAGAAAATATGTGAAAATCACATACCTGATGAAAGACTTGTATTCAGACTATATCAAGTCAACTCAGTAAGATAAACATTCCAATTAAAAGAGTAAGTAAGGCTGGGCATTGCCGGCTCACGCCTGTAATCTCAACATTTTGGAAGACTGAAGCAAGAAGACTGCCTGAGCCCAAAGAGTTCAAGACCAGCCTGGGCAACCATAGCAAGACCTCATCTCTACAAAAAATAAAACAGCTGAACATGGTAGCGTCCGCCTAAGGTACTAGCTACTCAGGAGGCTGAGGCAGGAGGGCTGTTTAAGCCCAGGCTGCAGTGAGCTGTGACAGCACCACTGCACTCTAGTCAGGGTGACACAGCAAGACCTTGTCTCTTAAAAAAAAAAGGCAAGGCCAGGCGTGGTAGCTCACACCTGTAATCCTAGCACTTTGGGAGGCCAAGACGGGTGGCTCACCTGAGGTCAGGAGTTCCAGACCAACTTGGCCCGCATGGCAAAACACCATTTCTACTAAAAATACAAAAATTAGCTCGGCATCGTGGCAGGTGCCTATAATCCCAGCTATTCGGGAGGCTGAGGCAGGAGAATCACTTGAACCCAGCAGGTGGAGGTTCCACTGAGCTGAGATTGCTCCACTTCACTCCAGCCTGGATGAAAAAGTGAAAACTCCATCTCAAAAAAAAAGCAAAAAATCTGAAACTTAAACTTAAATGTGGAAATACTTGTTACATTTTTAATAGTGAATATTTTTAAGGCCGGGCGCCCTCACACCTGTAATCCCAGCACTTTGGGAGGCTGAGGCAGGTGGATCACCTGAGGTCAGGACTTTGAGACCAGCCTGGCCAACATAATGAAACCCCATCTCTACTAAAAATACAAAAATTAGCCAGGAGTGGTGGTGCACACCTGTAATCCAAGCTACTCGGGAAGCTGAGGTAGGAGAATCGCTTGAACCTGGGAGGTGGAGGTCACAGTGAGCCAAAAAGATCGCGCCACTGCACTCCAGCCTGGGCGACACAGCGAGACTCTGTCTCAATTAAAAAAAAAAAAAAAAAAAAAATTGAACAATTTTAATGACAACCTATTCTGCTACAGAATTGAATTTCCTTCACTTGCTAGGCCAGAAATATCTAAAACCTGGCCAAAGCTACATGCTCAATGTATCACCACTAGAATTTCCATACTAAGCACCACACTTAGATACATTACAGGTTCCAAATTTTGGATTTCCTGCATCATAGGTACAGTAACAAAAACACTAAGATCTCTGTGACAGCCTACAACACCCTAGACACCAGGCACCAGAAACAGAAAGTTGAATGAGGTGGCCCTTGCCCTCCAGAAGCTTAGAGTCTGTGAAGGGAGATACACACCACACATGTACACACACACACACACCAGAAAGATGGGCCCATCAGCAGCATACATGCGACACCACACAGGAGCCCAGTGAAGGACGCAGTTAACCCTGAAGGCCAAGGGCCAGGAGGTTTGGCAGTTAAAGCTTCTCAGACAACACTATGTCTTCGCTAGAACCTGAAGGATGAGAGTGAGTAGGAGACTGCCAAGCCAACAGGAAGAGGGGGACATGGGTTCTTAACAGAAATTAGCCAGTGAAAAAGTACAATCATAGGGAGAGTGGAGGGTACTAGGGGAACCGAAAGATACTCCACCCGGCTGAAGCACAAAGTACAACGAGGCACGGAGAAGAGGCAGGAGGGACACAGGTGTTGTTTGGGGAACCAGGAGAGGCAGGGAATGGCCGATGGCAATGGGTTCTTCTGGAACAGCCCACTATCTCTAATTAGAAAATAACAAGCCTCACGAAACTGATCAAGAGGCTTTAGGACAATTAGAAGCAAAAAACAACTTATTAGAGATGGGAATTTCTACTCACTTGTTCAGGCTCAACATGGCAGAACATTGATATTTTCTCCTTCACTGATGTGTCAAGTGGATTTGAGCACCTGCATACAACCTAGCAGTAGAGAACAAGATGGCTTAGACAGAAGGAAAAAATGACAGAAGTAGGGGTTTCTCCTGACTGAAATTAAAACAGACATCACATTGTTAAGATGAACGAAAACGTTAACTCTCAGCACCAGGCACATAATCCATAAAAATATTATGACTCGTTTCAAAGCTAAAATCCGTAAACGCCAAACTGGAGAAACATAAGAGAATGGCAGTACAAATGAATACATTAATGAACTACAAGAGCTCTGGGATTTTCCTCCATTAGTGTTCCCAAGTAGGAGTAAAAATGAGAGTAAAAAGACTGAGAGGAAAAATAAGGTCTGGGGAGTACAAGACCTAACACGCTCTAAGTATGAACATCTTGCAAACTACAGCCCGGTTCAAAGAACTAATCCTATTTTCTCCATCATCAATTATCAAAAGCAACCCAACAAGACAAAGGTCTTGTCTGTCATGATAGAGTGATCTTAACTAGACATAAAAGATTACACTGCAACCAGCTATCAGGAAATCTTACCAGATCTGGGGAAAGCCCAAGTCCTCTAAGTTCCCGAACACTATTCTGGGTAGGTTTAGTCTTCTGTTCCCCTGTTGAACTTGGCTATTTCACAAAAGAAAAAAAAAAAAAAGTTAGTTTCCCTCTGATAAGGAATTTTCAAGTATGACTTTTCCTTGAACCTCTTTTAATAAGGAAATAGATCATTTGGTCACTTGTGTAATTTAGCTTTTATGTTTGTCAAAGTTACACATGCATGCATTTTAGAATCAAATGGTTCTAACCGAGCTTGTAAGCAGTATCGGCCCTCACCCACTCTCCCCTTTCCAATCCCTAGAAACAACCGCTCTTCAACTCTTAACTGATCTTGCTGGTGTGCTACTTCTCCACATTTACTTGGAGGCATTTTCTATTGATTTCCCTGTTAAATGAGGATCCTGCCCCCATTAGACACTTTCCTGTGCCTGCAGTCCTCTTTTGGGTTTACATACTTTTTAAGTATTTAAATACTGTTCCCAAACCATGTGCCACACTTTTCCTTTCTGTACTAAATCATCTTTATTCTTCTCTCACACTTAACAGATACACGTTACACATGGACTTGTAGGATGGAAATCATTTTCTGTTGGACTTTTTCTTTTTTTTTAAATCGAGACAGGCTCTTGTCACATTGCCCAGGCTGGTCTCAAACTCATAGGCTCAAGCAGTCCTCCCACCTCTGCCTCCCAAACTGCTGAGATAACAGGTGTGAGCCACCATGCTCAGCCTCCACTAGAATTTTTAATGAAATAGCATCAATGTCTTTTAGCTTCCAGTATTGTTGCTAAGGGGTCCAGTGGCACAATGATTCTTGATTTTTCTCTTCAGAGCCTTTTAGAACTTCTGCCCCATTAGTCTGAACCTTCACAATAATATGCCTTGGTGTAGGTCATCTGTCATCCAATATGATAGGCACCAAGGGGGCCCTTTCAACCCAGAAACTGATGTCTAGAAATTTCCTTGAATTGTTCAGATAAGGGGTCAGAAAATTTTTTCTGTAAAGGCCCTGATAGTAAGTATTTTAGGTTTTGTGGGCCACACAGTCTCTGCCACAAGTATTCAACTCTACTGTTCTAGAGCAAAAGCAGCCACAGACAGCACATAAACAAGCAGACACAGCTGTATTTCCATAAACTTGATTTCCAAATACGGGGGGGTAGGTTCATGTGGCCCATAGGCCATCATTTGCTGACCCCTGGGGTTCAGATTATACCTCCATTTCTGTGTTCTTATTTTTTGGAACTCCTATTATTTGGACATTAGAACTTCTGAGCCAGTCCTCTAATTTTACCTTTTCTCTCCTATTTTCTATCTCTTGGTCTTTTTGCTGTACTTCCTTGGGTATTTCCTCAACTTACTTTCTCTTAACTTTTTCATTTCTGCTATCTAATTTTTAATTTCCAAGGATTCTTTTCTGTTCTCTCAATGTTTCTTTCTTATAGCATCCAGTTCTTACCTAACGGATATAGCTTATCTCCTTCTAATTTTCTAAGAATAGTAATGACAGGTCATTTTTGGTTTTTTGGTGTTTTTTTAAAGTTTCCTCTGCTTGTAGCGCCTCAGTTCCCTGTAAGTTTCTTTCTTTCTGTTGTTTGGTCTCTTACCTATCAGATGCTTTCTCCAAGTGTATGGAGGCCTGCTTAAATGCTACCTATAAGTTATGTGTGAGTGTGTAGGCTTGTCATGGTGAAAATCTGGCTGGCTTATTTCATGGGGAGCCGCCAGAGCCAGTGTCTTTTATCCTGGGCTATCCATACCCCAGAAGACAATCTTACAACCTCCTACGTGGAATGGCCAAGCCTAAACATGATGATTCTGGGAACCAAATGGTGGAAGAAGGCAAGGACTGTCAACAGCGTTAACATTACACATAACCCCATGTTTGTAGTCCAGTGTTACTGCCCTCAACTGTCCCTACTGTCTGCTCATCCAGGAACCCTCCCCAGAGAACAAGCCTCCAGTCTTCTGCCAAGGTGGGAGGAGGCTAACGCCCAACTGTGCACTGTAGGAAAAAGATGTCAGGGTCTGAGTCTTCTGAAGCAGTAGTTACATGAGGCCCACCCTCATCCCACTCCTGAGCTTTTGGGGTTCTGCAGGGCAAACAGGGCTGCTTCTCTGCTTTCACTGCTGCGGGCTTAAGATCCGGCACTCAAGGTCAGCTTAGTCGGTTCTATGCATCCATCTGCTTTCCGGCTTCCCAATTTTTGTTACTATTGACTCCTCTCCACAAGATTTGTCTTTAAAAACAGCCTCTTTACTCTAGTTCCACCATATAGTAAAGACAAATGCACACGGCCAATCTACATCTGCAAATGCAACTGCCCTGATTTTTCAAATGTTTTCTATTTGATCTTTTCAAAAAAGTATGATTGTAACAAATTTAAACTTACAAAGTTCTTTATTCTCTGCTTCCTGCACCTCAAGTGAAAACTACTAGACAATGAGTGAAAATCATTCCGGTTTACCTTTCCTCCCTCCTCTCCATCTCCCCCAAAGTAAAACTTTCAATGTCTTACTTACCTGGGGAACTAGACTGACGTGGATGTTACAAAAGTTCTCTCTTTTGACCTTGAATTGGAACTGACGGAAGGCCTCAATAAAGGGCATGCTTTCTATGTCCCCCACGGTTCCACCAAGCTAGAAGAACAAAGTTGTTTCAGAGGTTAGGCACTAAACCCTTCTCTGGCAGTTTAGTTTTCTAACAACTGTTCTGTCTTCCTGATTCAGTATCAGTAATTATGTAACACGGACTCTCTAACCCTGTATAATGTTAGTTAACAGTTAACAGGAATTAGACAACTCTTTGTACTAAAAGGTTATTCTTTTGGACAGGCTCATCCTTCCCAAAGGTTATTATGGAACTTTCCACATCATTTCAAGAAAAAGGTCAGATGAGAGAGGTGCCAGGAATGTTATCTCTATCACAGTGACAAAGTAAAAAAAAAAAAAAAAGAAAAACCTAAATCTTATCTCCTTAGTTAACCATAAATAATTTTTGTACTGAAAAAGCATCAGTTGGCTGGGCACGGTGGCTCACATCTGTAATCCTAACACTTTGGGAGGCCAAGGCAGGCAGATGGCTTGAGTTCAGGAGTTAGAGACCATCCTGGGCAAAATGACGAAACCCTGCCTCTCCCAAAAAAGTACAAAAACTAGCCGGGCATGGTGGTGCGCACTGTAGTCCCAGCTACTTGGGAGGCTAAGGTAGGAGAACTGCTTGAGCCCAGGAGGTCAAGGTTGCAGTGAGCCATGACTGCTGCACTGGACTCCAGCCTGGGTGACAGAGTGAGACCCTGTCTCAAAAAAAAAGTATTAGTTATAAACAAACTGCTGGAACTTTTGAGTCTCCTGTTATCTGAGGAACACTGAGATCCAACAGCTAGGATCAGCACAGCAGGAGTACAGATACTGAAACCAAATGAAGCTCATTCGGAGACGAATGCTCTTGCCAGACGAAAGCAAAAGATCTGCTGACTTGCTCAAGAGACAGATGAAAATGTGTCACACTACTCATGGGGACAATCAGTACTAAGTGATTGTACCATAAATGCTACAAAAAAGGAACACTGGGCAAACTACGGTTTTCCCTTGCGTGGCCATTCCACATGACTGTTAACTGTGCCCTTACCTGCCACATTGCAACATACTGCACCAGAGATAGGAAGGCCAAGGGCTCCACTGGGAACTGTCTTATCAGTTATTGATGGCTGACTAAGGAGATGAGTACACTTGTTCACATGTGCAGGAATCATACAAACCTCAATAACACACACTTGAGGTTCCAGGCCATCTTCATCTACAGGTATTAACGCCTGTCTCATCACCCACTCCTGGATTGCATCTGTGATATGAGGGACAACTGGGAAAAAGAAAACAAACAGGGAACTTACGCTTGTCCATCTACATTGATTGAGACAAATGCACTTACTGTGAAAACAAACTGCAGCACTCTTTGCCTGGAGAGAGTAGCAATAGGGTCATAAAAATACTTTTGAGGCCCCCTTTAACTGGCCTCAACAAATCTCTGAGCTCACACTTCCTGCAGCCAGATGTCTAAGTTGTTGCTGGAAGCCCTGCAACAGAGCAAGGCTGACAGCAGTGTCCTGAGCCACACAGGCGCACGTGCCCCTGTGCAGAGTCTACCCTTTTGGCCACACACCAGTATAGCCAACCCTATTGCTCACAGCTGAAGGTAGGCACATTACACTTCAGTGCACTTCCAGGAACAAGAGACTTCTGGGACCCTGTTCCATATGTTTCCAGTTTACCAAAGGGTAGACAATCCACTGCAGTGAGCCAGCACAGCACAGCAGAGTGGTTAGAAGCACAGCACCCGGGGTCAGAATGTCTGGATTCAAACCTTAGTCTCATGACTCGTTAGCTGTGGATCTTTGGGCCAATTATAGAACCATTTTAAGCTTGTTTTCCCCACCTGTTAAGCTGTGGAAATTTTGTGAGACAGCACCTGTAAAATGCTCGGTAAAGTGCCTGCCATGTCAATGCTCAAAGAATGCCAGCAATTGCTCAACACTTCAAAAATCATAGTTGTTGGGCACAGATGGCAAGTTCCTAAAAGGTGAAGATTACTGTTTAACTCCAGGTTACTCCAGTTACAGCAATGCCTCATGCACAAGGATATTCATTTGCCTCACGCAGAAGAATATTCATTATCTACTCCACACATGGCGTCAAAGTGATCTTTTAAAATTCAAGTCAGAATTCATCACTCCCACACTTCAACTTTTCGGTGGCTTCCCACTCCTCCGAGTACACTCCTAGCTTCTTGCTGCGGCCCAGCGACTGGGTAGAACCTGGCTGTGGCTACCACCCCCGCTCTCTGACCATCTCCCTCAGTCACTCTGCCTTAGCTATGCCGGCCTCCCCTCCATTCCCGGACCAACCACGCCTTCGTAGCCCTGCGCCTCCGCACTTCTCATTCCACTCTCGCTGTGACTGGCCTCTCAGCTCAAATGGCCTCTCTTGGGAGACTCCCCGACCACCTGCCCAAAGTGGCTTTCCCCAGTCACTCTGTCCTCACTCCACTTGGTTTCTTCACAGCTTCTGACAGACGTCTCGTTTTGTTTCATGTTTGTTGTTTGCCTCCCCCACAGGTAACCTCCATGTGGGCAATGACTTCTCTGGTCTTGCTCATCACATGCATCACCAGCACCAGTGAGGGTCTGACTGCAGTGAGCATTCAATGCAAATTTGATGGATGATGAATAAATAAACAGCAAACTGTAAGATCAAAACCATTCTAATTCCTAACTGATTCCTTTCTATGTGTCAGGAAGTCAGGGAAACACTTCACTGACTTTTAGTTTCTTTAATCTTCCTAACAACCTAGAGAGGTAGGTGTTGTTATTGTCTCCATTTTACAGAAAAGGAATCCACATTTTGAAGAGGTTAATTTGCCCATGTTCACAAAGCTGGTGAGAGGGGAAGCTAAGATCCAAACATGACCCAATTAGCCCAGAATCTTGCCAGGGCAGCCCCAGACCAGAGCCAGCTGTCAGTGTGACCCTCAGCTTTCAGGCCAGTAAAGTCTAAAGCCAAAAGCAGATCTGCTCTCATAACTCAGATTAAAGCCACTTTTCAGCAACCTCTCCAAATTTGGGCCACTGCCATTATACTAGATCAGTAGTTTTCCATCCCCACCTTTTTAAAGCAGCAAAACATTTTCCTTAAATGAATGTTTGTACAAAACCCCAAAACAGCAAATAGATGTAAGCGAAGCTGTGCCAGTGAAAGCTTGGGAGGACCCAGAAACCCACTTCTCAGGCTCCTCCTAGGCCATATGGCACTGATGAACGGCCTGGAAACCAGTATACACAATAGATGTTCATTTCCTTCTCACTTCTATACATAGTAAGTCCCAGATGCACACATACATGCCATCTGGCTTAATGCCCTAATCGAGTTGCCTTTACCACTTTCACACTCATTACTGTGTAAAAACAACAGCTCTCTGGACTCGTATCATGCTGCCTTAGCAGAATTGACAAGCTTCAACGAAGAAGTAGTTCTTCAAATTATTTTTTTTAGCAAACAACAATATAATTCTGATTTTTCAACTGAAGGCATATTTCAGTAACAATACCTTGAGAGTTTCATGCTGAAATCACATACAATGTAAACTTCTGTACTCAAAAGGGAATTACACATCTGTGTAGAGGTGGGAGGGAGAAGAAATTAAACTGGTTAAGACTTTTAAGCTTTAAAGGTAAATCCAGTATTACCTTGGACAGTTTTCCCCAAGTAATCTCCTTTCCGTTCCTTGTTAATGACATACTGGTATATCTTTCCAGTGGTCAGATTATTGTCCTTGGTGAGGCGGATGTCAAGGAACCGCTCATAGTTACCCAGGTCAAGGTCTACTTCCCCACCATCATCCAGCACAAAAACCTCACCTGCAGTGAACAGAGAAACCATTTACGTTAAGTGAAAAATACCTATACCATGGCACAACTGCAATCCTGAAATAAAACACTCATTAACAAGGTGTGCAATTACGTAATAGGAAGCACAGAAATTCACTTCTAGAAGACTAAATATGACACACAAAAAGAAAAATTACCAGCTATTCTCTAAAAGGTAACCTCATACTTCTAGCCTGTCAACAAACTCATTCTTAAGAAGAGTTATAAAATAGCATGGGATGGGAAGAAATGACAGCCCAGTGGGCTGTGCATACAGGACTTTACAGTAGTATACAGCATCTGCTGCTTAGGGAAAAAGAACCTTCAGAAACGTCTCCTAATTGAGCATAATATGGTTTAAAGTATGATAACAATATTTGATTCAAAACCTGGATATATGCATATTAAGCTTGTGCTGATTATAAAAATCAGCTTCCGAGCTCTGCTTTTGTTCTAAACAACTTTGTGAAACTGCACATATTTACCCCATTCTTTTGTTGCACATTCATTCCATGAAACTTCACTCTAGAAATTTTGCCCAGAATGATTCATTCCTACCATCACAATAGGAGACAAGCTCAAACACAGGAAAGGAAAAAAAGTCTCATTTTCTCCCTCAGAGAGATAACTCATCCTCTGCTCAAGAATTCTGTATTAAATATCACTCAGGTATATGGATCTTTTCCTGATGCCATTTGTTACGAGGATTTCTGCACTAGTGACATTTAATGCTTGCATATTTTCACCTCAACGCTAGAGAGTAGGAGTACGAATGCAGAATTTTAAAACTTAAGAGGTATGTTTTAACATCTCTCCCAGTTTTAAGCAATTAATCTTTGAAGTAACAGCCACAGCTGTATGTCACACCATTGACAGGTTCTCAATAACAACAAAGAAGTAAAAGGCAGTCGGGCATGGTGGCTCACACCTATAAAACCCAGCACTTTGGGATTACAGGTGGGAGGACCCAAGACCAGCCTGGACAACACAGTGGAACCCCACCTGTACAAAAAATTTAGAAATTAGCCAGGCATGGTGATTTACACCTGTAGTCCCAGCTACTCAGGAGGCTGAGGTGAGAGGATCGCTTGAGCCAAGGAGGTGGAAGCTGCAGCGAGCCATGATCACACCACTACACTCCAGCCTGAGGGACAGAGTGGGATCCTGTCTCAAAGAAAAAAAAAAAAAAAAAGAATTCTGCTTCTTCCTTTCTAGGTGAGAAAAGTATCATTCTGCTGTATTAAGGGACCTGTTAGAAGGCAGAAAATAAAAGTTATGCAAACCGTGCACATAATTCCCAAGTGCTGACATGTTCTGCCACATGCAATTATTATGAAGAAATCCACTGTGCTTACCATGCTCATAAGGAGAGAATGTTCCTGCATCAATGTTAATGTAGGGGTCAATTTTGATTGAAGTTACATGTAAACCACATGACTTGAGTATTGTGCCCACACTGCTGGCAATGATTCCTTTTCCAATTCCTGATATAACACCACCAGTAACCAGAATGTACTTCATTTTACTCTTTGACCTGGAAGAAGGAAAAATTACAGATGATATAAATGTATCTCAACAAACCAAACTCATCTGGGTTCAAACACTGGCTCTGCCAATTATTAGCTATGAACCCTCTTGAAGCCTCAGTTTCTCTGTCACAGGACTTCAGAAGGTTCTCGTCAGGTTTAAATAGGATCAAAACAAACATTTCTTGGATCACTGAATGGCTTTAGTCAAATACGTGTAGAAAAACAACTGCTACTCTAATAACACAGCTTTTGTTTAAAGCTTTGACAACTAATAACCTTCAGAGTCAACCTAATAAAACCAGCTCTAAGCTGGCTGATAGAACACTACACCCCAAATGTTTGCTGACATCACTGCCAGACACTGGGATACCAGGCAGGTGCCTCATTATTTTCCCTACATGGGAAAAAAATTCAAACTTGGATAAGTACTCCAGTTCTCCAGGAAATAAATAATGTCTTTGGCTAAACTACAACATATCATCAAGAAAACACAGCTCCTCTAGGTTACAAAAGATAGACTAAAAGGAAAGAACATCAACATTTAAAAGTGGTTGCAGCTAAACCAAAATTCCTTTAATTAAAAGTAGTTCTCTGGCTGGGCATGGTGGCTCATGCCTGTAATCCCAGCACTTTGGGAGGCAGAGCCAGGAGGATCACTTGAGGTCAGGAGTTCGAGACCAGCCTGGCCAATATGGGGAAACCGCATCTCTACTAAAAATACAAAAATTAGCCGGCTGTGATGGCGCACGCCTGTAGTCCCAGTTACTCAGGAGACTGAGGCAGGAGAATCGCTTGAACCCAGGAGACAGAGGTTGCAGTGAGCTGGGATCATGCCACTGCACTCCAGCGTGCGCGACAGAATAAGACTACCTCAAAAAAAAAGAAAAAGTAGTTCTCTTCTATAATTTAACAACAACTTGCTCCTTGTCAGAAATCTCTCCCAGGCATGCAATGAAGAGAGACTGTAAATACTGGGGGAGAGGGACATCAGATAAGAAACCAGTCTGAAGCACATGACGGGCAGAGGACTCAAAGAGAGGGGAGATGAGATTAAATCCAAAAAGCAGTGCCACGGTGGCAGGGAAAGGAGAAATAAGATATAAGGGCAGCAGAGTCAAGATGCAGGTGAAAACAGCATCGACAAGAGGTGAGGAGACCGTGACAGGCTCACCACGGAGGATTTATCACTGGTCCCCAGCTTCAGAGGTCCAGGATCGTCCATTTGGTCAGCAAACCCAAATGTGACCAAAATGAAAAACACAATTAGAAAGTAGCAGAAAATGCTTACTTTGGCATGGTCAGGACATTTTCCTCCTCAGGAACGTTCCATGTGAAGCCAAATTATGATAAAAATAAACTAAGGAACAAGAAAACTAAGGAGTTGTGCTCGAAGCATTCCCCCGCCCCACCCCCTCCCCAGAGCAAGAAAGAACACACTTGGCAGGGAAGGAAGAATGCTCAGAAGTCTTCCCCGCTCCAAAGGCTCTTTGCATCCTCTGCTGCAGCATTTCCAAAAGCATGCTCCCTGGTTTCAACAAAATGCACATGGGATTCTCAAAAAGGGTGTTATGGATATAAATCAGAGAAACGCTGATTAAACCAAGTCATTTAACGCAAGAATCCTGGGAGTGTTTAGCAAGTAAACTCGCACTGTGATCACTGCTATACAGTATGCGGTGTCTCCAAGCTTATCTGACCCTAAGTCTCTCACTTTACAGTTCCTTATTGACACATGAAAATCAGTCTTAGGTACATTTTAGATATGTTCTAACCAGACATATACCTTACTGAGACTATACCCTGGTCTCCCTAAGTTTTGGATGATCCTAGAAATTCCTCTGCCACCGAGTGAGTTACTTCTACAAAAGATTCATCTCATCCAATTACATTTGATTTGTCCCAATTTTACTCTAAGAGTTTAACATCTCTCTTTACGTTCTTTAGTTTCTCTCTTTAGATTCTTGCAGTCTCAGTGCCTGGCAATACATATGCCAGTGTACATAAAGATCAGGCGGGAGGCTCATTCATTCATCCTTATGGGCTACTGACTTACATGACAGCTACTGTGCTTGGGGACTGCAAACATTAATCAGATTTGGGCCCATATCTCAACTTTCTGGCAGTCCAGTTGGAGAGATGAAACATTAACAAATAAATGAGTAATTCAGTGACGGTGGAAGCAGACAGAAAACATGTTTAGACTATAAAGGGGGACGATGAGAGCAGACGCTTTCAGTACCATGGCCATCAGAGGAAGGTGAGACAAGTCCTGGGGGTAGTGGGCGGATCCAGGCGGCTCCTGTTTTGTAGATATGACTTGCAATGGGCCTTGAAGGACTGACTGCACGACTCAGAGCACAGGAAAGGGAACAGGGTGAACAGGCAGGTGCAGGGCAGCTACAGAGAACAGAGGTAAGGCCGTGAGGGGGAAGGCGGGGAAGCAGGGATATACAGTGGAAGATAAACTGGAAAGGTAGGCAAGGGCCAGATCATGTGCAAACTGGCATGCCCAATCTGAACTTAATCCTGAAGGTGACGGAAGGCGCAAGAAGGTTTTCCGGCACAGAAGTAACGTAAATCAAGACGCATCAGAGAAATTCAACAAAGACTGAGGGGGGAAATGCTTTTTCTTTCAATGTTATGAGATGAAGTGCCAGCCCCCATCACTAGTGTGCAGACCTCAATCATGTCACTTGAGCTGCCTGCAACGCGGGTTCTCACCTAGGGGAATGGGGGTGAGAATCTCTGCGCCGCCCGCGTCACAGGGCCGCTGAGGATTCGAAACTGTAACGAGCGTGGACGGAAGGGCGCCACGCAAACGTGGTGAGCTCTATACACCGCCAGCGCCCCGACCCCCGGCCGCCGGGAAGGGAGGAAGCCGTGAGGCCCAAAGGCCAGCCGCGGGGCCCAGGGCCGGCGAGTTCGCAGGCCCCCTCGTCCTACGGCGCGGAGCTGCCGCGCCCAGCCCCGGGCGGCTGAGCCCGCGCCGAGGCCGGAGGCCCGAGGCCCGCACTGCTTGAATGGATGGGCGACTGCCGGGCTTCCTCGCAGACGAAGAGCAAGGGCGGAGGGTGTGGGGGGGGGCGCCGCTCCACTCCCCTACGGCCTTCTCCGTCCGACGAGCCCGGCCGAGCTGATTCGGCGCGGCCCAGCGCGGCAGCGCAGGCCCCGCAGCCTCTGAAGCCGCCCCGCGCCCCGCTTGGCCCCTCTCCCCAGCGCCGCCCGGCCACGAGGCCCGCGCGCGGGAGCCGGCAGCTCGCCGGCCGGGGCGCCCGCCCCACTCCCGTTAGGCACACAGCCCATTGGGCAGGACGCCGAGTCACCTCGCCCCTGATTGGTAGGAGCGACGTCCGTCACCGCGGCGGCGGGGCTATTCGGCGCCGGGCTCAGCTCGCGCCGCTGACTCCTGCGCGGGAGAACAGATCCCCCCCGGGATCCCTGGAGTCAGCCTACCTGCGGCCGGCTTCAGATCCTCCCGTCAGCGACAGAGCTGGGCCGGCGACGCGCGCGGAGCCCCGGACAGCCAGTGAACAACCCCGACCGCATGCGCCCGGCAGTCTTTCACGGAGGCGGGCTCTAGGCTGTGCGCACGCAGAGGTTGGAGGGCGGGCCGGGCCTGGAGGGCGCGGGGCGGGGCGGGGCCTGGAGTGCGCAGGCGCGGGACAGGACCGCTGGGCCGCCTCCGCTGAACTGTGCCGCCGTAGGTTCGAGGCCGGGCGGGTGGTGGCGTGTCTGCCCCTCTGCTTCCGTCCCAGCCTGTGGCCCAAGCTTACTCTCTTGAAGGGGAGGAGGCTGTTTGGGAACTCACGCCTGGCCTATTCGTCACCTGGCCTCGCGTCCTCCCACAGCGGTCTCCTGGAGTTCTGGGCGTCGCCTTCCATCCGATGGTCTTTCACTGTGGGCTCCTGGCGGTGATGCGCCAGCGCATCTCTGCCTCCGGGCGAGGGACGGCGGCAGCGCCACCCTGGCCTCCAAGACGGAAGTGCGGAGGGTCGCGCGGCGTTGGCTCCTCGTCGGCCTCCCTCCTCCCCACACCTGCCCCGAAGGCGGCTGCTTTGGATGGACTAGGATCCCGAAAAGTACGGTTTCATCTAGCTATCGCTCCCTGAGCACCGACTGTGCCACGCACTGTGCTGGGCACCGAGGGACCCTCTCCTCGGACTAACGATGTAGGGAGGCACACTGAGCAGCTCATTACACTTTATGGTTGTTATGGGTGCTTGCTGCAGAGATGCTGGTGCCGGGGCAGTGAGTGCCCAGCGCGGGGACTGACCCAAGTCCGGTGGTGATTGGGAATTCAGGCGGGAAGCCCGCCCTGAAAAAGTAACTTTGAAGCAGAGACCTAAGTAGACGGCAAAGATGGGAAAGGGAGAGGCGGGGATAAGAAAGTGAGACATGCTTGAGCCCAACAGTTCGAGACCAACTTGGGTAACATAGCGAGACCCCGTTTCTTATAAAAATAATAATAGTAGGCCGGGCGCAGTGGCTCACACCTGTAATCCCAACATTTTGGGAGGCCGAGGCAGGCGGATCACAAGGTCAGGAGTTCAAGACCAGCCTCGCCAATATGGTGAAACCCCGTCTCTACTAAAAATACAAAAATTAGCTGGGCGTGGTGGTGGGTGCCTGTAGTCCCAGCTACTCAGGAGGCTGAGGCAGGAGAATAGCTTGAACCTGGGAGGTGGAGGTTGCAGTGAGCCAAGATTGCACCACTGCATTCCAGCCTGGGCGACAGAGCGAGACTCCTTCTCAAAGAATAAATAAATAAAATAAAAATAGTAATAATAATTTTTTTTTAAAAGTGAGGCAGAAGGAAAAGCCTGTGTACAAGCCCAAAGAGGCCGGCACAGCTGAATTGGAAGGCCAGTCTAGCCAAGTCCACAAGGGCCACAGGAAGCGAGATTAACATGAGATTAGGTTGAAGAGTTGGGTAGGGCCATACGGTGAAGAGCATTATAGACCAAGTAAAGGCTTCTCTTTCTCCTAGGGATAGTGGAAAGCTGTAGAAACTTTTGAGAGGCTTTTGACCTTCCTTTGAATAGTGAATATATGTACATGGTTATAATTTTTCCCCAAACACTACACAAGGGTATCCATGAAAAGTAAATCTCTTATTTCTGTACCCCAGTGTTCCTGTTTTGTTCTCTAGAAGCAGTCTGCCACAAGTTCTTAACTATCTTCACTGAAGGAGTTTTAAAAAAAAAGATGTGATGGGATCAGATTTGTGTTTTAGGAAAATCATTGAAGCAGATGGATTCCCAGAAACCAGGTCAGGAGGCTCCTGCAGTGGCCTCTTTTAGAGGCTTCTGGCTCCTTCCAGATCTGGATCACCAGTGCTTCAACCCTGACAACCTGCCCATGCTGCATTCAGCTCCAAATCTAAAAAATGTTTGGAATGCCAGGCATAGTGGCTCACACTTGTGATCCTGACACTTTGGGAGGCTGACACAGGGTGGGAGGATTTCTTGAGTCCAGGAGTTCAAGACCAGCCTAGGCAATATAGTGAGACCCCATCTCTACAAAAAATACAAAAATTAGCTGAGCATGGTGGCACGCATCTGTAGTCCTGGCTACTCCAGAGCCTGAGGCTGGAGGAATGCTTGAACCCAGGAATTCAAGGCCAATGGGAGCTAGGATCCCACCACTGCACTCCAGCCTGGGCAGAGTGAGACTCTATCTCAAAAAAAAAAAAAAAAAGTTTGGGTTGTCTTTGAAGGTACTCTACAGCCACATCTTCTTTCAAGAAGCATTTGATGTTTATCAAAGTGCCTGGAACATAACAGATGCTGAGAACATACTTGCTGAGGTAATGAAGATGCTATGGGAGATGGAAAAATGAGCCATTCACCCAACCACTCCTCTGAATGACCACTTGACATTGTCTTCTTCCTCAAAGCTCTTCCATCTCCTCCCCCATATTCTCCTCAGCTGGTGGTCTTGCTTCCCATTTCACGAGAAAATAGAAGCCATCAGTAGATTTTTCATATCCACCAACCACTTTTATCTGCGCACAAGCTCTGCGTTGTCTCCTGTTACTGTGGACAAACTGCCCACACTCCCAGAGGTCAACCTCCTCTTTGCTCCAAGTGCCATATCCATTTGTCAACTCAAAGAATGTCTAGTATGCAAGTGCCATATCCTTTCATCAACTCAAGAATGTCTAGTAGAATGTCCCTTCCTGCGTCATCAGTCTTTCCCTGTCTAGTAGATCTTTTCCACTACCGTGATGCAAACATGCTGCAATTTGTTCCATCTTAAAACCCCTCTCCTGACTCTATGCCATTCTCTAGCTCCCCCTCCATTTCTGTTTCACTTTTCAGCACAACTCCTAAAAAATGTTGTTTGTACTTTGCTGTCTCAATTTCTTCCCTCTCTTGAACTCATTCCAATCTGGATATTTTGCTCATATAATTTCACTGAAACTGATCTCGTCAAAAATTAACCTCCATGTTCTCAGACCTCTTCTTTGTACATCAGCCTAGACTCCAATCTCTAATGTCCGTAAGTCCCAAATAAAGACAACAGTGGGCTGGGCGCAGTGGCTCATGCCTGTAATCCCAGCACTTCGGGAGCCTGAGATGGGTGGATCACAAGGTCAGGAGTTCGAGACCAGTTTGCAAATATGGTGAAACCCCGTCTCTACTAAAAATACAAAACTTAGCCAGACGTGGTGGCAGGCGCCTGTAGTCCCAGCTACTCAGGAGGCTGAGGCAGGAGAATCACTTGAACCTGGGAGGCGGAGGTTGCAGTGAGCCAAGATTGCACCACTGCACTTCAGCCTGGGCGACGAGCGAGACTCCGTCTCAAAAAAAAAAAAAAATAGACAACAGTGTGGCTGTATGTGCATGGCATGAATGCATATGTGTGTGTGCACGTGCGCATGTGTATGTATTTACATATTTGGGCTGCTTCTCTCCCCCACCATAGGCCCAGTCTCCTTTTGGGCTCCTAGGTGCAGCTATACAGCCCCAGAGCTGCCCCCAAACTGACCACTTCCCTAAGAGCATTTGTCACAGCTGATCATTTCCTCCTTAAAAGGTGGGTGTCCTTTACTTGGCTTCTAGGAAACCACTTGCTGTTCATTTTTTCCTATTTCACAGGTTTCTCCTTCTAGATCTCCCTACCTAGATCCTCTTCCTTTTCCTCTATCCTGAACTATAAACATTGCCCCAAGCCTCAGTTCTAGGATCCCTTCTCTCTAAAGTCATTATCTAGTCATTAAAACCATCTGGCCCAGACGCAGTGGCTCACGTCTGTAATCTCAGCACTTTAGGAGGCCGAGGTGGGCGGATCACAATGTCAGGAGTTCAAGACCAGCCTGGCCAACATGGTGAAATCCCGTCTACTAAAAATACAAAAATTAGCTGGGTGTGGTGGCGCAGGCCTGTAATCCCAGCTACTCGGGAGGCTGAGGCAGGAGAATCACTTGAACCCTGGAGGCGGAGGTTGTAGTGAGCTGAGATTGCACCATTGCACTCCAGCCTGGACAACAGAACAAGACTCCGTCTAAAAAACAAAACAAACAAAAAAAATCCTTATTCTGACTACTCCCAAATTGATGTTCCCAGGCTGGATGTGTCCTGAACCCCAAGTTCTCTTCCAAGCCCAGGTCCTGAGGTGAGCCAGGCGCCTCGCCTACACGTGGGCCAACTCTATGATCCCATTGGTGCTCTAGAGCTCCCCGTGGGATCAGGCTGAGGCAAACTTCCTGAAAAGAACCAGTCTGTATTTTAGGCTTTGTGGGCCATATGGTCTCTTGCAATCACTCAACTCTGCCTTCATAGTGCAAAAGTAGCCATAGATAATATATCGATTAAATGAATGTGACTTATTTCAATAGAACTATAGCTGTGTTCACAAAATACTCTTTTACAGAAATAGAGCTTGGGTCTGAAGGCCAAAATGTGCCAACTCCTGAGCTAAACACATATCTTTGTCTCACTTTTTCCCCGCCCCATGCTCCCCTCGCTCCCTCACAGTCTTCACCTGAGGTTATTCCTCAGTCACTCGCTGACTCAAGAACCTACCTCCGGCTTTCTTCCTAGGGAACCCAGGCTAAGACAGGGTGCCTCCCGCACATTCCGTGGCACACCCAGTGCTTCCTCTGAGGCGTTTATCACAGCCTGCTGAGATTGCCTGTTCACTTATCTGTCTCCTCCATACCAGATTGGAATCTCTTTGAGGTTACTTAGCCTTTCTGTGTGTCACTTTCCTTATCAAGTACGTCTTGTGGACCTTTTAGTAACCAGCATCTAGCATCTGTAACTCCCACTACTACCCTATAATGCAAGTGCTGTCATTATTACTATATTACAGACGATGGAGCCAAGACTGAACACATGTAAACACCTTCCTGAGAGCACACGCGAAGGTTTGCTTTGGATTGTCTTTCTGTTTCTGTCCCTCATTCTGCCCATCATCAAGTCTTGCTTATTTTTTCTTCTCCAGGACTTCCTCGAGCTTTCTACTTTTATATGAATACGCTGTCACTCTAGTCTGGCATTCTAATGGATTATCTGGTTGAGAAATGGGGCAGGAGGGAGCCTACAACTAGTGATAGATTTGTTGTTTTTTTCCCAGATTGGGGCTATTTATGTTTTATTTAGTTTCTAATAGATATGTAAATGGCGTAAAATTCGAGTGTTAAAAAGGAATACACAGTAAAAGCTCTCCTTCCATACCTGTTCCCCAGCCACCCAAGTTTCCTCCCAGAAGCAACCACTATTACCAGTTTCTGGTTTATCCTTCAAGCACACTCTGTGCATATGTAGATATTCTTTTTGGCTGTATGTTATTTTAATATGACTGTATGATGTTGGATTTTCATCACTTGAGCTAGCTGTAATTATGTTATTTAGTGAATTTGTTGGTTTATGTCCTCACTTTGTTCAAGAAAGGATTTAAAGCCACTTGTGTGTGTGTCTACAAAATGTGAGCAAAAAATGAGGCAAAGGAAAGGAAGAATAGGAATTTTTCATCTTAATGACACTCCATTACCTTCAGGATAAAGTCAAAACCACACTGTGATGTATGAGGCCATGCAAAAATTGGCCTCAGTTTACCTCTCTAGCCACATCACCCACCCCATGCTCCAGCCACAATGATTCTTTCAGTTCTCTGAACATGCCATGTATTCTTTTCCACATATGAATCGTTGCATAGACCTCTGCTGGCTCTCACCTACCCCCCTGCTTCCTGCCTTTTTCTTGCTAACATCACATCACATCTCAACTTGGTCTTCACTTCCCCAAAGTAATTTTTTTGGGCAGACTCTCTCCCTCATTTGGGGTTAGCACTTCTCTCCCATTCTTTTATTGCTGCTGGGACGTCCCAGAGCATAGCACTTACCAAATTATATTTTAAGGGAGGCAGAGGGGAAGGTGGTGGTTAATGGGTACAAAAAATATATAGTTAGAAAGAATGAATAAGACTTAGTAGATTGGGTGCAGTGGCTCACGCCTGTAGTCCCAGCACTTTGAGAGGCCGAGGTGGGTGGATTGATGGAGTGCAGGTGTTCAGACCAGCCCAGGCAACATGGCAAAACCCCATCTCTACAAAAAGTACAAAAAAATTAGCTGAGCCTGGTGGTGCATGCCTGTTGTCCCAGCTACTGGGGAGGCTGAGGTGGGAGGATTACTTGAGCCACAGAGGCAGAGGTTGCAGTGAGCCAAGATCATGTCACAGCACTCCAGCCTGGGTGACAGAGTAAGACCCTGTCTCAAAAAAAAAAAAAGACTTAGTATTTGATAACACAACAGGGTGACTATAGTCAGTAATAATTTAATTGTACATTTTAAATAACTAAAAGTGTATAATTGGGCTGGGCGCCGTGGCTCACGCCTGTAATCCCAGCACTTTGGGAGGCCGAGGCAGGCGGATCACAAGGTCAGGAGATTGAGACCATCCTGGCTAACACGGTGAAACCCCGTCTCCACTAAAAATACAAAAAATTAGCCTGGTGTGGTGGCGGGCGCCTGTAGTCCCAGCTACTGGGGAGGCTGAGGCAGGAGAATGGTGTGAACCACTTTGTTCAAGAAAGGATTTAAAGTCACTTGTGTGTGTGTCTACAAAATGTGAGCAAAAAATGAGGCAAAGGAAAGGAAAAATAGGAATTTTCTATTTTAATGACACTCCATTACCTTCGGGATAAAGTCAAAACCACTCTATGATGTATGAGGCCATGCACAAATTGGGAGATGGAGCTTGCAGTGAGCCGAGATCGCGCCACTGCACTCCAGCCTGGGCGACACAGTGAGACTCCGTCTCAAAAAAAAAATAATAATAATAATAATAATAATAATATTGGATTGCTTGTAACACAAAGGATAAATCCTTAAGGGGATGGATACCCCATTCTCCATGATGTAACTGTTACACATTGCATCCCTTTATCAAAGTATCTCACGTACCCCATAAATATATATACCTACTATGTACCCACAATACATTTTTAAAAGAACAAATTTTATTTTAATAATCCACTTCCTTGCCCAAATCTCCCACTTGTCTACAAGCTCTGTGAGGTCGGGGACCTGTTTATCTGATTTTCTGTGATACGCCCAGTGCCTAGCTGCTTGTGGCACACAATAGTCATTTGTTACACAAATAAATGAGTCCAGAAATTCAATTAGATCACAAACTCTTTCGAGAGGAGAGTCACAAATTTGACTAACTTCCTAGGAGCCAAAGTGAAGAGGATCAATGTGACTATACAACAATTGCTCAGGAGGAATATCACTTCCTCAAATAACCCTTCATTGACCCCAGGTCCCTTTACCAGCTCCAAGTCCTCACTAATTTTCCTAGCAGCATTTATCAAAATTCTAACAATTGGTGGAGTAATTGGGTAGTTGTTTTCTGTCTTCCCCACCAGTCTGTATTTCATTTACGAGTATATCCCCAGCAGCTCTCATATGGCTGCATGTAGTAGATGCTCAGTAAATGTTTATTGAATTAATTAAAAGGACAATTATTTCTGCTACTGAGCTCAGAAATCAGTTCCCCCTGTGAGTCTTCATGGAGAGGATATAGGATATACAATGTAAGGATGAAAAGTCTCAATAGCATTTATACAGCAGACATACAGGCAAAGGTCACAGGCCTGTTCCTTAGAATGACTTCCTTTTTTTTTTTTTTTTTTTTTTTTTGGAGACGTAGTTTCACTCTTGTCACCAAGGCTGGAGTGCAATGGTATGACCCTGGCTCACTGTAACCTCCACCTCCCAGGCCAAGTTCAAGTGATTCTCCTGCCTCAGCCTCCAGAGTAGCTGGGATTGCAGACACCTACCACCATGACCAGCTAATTTTTTTGTATTTTTAGTAGAGACGTGGTTTCACCACGTTGGCCAGGCTGGTCTCGAACTCCTGACCTCAGGTGATCTGCCAACCTCAGCCTACCAAAGCTGGGATTACAGGCGTGAGCCAACATGCCCGGCCTAAGATGACTTTCAATAAAGGCTGGTGACAGTGTCACTGCATGTGATTTTGTTGTTCTCCAACCTGATTGCTGGGGAGATTTGAGGGGCAGTGAATTAAATACTACACTCTGAGAGATACATGGAATGATGCTACTCTGAACATCAGGTTAAATTGAAAGGCTGTCAACAAGCAGATGAGCTTGGGGGTAAAATTCATATTCTCCTCAGAACTAATTGATGTCCTTTATAGGGAACATGATGAAATGTCAGAATAATCTGACAGAGACATCTGTTTCATATAGGGCCTATAATAGTGTATATTACTATTATATATGAACATACAGTATAATTATACACGAGTACCTCAATAGCACATTTAAGGGAAAAATGTAGTAAAAGAAAGAAATGGCTAGGCGGGTACAGGATTACATGCCTGTAATCCCAACACTTTGGGAGACTGAGGTGGGCAGATCACCTGAGGTCGGGAGTTTGAGACCAGCCTGACCAACATGGAGAAACCCCGTCTCTACTAAAAATACAAAATTAGCCGGGCATGATGGCGCATGCCTGTAATCCAAGCTACTCGGGAAGCTGAGGCAGGAGAATCGCTTGAACCCGGGAGGCAGAGGTTGCAGTGAGCCGAGATCGCACCATTGCACTCCGGCCTGGGCAACAAGAGCAAAACTCTGTCTGAAAAAAAAAAGAGAAAGAAAAAGCCACTTTTTAAAATATGCTGTCAAACATAAGAAGGAATTCTTAGTTGAAAAATAGACCATAGTTAACATCACCATACAACCCATATTTGGTGAGCTAGTTCTGATTTCTTGGAATGTAGCTATTGTTAATAAAATGTGTACATATGTAACTGTGATTTTGTTATTGTACCCCTATGAGACTTACTGAAAATAAATGGGCTAGGCACATTTACAGTGCCTGTAATCCCAGCACTTTGAGAGACCTAAGTAGGAGGATTGCTTGAGCCCAGGAGTTTGAGACCAGCCTGGACAACATAGTGAGACCTCATTTCTTCAAAAACATTTTAAAAAAGATTAGCCAGGACTGGTGGCAAGTGCCTGTAGTCCCAGCTACTCGGGAGACTGAGGTGGGGGATCACTTGAGCGCTGTAGTGAGCCATGATCACACTACTGCACTCCAGCCTGGGTGATAGAGCAAGACAAAAAAAAGAAAGAAAGAAGGAGAGAGAGAAAAGAAAGAAGAAAAGAAAAGAAAGAATAAGGAAATGAATACTTTTTAGATCATATATTCTGACTTTAGGGTTCAAAAACACATGGCAAACAAGACTTGTTTCAGCAACCCCATCTGTGAGAACCCCTCCAAGCCTCTCTGGCTAATTAGGTACCCCTCACCTGATCTCCAGAACCGCCTCTTTTTTTTTTTTTTTTTTTTTTTGAGACGGAGTCTCACTCTGTAGCCAGGCTGGAGTGCAATGGCGCGATCTCAGCTCACTGCAATCTCCACCTTGTGGGTTCAAGCGATTCCCCCACCTCAGCCTCCTGAGTAGCTGGGACTACAGGTGTGCACCACCATGCCCGTCTAATTTTTTGTATTTTTAGTAGACACAGGGTTTCACCATGTTGGCCAGGATGGTCTCGATCTCCTGACTTTGTGATCCGCCCGCCTCGGCCTCCCAAAGTGCTGGGATTACAGGCATGAGCCACTACACCCGGCCCAGAACCGTCTCTTTATTCCTTTGCCGCAAGATTTAAAACATCTTATTGAGATGATCTGCACTTGCCACTTTCTAGATCAAAAGAAAGAACTGCCCCTTTTCAGCTTCAGTAGCCCCAAGAAGGGGTGGTAAAGCCTCCATAAAACTTCCATAAGCCGGGCCGGGCGTGGTGGCTCACGCCTGTAATCCTAGCACTTTGGGAGGCCAAGGCGGGCAGACCACGAGGTCAGGAGATAGAGACCATCCTGGCTAACACGGTGAAACCCCGTCTCTACTAAAAATAAAAAAAATTAGCCGGGTGAGGTGGCAGGCACCTCTAGTCCCAGCTACGCGGGAGGCTGAGGCAGGAGAATGGCGTGAACCCCAGGAGGGGAGCCTGTAGTGAGCCGAGATCATGCCACTGCACTCCAGCCTGGGCAACAGCGAGACTCCGTCTCAAAAAAACAAAACAAAAAAAAACTTCCATAAGCCCTGGGAGAACCACCTCAAACATACAATCAACATAAAAACTGCACTCATTATGCAAACAGAGCTTCAAGCTTCCACCACCCGCTTCCAACCAGACTGTGGTTGGAAAATCTTCAGAAAGATTTTCATCCAGCAAGCCCTTAATGGAGCCATAATATGTGCATAAAACTCAATAGTTATAATTTCAAAATCTAGGGCCAGCCACAATACATTTTTAAAACTCAATAGTTATAATTCTGGGTCTCCAGATATCTGTATCCAAGATCTATCTAAGAGATATTGCTGCCTCCAAGAGCAACAACTCATGCCCCTGTCATGAGTACGATGATCATGTGAAAAACACCTTTTAAATCTGTGAGAAAATATGGACTCATAGGGTATCCAACAACTCCCACGTTTATATAATTAGCACCTTGATTCCTGTTGTACATAATGAGAGGGTTTTTTTTGTTTGTTTGGTTTGGTTTTTGTTTGTTTGTTTGGTTGGTTGGTTTTGAGACGGAGTCTTGCTCTGTCGCCCAGCCTGGAGAGCAGTGGCTCGATCTTGGCTCACTGCAACCTCCGCCTCCCGGGTTCACGCCATTCTCCTGCCTCAGCCTCCCGAGTAGCTGGGACTACAGGCGCCCGCCACCATGCCTGGCTAATTTTTTGTATTTTTAGTAGAGACGGTGTTTCACCGTGTTAGCCAGGATGGTCTCAATCTCCTGACCTCGTGATCCGCCCGCCTCAGCCTCCCAAAGTGCTGGGATTACAGGCGTGAGCCACTGTGCCCAGCCCATAATGAGAGTTTTTTAAATGACCCAACCTTTTAAAATAATTGCATTCAATATATATTTAATCTGAACTCAAGAGGATATGAAAAAAACCCCACCCATCTGTTTGGAGATTTAAAGACCTGGAAAGACTGACAAGCATGATGTGATGGAGATGATGTGTTCTGGAGAAAGAGGTTTAGGAATGGTTTATGCTGTAGTTTTGCCGTTTAAAAAATTTTATATTTTGTAAACTTTTTTTGAAGTATAACAGAAATACAAAAAGTGTAAAATCATAAGTGTACAACATGATGAATCTTTATGTATTTAGCCACACTCATGGAACCAGTACCCAGGCCAAGAAACAGAACATTGCCCACACCCAGATGCTCCTACTAGTTCCCCTTCCAATTACCACTTCCCCAAGCATAAACACTACCTTGACCTTGAATACCATAGATTAGTTTTCTCAAGGCTCTTTTTACAGCTAAACTTAGAATAGTATGGTCATCTATTAAAGTTCTGAGAATCTTTTTTGGGGGGGTGATGGGGGATGGAGTCTCGCTCTGTCGCCCAGGCTGGAGTGCAGTGGCACAATCCTGGCTCACTGCAACCTTCGCCTCCCGGGTTCAAGTGATTCTGCCTCAGCCTCTCGAGTAGCCGGAACTACAGGCGCATACCACCACGCCTGGCTAATTTTTGTATTTTTAGTAGAGACGGGGTTTCACTATATTGGCCAGGCTCCTGACCTTGTGATCCGCATGCCTCTGCCTCTGTCTCCCAAAGTGCTGGGATTACAGGTGTGAGTCACTGCGCCCAGCTGAGAATCATTTAAGAATAGTAAAATTCACAACATTTTACTTGGCTCCTTTAAGTTGTACATGTTTCCTCTCTCCCTCCTGCATGCCAGATCCTCTTCCTTTTTAGGTAAACATTATCTTCCTCTGATTCTCATTATGCAAACAAAGCAAAGGAGTCTGCAGAACGGGTATCTTTTTCGTTGATTCATTTACCAAATATTTATTGGCATTGCTCATATTCCAGGCATTGTTGCAGACACCAGGGTTACAAAGACAATTACAGTACTGAGAAAGGAGCAGTACAGTAGTGGAGGAAAGTGGTGGGGTGCTTTAGGACTCATAGAAAGGGCACCTAACACACCCACAGCACCAGAAAAAGCTTCCCAGAGAACTGTCTCTAAGGATCGGCAGGCATCAATATAGGGAAGAAGGGAGGCCAGGCTGGCAGGGTAGGGGTTTGGGGGGTACAATAGAGGGAGGGGTGATCATGTGCTGAGTCACAGAGGCAGGAGGCTCAGTCTGTTTAGGAAACTGCAAACAGACTGGGCCTGGTGACTCTCACTTGTAATCCGAGTACTTTGGGAGGCTGAGGTAAGAGGATCACTTGAGGCCTGGAATTCAAGACTAGCCTGGGCAACATAGCAAGACTCTGTCTCTGCAAAAACACTAAAAATTAGCCAGGCATGGTGGTGCATGCCTGTAGTCCTGTAGTCTCGGGTACTTGGGAAGCTGAGGCAGAAGGATGGCTTGAGCCCAAGAGTTTGTAGTTACAGTGAGCTGTGATGGCACCACAGCACTACAGGCTGGGCAACAGAGCAAGGCTCTGAAAAAGAGCAACTCTAAAGAAATTTAAATTTTTTCTTTTTTTGAGACAAAGTTTCGCTCTTGTTGCCCAGGCTGGAGTGCAATGGCATGATCTCGGCTCACCACAACCTCTGCCTCCCAGGTTCAAGCGATTCTCCTGCCTCAGCCTCCCAAGTAGCTGGGATTACAGGCATGCGCCATCATGCCCAGCTAATTTTGTATTTTTAGTAGAGACAGGGTTTCTCCATGTTGGTCAGGGTGGTCTCGAACTCCTGACCTCAAGTGATTTGCCCGCCTCGGCCTCCCAAAGTGCTGGGATTACACGCGTGAGCCACCACGCCTGCCTTAAATTTTTTTTTTAATTTAAAAAGTTAAAAGAAAACCAACAACAGCAAACAGCCTATTGCATACGAAGGAAGACAGAGTGTTGAGAAGACTTCTGGGTTAAGATGGTAGACTGAACAAACATTGAATTTCCCTCCCCTCTGAAACCTCACTAAAACTATAGCAACGTTTGAAAAAAACATAGATCTCTAAAGGCAGGGAGAACAGGAAAGGTGACAGGAGTAAAACTTCTGGAAGCAAGAAATTAGATGAATGAATGAAGACTGAGTAGACTAAATAAATAAATAGCCAAAACCCCAGCCAGCAGTGGAGAAAACTGAGGATCACTTTGATTTACACGGCTGGGATGAAGGATTGATAACAGGAATTAGACTTTGCGCAGCTGAGGAGATTATGGTCTGGAGTGGGGAAATAGGGGATCAAAGATGGGGTGAGTCACAATCCTGAAGAACTATCATGGTGGATACATTGGAGCGTGCTGGGAAATCTAAGAAGCCAGGTACGTTCAGCCACTGAAAGGGGGAGCTTGTGGAGAGGTCTTTGGGAAACTGTAGCCCCTATGTAGCTACCTCTTGAGTGAGTCCAAGCCTCTGGTGGCAGGCCTGGGGCCACTGTGGTCAGCAGGCCCAGAATTGGGAAAGAGGTGCTGAATGTGGGGCAGAGGAAAGTAAGGACAAGCTGGAGCCCACCAAACACCTCTGCATCTGTCTGTCACCAAATCTCCCCTTCAGGAAACAATGGCCGTTCCTTCACTTCCACCTCCCCATTCTCATCCCAGTTCCTCTGTGGGCCAGATCCCACTACATAGGGAGGGAGCTTCTGACAAATATAGTTCCTGCTTAACCAAGTGGAAAATAAAACTTGGACCAACACAAGCAACAAGACAGAAGCAGCTCAGGCCCTGCCACCAAGGAGCAACCATACCAGACCCAGACTCTGCTCACGCGTGGACACTTGGGCAAGAGAGAAATAATTTCTACCTTGCTTAAGCTACTGCAAGTCTGGGTCTCTGTTTTTTCGGCTGAATGCATATCCCAACTAAAACACCATCCACGTTTCCACTTGTAACTGTCATGTTAAATTTCCAATCCTTCCAGGTTGTAGATCTGCTACTTGCCTTTCTTTCTCTGGCAGCTTCTGGGCTTCCCATTCTGGTTGGCAGAGTCCCGCACCCACAGCCAGTGATAGACCAAGCCTTGCTACTGCTCACTCTCAGGGGCTGCCGCAGCCCTCACCTAGGTCTTTCTTCCAGGCAGAAGAGAAACTGCCGCCCCTTGTGCCTTCCCTCAGGGCGCTGTCCTCATCCGCGTGGTCAAGGCTGGGTTCCTGCCATGTCTGCGTTTACATCTCCGCAGGAATGAGGAGAGAAAGGAAGCAGAGGAAGGACAATTTCCTCTGAAGCAAGTAACGGAGAAGTTTTCCACTCCCCTTCTGTCACATTTAGGCAGAGGGCCACATCTTAGCCGCAGGGAGGCCATGAAATGTAGTCCCTAGCAGGGCGATCACCTCCCGAGGTCGAGTCTATCGGTGTGGGAGGAATGGAGAATAGATTTGCTGAGACAGGTAGAAGTCCACTGCAGCCTGACCCCACCTCAGGCCTAGAGGACAATCACTCTTTTCTGCTTGCCACAGCCCACTTCTGATAACAGTCCCTCCCCATCCCAGATTCCATTTAGGGTCTAGCCAGAGATTTCTCTCCCAAAACATAAGTTAAATTAGCTGGTGTGGCGGAGGCTGTCATCTCCTTGCCCATGTCCTCAGTCCTCCAGGGCACATCACCCTGTCCAATTCCATTCCTGAAATCTTCACCTCTGGCTTTCTGTGGCTGCCAGAGCCTGCTGTTCCCACAGGACAGGCCTGATGAGCTAGGGAATTAACATCCCTCCCTGAGCCCAATTCACTTCTGTTCATCTCCACCAACCCAAATGCAGGCCCACCTGTTCCAGACTCTGTGCCAGGCACCCAGGAGACAGATTAAGCCTCAGCTCCCTTGAGCACATGCCGTATGCCAGATGCAGTCCTGGATGCTTTACCTATGCCCATCGTTTAATTCTCCTGACAGCCCTTTAAGGTTGTTTCTCTCCTCTCCATTTCATGGATGAGGAAACTGAGGCTTAGGAAGGATAAACACCTTCCCAAATCCCCAGCTTATAATCAGCAGAGATGGGGTTTGAACCTCCATCTATCTGTCTGTCTCCAAAACTGCTGCTGTTTTCAGCTGTCTAATGACAGATGCTACCTGACCCCAGAGCCTCTAGTCTGGGAACTGGGAAATAACAATACATGTCAAATGCAACAATAAAAGTACTTAAAACTAGATAGATGATGGTTTCTTTTGCCTTCTGCTGGGCGGATGCATTCTAGTGATGAGCTACAGAGACACGCCCTCATCCCGGGACTACTTAACAGTTGTATTGTGACCTGAGAGGGAAATAAAATTCTGTTATGTTTTTTGTTTTTTGAGACGGAGTCTCACTCTGTCACCCAGGCTGGAGTGCAGTGGCACGATCTTGCCTCACTGCAACCTCCACTTCCTGGGTTCAAGCGATTCTCCTGCCTCAGCCTCCAGAGTAGCTAGGGTTACAGGCGTGCACCATCACGCCCAGCTAAATTTTTTTTTTTTTTTTTTTTTTGAGACAGAGTTTCGCTGTTGTTGTCCAGGTTGGAGTGCAGTGGCGCAATCTCAGCACACTGCAACCTCCGCCTCCCAGGTTCAAGTGATTCTTCTGCCTCAGCCTCCCGAGTAGGTGGGATTACAGGTGCCTGCCATGCCCCACTAATTTTTTCTATTTTTAGTAGAGACAGGGTTTCATCATGTTGGCCAGGCTGGTCTCAAACTCCTGACCTCGGGTGATCTGCCCGCCTCAGCCTCCCAAAGTGCAGGGATTACAGGCGTGAGACACCATGCCCGGCCGCCCAGCTACAATTTTTTTTTTCTTTTTTTTTGTATTTTTAGTAGAGACAAGGTTTCACCACGTTGGCCAGGTTGGTCTCGAACTCCTGACCTCAAGTGATCCACCCGCCTTGGCCTCCCAAAGTGCTGGGATTACAGGTGTGAACCACTGCACCTGGCCATAAATTCTGTATTTTTAAGCCACCATTATCTTGAATCTTTTTACAGCAATCAAACTATTTTAACTCAGTGCTTTCCAACATTTTTCACACCATGGGACATGTGGAAAATGGTAGTGTTTATACAGCACATTAGGATAAACTCAAGATTTGGGAATGTCTATAAAAGATTTGGCAAAGGCCGGGCATGGTGGCTCACGCTTGTAATTCCAGCACTTTGGGAGGCTGAGGCGGGCGGATCACAAGGTCAGGAGTTCGAGACCAGCCATGGCCAATATGGTGAAACCCTGTCTCTACTAAAAATACAAAAATTAGCCGGGCATGGTGGTGGGCGTCTGTAGTCCCAGCTCCTCAGGACGCTGAGGCAGGAGAATCACTTGAACCTGGGAGGTGGGGGTTACAGTGAGCCAAGATCGCGCCACTGCACTCCAGCCTGGAAGACAGAGTGAGACTCTGTCTCAAAAAATAATAATAAAAATTAAAAAAAAAAAGATTTGGTGAAAAGACTAATTACATTTTCTGTCTTTTTTTTTTTTTGAGATGGAGTCTTGCTCTATCACCAGGCTGGAGTGCAGTGGCGTGATCTTGGCTCACTGCAACCTCTGCCTCCCGGGTTCAAGCGATTCTCCTGCCTCAGCCTCCCAAGTAGCTGGGACGACAGGCGTACGCCACCACATCCAGCTAATTTTTGTATTTTCATTAGAGACAGGGTTTCACCATGTTGACCAGGCTGGTCTTGCTCTCTTGACCTCGTGATCCACCCACCTCAGCCTCCAAAAGTGCTGAGATTACAGGCATCAGCCACTATGCCCAGCCTCTATCTTTATATTTTTAAGAGACTAGTCTCTCTATATTGGCCAGACTGGTCTCAAACTCCTAGCCTCAAGCAATTCTCCCACCTTGGCCTCCCAAAGTGCTGGGACTACAGGCATGAGCCACCGCGGCTGGCCTACATTTTCTTTATAGTATATAACCATGAAAAGAAATAAAGTACAAAGCATTTAATAAGAGAGTAAACATTTAATTAGAATACAACTTCCAAATAACGTATTTTCAAATTTTATATGAGAAATCAGCTTTCTTCCATGAACATGCTTTTTTTATCTTAGATTTTTTTTACTTGAAATGGCTACAAAATTCCTGATTTTGTTTTTCTAATTATGCTCTATTCAAATTCATGATTATCACCATCAACAAGAAACTCTGCACAAGTAGGTGCTGCAAAGGACAGTGATATCTACCATTTTCCTCAGTCAAAAACTCCTTTCTTGACCGGGCACGGTGGCTCACACCTGTAATCCCAGCACTTTGAGAGGTGAAGGCGGGTGGATTACCTGAGGTCGGGAGCTCAAGATCAGCCTGACCAACATGGAGAAACCGAGAAACCCCGTCTCTACTAAAAATACAAAATTAGCCGGGTATGTGCCTGTAATCCCAGCTATTCTGGAAGCTGAGGCAGGAGAATTGCTTGAACCTGGGAGGTGGAGGTTGCGGTGAGCCTAGATGGTGCCATTGCACTCCAGCCTTGGCAATGAGAGCAAAACTCCGTCTCAAAAACAAACAAACAAAAAACAACTCCTTTCTTGTCCTTAATAAAATAAGGATCCTCTGAATTGTACTTTAACCATGCAAAAGTTGTCTAAATCTAATAGCTCTGCTTTTTCTTCTCTTTTTTTTTTTTGAGATGGTTTCTCGCTCTGTCGCCCAAGCTGGAGTGCAGTGGCACGATTTCAGCTCACTGCAACCTCCATCTCCCAGGTTCAAGCGATTTTCCTGCCTTGGCCTCCTGAGTAGCTGGGGCTACAGGCGCACACCACCATGCCCAGCTAATTTTTGTATTTTTAGTAGAGACAGGGTTTCGTCATGTTGGCCAGGCTGGTCTCGAACTCCTAACCTTAGGTGATCCACCTGCTTCAGTCTCCCAAAGTGCTGAGAGCAACAAGATGTATTGTCAAAGTTTCTTGTAATAATGTAAAGGGCTTTAGAATACAATAGCATTTTTTCCATGTCAAGTATTTTCAAATCATGATGAATTTTTTTTCAACCATATGCAGATATTGCTCTAGTAGCCTTAATAATTTTTTATTTAGGATTCAAATAATAACTTCAGCTTGGTTCACTGGTAAACCATTTGTAATTTCACTTTTGCAAAGGTGAATTTTATTCTTTAAATCCATAAATGCTGTTGGCACATATTAATATTGTGTGAGGGGTTCCCAAGACCACCCTCAGGCTTAATGATTTGTTAGGACCCACAGAGCTCAGAAAAGCTGTTATACTCGTGGGTTAAATTTATTACAGTGAATGGATACAGATTAAAATCATAAAGGGGCTGGGCTCGCGCCTGTAATCCCAGCACTTTAGGAGGCCAAGGCAGGCGGATCACTTGAGGTCAGGAGTTCGAGACCAGCCTGGCCAACATGGCAAAACCCTGTCTCTACTAAAAATACATAAGTTAGCTGGGCGTGGTGGCATATACCTGTAATCCCAGCTACTCAGGAGGCCGAGGCTGGAGAATCACTTGAACCAGGGAGGTGGAGGTTGCAGTGAGCCGAGATCGCGCCACTGCACTCCAGCCTGGGCGACAAAGCAAGACTCTGTCTTGAAAACATAAATAAATAAATAAAATAATAAAGGGAAAACGTGCCTGGGAGAAGTCCAGGAGAAACCAGGCTCAAGGTTCTCATTGTCCTCCAGTGGAGACACATAGATAGCACCTAATTCTCCCAGCAATGATATTTGAAAACATGGATGAAGTGTTGCTGACCAGGGAATCTCAGCTAGCTTTGGTGTCTAGGATTTTTACATATTTATTTTTATTTTTTATTTTTAAGATGGAGTCTTGCTCTGTCTCCCAGGCCGGAGTGCAGTGGCGTGATCTTGGCTCATTGCAACCTCCGCCTCCCTGGTTCAAGCGATTCTCCTGCCTCAGCCTCCTGAATAACTGGGATTACAGGTGTGTGCCACCACACCTGGCTAATTTTTTGTATTTTTGGGAGAGATGGGGTTTCATCATGTTGGTCAGGCTGGTCTTGAACCCCTGACCTCAAGCGATTAACCCCCCCCCCCGCCACCCGCCTCCCAAAGTGCTGGGATTACAGGCGTGAGCCACCACACCCCACTGTGTTTTTAATTAAGGGTCAGTCACACAGGGATGCAGAACCTGCAGGGCCGATCTTAGCTCCTCAGTTTCCAACCCCCAGAGGTCAAATTGATAAGTGTTGTTCAAGGCCTCAGCATAAGAAAGCACTCTTATCCGGCAGGATATTCCAAGGGCTCACAGGTGATCTTCCAGGAGCTGGTCAAGGGATGGGTCCTGAAGACCTTTGGCATGTGTAAGGTTTGGGAACTCCAGACAGTTAACCTTTTCTGCACAAATAGACTTTCATATGATTTTAAACTTTTGATTAGGATCATTCAGAGCGTCAAAAATGTCAATTAAGTACGTCAGATTTTGAAGCCAATTACTATCTTTCAAAGAAGTTGCAAAGTAGGTTGGGTGTGGTGGCTCACACCTATAATCCCAGCACTGTGGGAGGCCAAGGTGGGAGGATCACTTGAAGCTGGGAGTTCAAGACCATCCGGGGCAACATAGGGAGCTCTCATCTCTACAAAAAGTAAAAATTAGCCTGGCATGGTGGTATGCACCTGTAGTGCCAGCTACTCCAGAGGCTGAAGTGGAAGGATCAATTCAGCCTGGTAGGTCAAGGCTACAGTAAGCCATGATCATACTACTTTCACCCAGCCTAGGGTAACAGAGCAAGACGCTGTCTCAAAACAAACAAAAAAATACTGCAAAGTGAGAGTGACTCACAATTTTTTGATTTTATTTTTATTATTTTTTAAGCTCATAACTCCTTATTTTTAAATTATTATTTCTTAAACTCATACACTCTAGACAAAACTGTTCCTTTGGAGGATCATCCCATTTCTGTATGAAACAGCAGAGAATAATTTTTATCGTCTTATTTCTTCACACAAGGTTGAAAACATACAGGGCTGAGAGGCTTGGATTTAATTCACCATTTTTGATCACATCATCTATTGTGGATTTCAGATCTTTAAGGAAACCTTTATATTCAATAGCATGTCTGTGAATAAAAGAATGTGTGGTGAGGTTTGGGCTTCTGGTTAAATTTTTTAAAAAAAGAATGTATTGCGGCTGGGCGCAGTGGCTCACGCCTGTAATACCAGCACTTTGGGAGGCCAAGGCGGGCAGATCATCTGAGGTCAGGAGTTTGAGACCAGCCTGGCCAACATGGTGAAAACCCGTGTCACGCGCGTCTGTGTGAAGACAGTCCACCAACAGGCTTTGTGTGAGCAACAGGGCTGTTTATTTCACCTGGGTGCAGGCAGACTGAGTCTGAAAAAAGAGTCAGCAAAGAGTGGTGGGATTATCATTAGTTCTTATAAGTTTGGGATAGGCAGTGGAGTTAGGAGCAATTTTTTGTGGTCAGGGGGTGGATCTCACAAAGTATATTCTCAAGGGCGGGGAGAATATTACAAAGTACCTTCTTAAGGGCGGAGGAATATCACAAAGTGCATTAGGAGGATGTGTTGTCATAAAGTCAATCGATCAGTTAGGGTGGGGCAGGAACAGATCACAATGGTGGAATGTCATCTTTTGTGGTTCCTCAGTTGCTTCAGGCCATCTGGATGTATACGTGCAGGTCACAGGGGATATGATGGCTTAGCTTGGGCTCAGAGGCCTGACACCCGGTATCTACTAAAATACAAAAATTAGTCAGGGTGGTGGCGCGCGCCTGCAATCCAAGCTACTCAGGAGGCTGAGGCAGGAGAACTGCTTGAGCCTGGGAGGTGGAGGTTGCAGTGAGCTGAGATGACACCACTGCACTCCAGCCTGGGCGACAGAGCAAGACTCCGTCTCAAAAAGAAAAAAAATGTATTGCTTGAATCTCAGGATTTTTTGGAACGATCTTGTGAAACCTTGATACCTTGTTGTGGTAGCCACCTGCTGCAAACACAGACTCATCCATTGTGGACACAGATCTTAGTCTATTCAAAATGCTCATTTAGGCCAGGCGCAGCAGCTCACACCTGCAATCCCAACACTTTGTGAGGCCGAGGCAGGAGGATTGCTTGAGGCCAGGAGTTTGAAACCAGCCTAGGCAACATAGCAAGACCACATCTCTATGTTATAGATTTTTTTTTTTTTTTGGCTAAAAAAAAAAGTATCAGATTCAAATAGAGACAATTTCAATCCTTCCGCAAGGTGACTTAACTTCTTCACTCATAACCACTAATCTGGCTTTTATCACTGTGGGTTGGATTTGCCTGTTCTAGGACTTTGCACCAATGGAATCATATAGTACATACTCTTTTTTTTTTGGCTTTTTTCTCTCAGTATCATGTTGGAGAAATCCATCTTTGTTGTTGCTTATGGCTAAAGTTTATTTCTTTTTATTGTTAAATAGTATTCCATTGTATGGATATACCACAATTTCTTTATTCATTCACCTGTTGAACATTTGGGCTGTTTCTAGTTTGGGGCTGTAATGAATAAAGCTGCTACACACATGCTTGCACATGTCTTTTTGTGGGCATATGCACCTGTTGCTATTGAATGAATAGTTAGAACTGGAAACATTGGGTCAGAGTAGGTATATGTTAACTTTAGAAACCTTTTTTTTTTTTTGAAACAGGGTCTCATTCCCATTGCCCAGGCTGGAGTGCAGTGGTGCAATCACAGCTCACTGCAGCCCCCACTTTCCAGGCTGAAATGATCTTCCCGCCTCAGCCTCCTGAGGAGCTGGGACTACAGGTGTGCACCACCACACCTGGCTAATTTTTGTATTTTTTGGTGGAGACAGGGTTTCATCATGTTGCCCAGGCTAGTCTCCAGCTCCTAGGCTCAAGTGATCTGCCCACCTCGGCCTCCCAAAGTGCTGGGATTACAGGCGTGAGCCCCCACACCCAGACCATTTTTTCTTTTCTTTTTTTTTTTTTTTTGAGACGGAGTCTCGCTCTTTTGCCCAGGCTGGACTGCAGTGGCGCTATCTTGGCTCACTGCAAGCTCCGCCTCCCGGGTTCACGCCATTCTCCTGCCTCAACCTCCCGAGTAGCTGGGACTACAGGCGCCCGCTACCACGCCCGGCTAATTTTTTTTTGTATTTTTAGTAGAGACGGGGTTTCACCGTATTAGCCAGGATGGTCTCGACCTCCTGACCTCGTGATCCACCCGCCTCGGCCTCCCAAAGTGCTGGGATTACAGGCGTGAGCCACCGCGCCCGGCCCCATTTTTTCATTTTTAAAAGCAAACAATAACTCATCCTGAAATTCCATCAAGAATCAAACTGTAGGCGTCCAGGCGCGGTGGTTCACACCTGTAATCCCAGCACTTTGAGAGGCCGAGGCAGGCAGATCACTTGAGGTCAGAAGTTCGAGACCAGCCTGGTCAACATGGCCAAACTCTGACTCTACTAAAAATACAAAAATTAGCTGGGCATTGTGGTGCATGCCTGTAATTCCAGCTACTTGAGAGGCTGTGGCAGGAGAATCACTTGAACCCGGGAGGTGGAAGCTGCAGTGAGCTGAGATCATGCCACTGCACTCCAGCCTGGGTGACAGAGCCAGACTCCATCTCAAAAAAAATAAAAAAATAAAAAACAAACTGTATTCATTGTTAACATTAAAAATGAACAGACACTCCCCCAATCAAGAAACAGCAATTGAGAAAATTAACAACATAACTCATTTTCTTTTCTTTCTTTCTTTTTTTTTTTTTGAGACAGAGTCTTGCTCTGTTGCCCAGGCTGGAGTGCAGTGGTGTGATCTTGGCTCACTGCAACCTCCACCTCCTGGGTTCAAGCAATTTTCCTGCCTCAGCCTCCTAAGTAGCTGGGACTACATGTGTGTGCTACCATGCCCTGCTAATATTTGTATTTTTAGTAGAGATGTGGTTTCACCGTGTTGGGCAGGCTGGTCTCAAACACCTGACCTCGTGATTTGCCTGCCTCGGCCTCCCAAAGTGCTGGGATTACAGGCGTGCACCACCATGCCCTGCCCAAAATAACTCATTTTCTATAGGGAAACACATAACATTAAATAATAATATCCATACTTTTATGTTAGAAAAATAAGAGAAAATTATTAAGTTAAAGAAAAGCCAATATTTTATATGTACTTGCAAAATAAAGAAGAATTTATCAGTTGCAGCTGATAAACAGATAAACAAATCATGACTAGGATCATAGTCAGACTATTCTGTGGAGTGTGGGACAATGTGGCCATGACAAAGTCTTTCTGGCGGCAAGTGCTTTGAATAAAATCTTAACCACCAAAATAATTATTACCTAATTCAGGAAGTTCATAGAGGAAGCTATCTAACAGTGTTCAAATATGTTTTGGCTCTTGTCAAATTTTGAGTAGTTGAATAGGTCAACATGCTTGTGGCTCATTTATGGCATGCCAGTTAGAAAGCTCAGTCCTAACTAATAGAAATAGGGTTTCCAAGACAAAATATGTTATGTGGTCAAATAATTTTGGAGAATTCCATGCTAAAGTTAAAATGCACATTGCATGCTGCAGGAATTCTCAGAACCCTTAAGATGCCAGTGCCCGCTGTGATTTTTTTTTTTTTTTTTTTTTGGCCTTCAAATGGAAGTGGGCAAGGCACAGAAACATGTAGTTTCACGTAAACACAAATGCACAAAAAACATATAAAAATACTCAACCTCACTCATAACTCATATTCACAATAAAACAAGATAGGCCGGGTGTGGTGGCTTATGCCTGTAATCCCAGCACTTTGGGAGGCCGAGGCGGGTGGTGACACCTGAGGTCAGGAGTTTGAGACCAGCCTGACCAACATGGTGAAACCCCGTCTCTACTGAAAATACAACAATTAGCCGGGCGTGGTGGCGCGCGCCTGTAATCCCAGCTATTTGAGAGGCTGAGGCAGGAGAATGGCTTGAACCCGGGAGGCGGAGGTTGCAGTGAGCCGAGATCGCGCCATTGCACTCCAGCCGGGGCAACAGAGTGAGACGCCGTCTCAAAACAACAAAAACCGAAAGAAAACAAGATAGGATTTGTCACGTGGAAGATTGGCAAACTGGAAAAAGCTTTATAACGTCCAGCGCATTTGAGTGGGAACAAGTGCTCTCACAGAATGTAGGAGGCTGTGTAGATCTATAACTCTTTGGAGGAAGTATTGGTTAGGGATGATGCCCACTGGCATGTAACAGAAAGCCAGACTTCATCGAATAGGGATTTGTTAACTTTCAAAAAAAGATATTAAGTCTAGAGACAGGCGTCCCAGGCTAGTGCAGCCTCTCTGCAACATCACCAGGGTCTCAGGCCCCTCCACCATGCTTAGTACAAAGCTTTTACTCTCACATTTGCCTCACTGTGACCTCATGGTTACAAGATGACTGCTTTACCCCCAGCCTCGGGTTCACATTCCAGGCAAAAAGAAGGGAGTGGCAAGGAAGAAAATGTGGTGCCTCTATCAGGAAATGAATGCTTTCTTAGGTGCCTCCAGCTGACTTTTATCGACATTTGAGTATGTGGAACTGGCCGCCCCTAGATGCAAGGAGAGCTGTGGATTTTTTAGCTCAGCACATTGCCTATTTGAGTGAAATCAGATATTGATTTACCTGATCTGGCCTCAGCTGACTATCTCTTCTCTTACGATTCTACTCTGACTTCTGTTCTTCTACCTCACTGACTTTCACAGGTACTGTTAGCATTTTACCCAGATCCTTTTAAGATCCCCTTTTCCTTCATGTTGTGTGTGCCCCCAACTTTGCTAAGCTTTTTCTCTTAACATTTAGTACTTAGTACCCAACACCTAGTACCTAGTACCTATGGCTCTTTGGATAGGGCGCTACTGGAGCCCACTTTGCCCAGAGGAAGTGCCTGAGAATTTACTTGAAAAAGCTCCCTGGGATGACCCTAGCCAGATGTTAATGGGAGGAGAGTTTGAAAGTCTCAGCAACCTTGCCTTAGGTTGGAACAAACACTGAGGTGTAACTTATATGCCAGAGCTCCCCTTCCTACCCGACTCTACCTTACCCCACCCCGCCCCACCCCCGTGGGATCAGGGTGAGACTACCTTCCTCCGGATTTCGCATGAAATCACACGCTTGCTTGGCTTCCTCCTCTTCCCTGCCCTGCTTCCCCTACACCCTTGCTGGTTATTCCCCACCCTACCCCTAAGGGAGCACTAATCAATCACTTATACAGGAATCCTCTCAGAGTCTGCTTCCAGATCGCCTGACCTAAAACACCAGCCAACTTGCAGTTTCTAGAGCATGCTAAGCACGTTCCTATCACAGGGACTTTGCACGCTGCAGGAATACCTCCCCCCAGACACATGCACGGTTCACATCTGCACTTTGTTTGTGTCTTTGCTCAAATGCCACCTTATCAGTGAGTATTTTCTTTTTTCCTTTTTTTTTTTAGACGAGTCTCGATTTGTCGCCCAGGCTAGATTGCAGTGACCCTATCTTGGTTCACTGCAACCTCCACCTCCGGGATTCATGTGATTCTCCTGCCTCAGCCTCCTGAGTAGCTGGGATTACAGGTGTGTGCCACCATGCCCAGCTTATTTGTGTATTTTTAGTAGAGAAAGGGTTTCACCATGTTGCCCAGGCTGGTCTCGAACTCTTGACCTCATGATCCACCCGCGTCGGCCTCCCAGAGTGCTGGGATAACAGGTGTGAGCCACTGCGCCCGGCCATCAGTGAGTATTTTCTTAACCACACTGCCTGAAATAGAACCACTCCATCAACTTCTATCCTTTACCCTGCTTAATTTCTCTATGCAATTTAGCACAGCTTGGCTTAACAGTATTTAATACACAGTATTTTGTTTATTGTCATTCTCTCCTACCATAATATAAGCTCAGAGGCCAGGAACTTCGTCTTGTTTTATTCTCCTCTGTATCCCCTGCACTGGAATTGATTAATGCCTGCCAGAAGAAAGGCCTTGTCCGGGTGTGGTGGCTCATGCGTATAATCCCAGCACTTTGGGAGGCCGAGGTAGACGGATCACCTGAGGTCAGGAGTTCGAGACCAGCCTGACCAACATAGAGAAACCCCGTCTCTATTAAAAATACAAAATTAGCCAGGCATGGTGGCACATGCCTGTAATCCCAGCTACTCGGGAGGCTGAGGCAGGAGAATCGCTTGAACCCTGGAGGCAGAGGTTGCAGTGAGCTGAGATCATGCAATTGCACTCCAGCCTGGGCTTGAAACTCCATCAAAAAAAAAAAAAAAAAGAAGAGGCTGGGCGCGGTGGCTCACGCCTGTAATCCCAGCACTTTGGGAGGCCGAGGCAGGTGGATCACGAGGTCAGGAGATCGAGACCATCCTGGCTAACACGGTGAAACCCCGTCTCTACTAAAAATACAAAAAAAAAAAAAAAATTAGCCGGGCGTGGTGGTGGGTGCCTGTAGTCCCAGCTGCTGGGGAGGCTGAGGCAGGAGAATGGCATGAACCCAGGAGGCGGAGCTTGCAGTGAGCCGAGATAGCGCCATTGCACTCCAGCCTGGGCGACAGAGCGAGACTCCGTCTCAAAAAAAAAAAAGAAGAAGAAGAAGAAAGGCCTCAAGTATATTTGCTGGTTGAATAAATGATTGAATATCTAAGGATCTATGCAGACTTAGGTAGTAGACAGTGGGTTTTAGCTTTGAAGAGGGAAAACAGCTTTGTAGATTCCAGCATTTATTGATACACCAAAGCTGAGTCAGGAGCCCGAAGGAGCTCATGGTCTCAAGGAGGACCCAGACCCCACTCCGCAGTGGCCTGTGCACTAGGCTATACAGACACAATGGAAGAAACAATCGCTTCTGCCTGGGAGAATCCAGGAAGGCTTCACAGAAGAGGCCACATTTGACATTAAAAAGGATCAGTTTCTCTGGAGGAGAAGGTGGGGTTGCAGTCCTGTTAGGAATAGCTTGTAAGAAGGCATAAAGTCCATGACCTGCCTGGTGTGGACAAATTAAAGAGTGCCTGAGGAGAGCCACAGGATACTGAAGGACAGAAAGCAACAGAGTCACCAGAGGACAGCCAAGGACCTTGAATGCTGAGGTTTGTCCAGAAGGCAGTGGAGAGCCAAGTGCGGGGCTTAAGCTGGGAGAAGGGCAAAGGCGAGTAGGGTCAGAGCTGGATTTTAGCAAGTTACTCCTGGTGGTGACATGGACGAGGCTGAGAGGGGAAAACCAGGGGCTGGGAGGTCGGTTGGGGTCTGCCTTGATGTCACCTAATTTCAGCTCCAGGTGCAGAGCTGAGATGTTGGCACCAGAGGGCGCTCTGACCCAGAGCACGGGCCTCCTGCCATTCCCGTTCTGCTCCCGCTGGGCACTCACCTGGCGCTCTCGGAGACAGTTCGCACCTCCAGCCGGGGCCCGACCTGTGTGCTCAGCACACAGGCCTTGGGAAATCTTCTACATTACGTCTTGTTATTTGACTTTGTCTTTCCATGTAATGGCTGAGACTGTGAGGTGCTGCTGGAGGTGCAGTGGGGGAACAAATAGGCAAGATCCCTGCTGTCCTAGACCATGTGGTCTAAGCCAGCGGTTCTCAAAGTGTGTTCCCCGGGTCAGGAGGCCTGGCATCTCCTGTGAATGAGCAGACGCACAGATTCTCGGGACCCACTGCAGACCTGCTGAATCAGACACTCTGGGGCCCGTGGCCAGCAATCTCTGTTCTAACAAGCCCCTCTGGTGATTCTGATGGTGTCAAGGGTGAGAGTTGCTGGTCTAAGAAAACACTGCACACTATAGCAAGTTCCTTCAAAGGACTGATCCAGCAAGCTGCGGAAAGGCACTGACTCAAGGGAGCCAAGGGCCAAGCATAGAAGGCTTCCTGGAGGCAGTGTCTAGGAGTCAACTAGATAAAAAAGGGAGAGAAAGTCATTCCAAAAAGACAGAACAGGCTGGGTGCAGTGGCTCACACCTGTAATCCCAGCACTTTGGAAGGCCAAGGTGGGAGGATGGCTTGAACCCAGAAGTTTGAGACCAGACTGGGCAACATGGCAAGTCCCTGACTCTTAAAAAACAAATTTTTTTTTTAATTAGCCTGGCATGGTGGCTGGCGCCTGTGGTCCCAGCTACTCTGGAGGCTAAGTTGGGAGGATTGCTTGAGCTCAGGAAGTTGAGGCTACAGTGAATCATATTCTCGCCACTGCACTCCAACCTGGGCTAACAGAGTGAGATCCTGTCTCAATCAGTTAATCAGTCAGTTCAAAAAGAGAGAACTGTGCCAAGACCCAGAAGTAGGAGAGCTTAGTCTCTTATTGAACTCCAGCTCGAAGGGACCTGACACAAGGGCTCAGCCTTTGTCCCACGAAGTTCGCTCTTGTGACTTCTAAGTATGGTCTCATGTTTTCTTCTCTTTAAATTTTTTTTTTATTGTTTTTAGTTGACCTTAAATACTCTCCTATCCAAGAGGTTTCATGTTTTAAAAGACGTTGTTATCCTGGGCAATCTAGTGAGACCCTGTCTCTATAAAAAACAAAAATTAAAAAAAAAATTAGCTGGGCGTGGTGGCTTGCACCTGTACTCCAGATACTCAGGTGAGGTGGGAGGATTGCTTGAGCTCAGGAGGTCGAGGCTGCAGCCTGGGCAACAAAGGGAGACTCCATCCCTATTTGAAAAAAGACATCGTCTTCCAAACAAGCTGCCTTAAATAATTAATCTTCATTTATTTCCTACTATTATGAATCTATCTATCTATATATATATAGCTCCTATCAGAGTTTTTGATTAGCATGAGATGTTCAGACTCCCTATTCTGCATTAATCATTATAGCAACTACCATTTGCAGAGGGCTGACTCTGGGCCAGCCTACGTGCCAAGTGCTTTACATGTGCTAGCTCATTCAATCGCCACTAGAAACCTCTGAGTGGGGTCTTATCACTCCCATTTTACTTAGGAGGAAACTGACACCCAAAAGAGACTCAGTCACTTGCTCAAAGGCACATCACTGACTGTGGTCTAACCCTGGCCTATCTTCCTGTAGAGTGGACTTGATTCAAACGTTTCCCTGTTCCTTGGGAGTGATGGAGTTCCAGCCTGAAAGAAAGATACCTGGCCCATCAGCACATACAGTTTCATCCTGAGCAAATGCTTACGCATTCTTGTTATGCATTTAGAAGTCCTAATATAGCTCATGGTACCCATTCTATCTTGAGAGTTCCCTAGGGTTCTGGGACTCCGGGTGAGAATCACTAAGCTAGTCCAGCCTTTTATCTCTCCCCCTGCCATACTCAATATACAGATAAGAACGTGGAAGCCCAAGGAGGGGCAGTGAAGTCGAGGCAGCCTTCCAGGAACCCCCTCAAAGGATCCCCTCATGTCATAAAACTAGAAAAGACCTTCCTCAGCCAGGCACAGTGGCTCACGCCTGTAATTCCAGCACTTTGGGAGACCAAGACGAGAGGATTGCTTGAGCTCAGGAGTTGAAGACCAGCCTGAGCAACATAGTGAGACCCTGTTTCTACAAAAGATTTTTTTCTTTTCTTTTCTTTTTTTTTTAAATTTCCAACATTTATTTTAAGTTCAGGGATACAGGTGCAGCATGTGCAGGTTTGTTACATAGGTAAACGTGTGCCATGGTGGTTTCCTGCACAGATCATCCCATCACTCAGGTATTAAGTCCAGCATCCATTAGCTTTTCTTCCTGATGCTCTCCCTTCTCCCACCTCCCACCCTCCGACAGGTCCTAGTGTGTGTTGTTGCCCCCCCATATGTGTCCATGTGTTAACATAATGCAGTTCCCACTTGTAAGTGAGAACATGCAGTATTTGGTTTGCTGTTTCTGCATTAGTTTGCTGAGGATAATGGCTTTGAGCTCCATCCATGTCCCTGCAAAGGACATGATCTCTCTTTTTTTTTTTTTTTTTTTTTGAGATGCAGTCTCACTTTGTCGCCCAGGCTGGAGTGCAGTGGCGCGATCTCAGCTCACTGCAACCTCTGCCTCCCAGGTTCAAGTGATTCTCCTGCCTCAGCCTCCCGAGTAGCTGGGATTACAGGTGCCCACCACTACGCCCAGCTAATTGTTTGTATTTTTAGTAGTGACGGGGTTTCACCATATTGGGTAGGCTGGTCTTGAACTCCTGATCTCATGATTCGCCTGCCTCGGCCTCCCAAAGTGCTGGGAGTAAGTGCAGACATGAGCCACCATGCCCAGCTGATCTCATTCTTTTTTATGGCTGCATAGTATTCCATGGTTCTACAAAATATTTTTTAAAAATTAGCTGGGTGTGGCAGCACACACCTGTAGTTCTAGCTACTTGGGAGGCTGGGGCAGGAGGATAGCTTGAACCCAGGAGGTAGAGGCTGCTATGAGCCGTGATTGCACTGGTACACTCCAGCCTAGGTGACAGAGCAATACCCTGTCTCAAAAAAAAAAAAGAAAAGAAAAGAAAAGAAAAGAAAAAATAAAATAAAATAAATTAAAGGAAAGAGCTCCTTGGTCCTTGCGTCATTTTCCCTATCTCCTCCCTTTGCCCTCCCTCCTTACCTCACTCCCTGGCTTCCTTCCTTCTCAAGCTTCTAGTGAGCCCCTGCTCTGTGCCAGGCCCCTGGTGCTGGGGACACAGGGACAAACAAGTACTTCTTGCCATTCTTTCCATTTCTTGTGGGCTGTAGCACAGTGCCGCACATGCTATGTTATTAAGTTATCTCCACCACAAATGCCGTTTCCACCAGATGTCATTAGTGGCAACATGATCTACAGTCTCACTCACTGGCATTGCAGGATAGAATACAGCATAGCCCGCACCCACCTCCCCACCCCTCCAACCCTACCTACCTCTGCCCTTCTTCCTAAAAAGGGCAGATGCCATTTCCATTAGCCCTGTAGGGGGCACTGTCTGCCTCCTCCCTTTTTAAAAAAGGACCAGCTGGTAGACAGACTTCGTGTATCTGCCTTTTCTCCTTCATGCTTTCCTGCCATTCATGACTCATTGCTAATCAATTTTCTCTCTTCCTTGTGCCAGTTTTATAGCCAGGCTTCGCCATCTGCCTGGTGGGCGAGTTGTGTTAGTCTGTGTTTGTGTTAATAAATTAGTTCGAGTAATATTATCTGTGCTGGCTGCTAGGAATACAGACAACAGTTAGCCCTGGTGTCTGCCCTAGGGAAGCTCACAGTATGGGGTGGGAAGGGGAGGCTGCTATTCCCGCACTCTGCGAAAGGGCTGCTGGATAGGGTAGCTTTACTGTTAAGGGTGGGACTGCACTGTATTTAGGGCATGTTTACTATGCCCCAGTGAGCCCTGGGCAACACAAGGGCCCCTTTGGCTCTCTTGGCTCTGAAAAGGAAGCCAGGAGTCTTGGTGGGAAACCTCTAATAGCCGGGGGAGGGAAACGCTGTCCGGGAGAAAACCCTATTTGTTAGCAGTCTGGGAGTCATCTGTCCTTCCAGGCCGACTTTTAGTAACCATAACATCAGTTAAAATAATTTTTTTTTTTTTTTTGACACGAAGACTTGCTCTACTGCCCAGGCTGGAGTGCAGTGGTGGGAGCTCGGTCCACTGCAACTTCTGCCTCCCGGGTTCAAGCAATTCTGCTTCAGCCTCCCGAGTAGCTGGGATTACAGGTGTGCGCAACCATGCCTAGCTAATTTTTGTATTTTTAGTAGAAATGGGGTTTCACCATGTTGGCCAGACTGGTCTCAAACTCCTGACCTCAAGTGATCCATCTGCCTTGACCTTAAAATAATTTTTAATAAAGATGATTTTTAACATTGTTACAAAAGTAGTAATGTGCTCAATGAAAAAAATTTCAGTGATAGAGAAATAAAATGAATTTCAATCTTTGCCTTCAATCTGTCTCACTGTTAACACTTTAGTATGTTAATTTCCAGGTATACATAATAGATATTATAATCATATAGCTACATATGTGTATGTGTTTTTATAATCAAATATATGTGGAAAGAGCTAGAGAGATTATTGTCTTTCTTTTTTATTTTTTTATTTTTTGAGACGGAGTTTCACTCTTGTCTCCCAGGCTGGACTCCAATGACGTGATCTCGGCTCACTGCAACCTCCGTCTCCCTGGTTCAAGCCATTCTCATGCCTCAGCCTCCCGACTAGCTGGGATTACAGGCACGTGCCACCATGCGCAGCTAATTTTTGTATTTTTAATAGAGACGGGGTTTTGCCATGTTGGCCAGGCTGGTCTTAGAACTCGTGACCTCAGGTAATCCACCCACCTTGGCCTCCCAAAGTGCTGGGATTACAGGCATGAGCCATTGCGCCTGGCCAAGAGATCATTTTCAAAATATAAATAAAAATATAATAAAATATTAGGCCGGTCGTGGTGGCTCACACCTGTAATCCCAGCACTTTGGGAGGCTGAGGAGGGTGGATCACCTGAGGTCAGGAGTTTGAGACCAGCCTAGCCAACATGGTGAAACTCCGTCAAACCCTGTCTCTACTAAAATTACAAAATATTAGCTGGGTGTGATGACACGCGCCTGTAATCCCAGCTACTTGGGAGCCTGAGGCATGAGAATTGCTTGAACCCAGGAGATGGAGGTTGCAGTGAGCTGAGATCGCACCCCTACACTCCACCCTGAAGGTTAGAGCAAGACTCTGTCTCAAAAAAAAAGTATATATATATATATATCTATATATAATATTAAACATATAAAAATACCTGTTATAACATGTTATCTATATAATAATATATCTTATAGATATACAATATACCTGTTATTCAAATTGCTTTGTCTTCCAAACGGAGAACTAATTTCCATGTTGGCAGGTGTAGATGGATCTCCCTCATTCTTTTTATCAGCTGTATAGTATGGACACACCATGAGGTACCCAATTCTCTGGTGATACTCATGCAATTCCTGTCTTTTGTTATTATAAACAATGCTGCAAAGAACCACTATATATTTCTCTTTGCTCACTTTTGCCATTATTTCAATAAAATAAATTCTCAAAGGTGGAATGGATTTGATCAAAGGGCACATAAATATAAAGTTCTGATGAAATAGATGAATTTCTTTCCAAAAATAATATTGCAATTTGCATTTGCCCCAGGAGTGATGAGATACCAACTGACACGCTCCCCAACACTGGGTGCCTTTTAATTTTTGCAGTCTGATACATGAAATATATTATCCCATTGTTGTTTTCATTTGGATTTCTGTGGAGTCAAACATCTCTTCCTGAGTTGATTGGCCATTTGAATGTCATCTTCTATAAAGTGTATTTTCCCATGTCGTTTGTCTATTTTTCTTTTCTTTTCTTTTTTTGAGACAGAGTCTCACTCTGTTGTCCAGGCTGGAGTGCAGTGGTGTGATCTTGGCTTACTGCAACTTCCTCCTCCCAGGGTCAAGTGATTCCCCTGCCTCAGCCTCCCAAGTAGCTGGGACTACAGGCACCCACCACCATGCCTGGCTAATTTTTGTATTTTTGGTAGAGACAGGGTTTTACCATGTTACCTAGGCTGGTCTTAAACTACTGACCTCAACTGAACCACCCGCCTAGGCCTCTGTAAGTGTTGGGATTACAGGTGTGAGCCACCACGCCTGATTATATTTTTCTTACTCATGGTTTTCTTCCTTCCTTTGTACTTTTTAAATATTTTAAAATAATTAATTAATTTTCTTTTTTTTGAGGCAGAGTCTCACCCTGTTGCCCAGGCTATAGTACAATGGCGTGATCTCGGCTCACTGCAACCTCCACCTCCCAGGTTCAAGTGATTCTCCTGCCTCACCCATCCAAGTAGCTGGGGTCACAGGTGTGTGCCACTACACTGGGCTCATTTTTTGTAACTTCAGTAGAGATGGGGTTTCACCATGTTGGCCAGGCTGGTCTCAAACTCCTGACCTTGTGATCTGCCCACCTTGGCCTCCCAAAGTGCTGGGATTACAAGCGTCAGCAACTGCACCCAGCCTGTACTTTTTTTTTTTAAGTTGATTTGTAGGAGGTCTTTGCATATCAGGTTATTAGCTCTCATCTGCCATGTGGAAAGCAAATCAGTATTTTTTATAATTTAGTGTTTGTCATTTGCCTTGCATATGTTTTTTCCCCCTACAGAAGTTTAAAAATATTTATGTAGTAAGATCTGTCCATCTTTTCCTTGATAACTTCTGGGATTTGTGTCATATTTTAGAAAGATTTTCTCCACTCCATGATTAGGAAAACATTCTCTGATATTTTCTTCTAGCATGTTTATGGTTTTGTTTTTTACCAATGCATACTTAATCCATCTGGAATTTATTTCAGTGCATGCAGTAAGTTAGAGATTCAGTTTGGTTTTTTTCCAGATGGCTCATCAACATGTAGTTTCCCCTTACATATGTGAAATGCCACCCTTATCATACACCAGATTTTCTTATGTGTTTAGGTCTATTTGTGAATTCAATTCCACTTTACTTCTTTGTCTTCAGTTTCTGAGCTAACACGCTTTAATTATCGTAACTTTGAACATGCTCATAATCTTTTCCAAACCTTTCTCACTATAATAGCAACAAATCTCCTGAGAAGCTGCACACCCTTTCTTTGGCTCTGTTAATGTCTCTACAATGAGGCCAAACAGTCTCCTCAAGGTGACTGTAAATCTTTCCGCCCACTTTCCTTTGTTTATTCCACACTGCGCACCTGCTCTGTGTCTTGGCTGTGTGGGATCAGGAGAGACAGAGGGAACAACACAGATGCAGACCCAGCTTTACATGCTAACTTCAGTGATTAACCCTCAAGGCCACTGCAATTTTCATGATGACAAGTTCAGGGACACTGAACTTGCTCCCAGGGACTCTCCTGGAAACCATGCCCGGATCTCATTGCTTTCGGATGCCCTCGAGCCATGGCTCAGCCAAGGCCAGTGGTAACAGAGCCAAAAGAAGTTAAATTTTAAATAAACCTGACTTCCTCTCCAACATTGTTAGAGAAACCCTGATCCAGTTCATTCCGTTCCCATTAGATAAGAAAAAGCCAAAAAAGATGCAGTCATTGGGAACTGTGGTATGCTGTGAGCTTTTGGAAATGGATTCTTTTCTTTCTTTGCTTTGCTTTGCTTTGCTTTGCTTTGCTTTGCTTTGCTTTGCTTTGCTTTGCTTGCTTTCTTCCTTCCTTCCTTTCTTTCTTTCTTTCTTTCTTTCTTTCTTTCTTTCTTTCTTTCTTTCTTTCTTACCTTTGTTTTTTCCTGGAAGGGAAGAAAATGGAAGAAAGACTCTTGAGAAGGCTAACTTGTCTGGAAATGGTCTTTGAAGCTCAGCAGTGAGAAGACAGCATATTATGGGTCTGGTCCTGTGACCTTGAGCACGTCATTGAACGTCTCTGGACCCCATTTCACAAACATTCAGGCCCAACAAATAGGCGCTGTGCCAGAAGCTTTATTTATGTACAGTCTTATTGGATGCTCAGAACATTCTTATGAGGTAGAATCATTACTCCCTGGTTTACGCACAAGAATACCAAGATTCAAAAGGGAAATAGACAGTATGCCTGAGGCCACTTATTTGGAAGGAGCAGAGCCAGCAGAGGGTGCTTCTCCCTGTTACTGGGCAGAGTAGCGGGGGTGGAGTGGGGCAGGGTTCATCACCCCTGCCAGGAATCAGGACCCACGATGAAGCTACAGCCATTAAGACAGTACGGTATCCACATAGGGACAGACACATTGACCCCTGAGAAGGAGTAGAGAGACCAGAATCAGATCCACATATATATGGTATATATATGCGGCAGGAGTGGCATATCACAGCGAAGAAAGGGAGGATGGGCCAATAAACAGAGCTGGAAAAATTACTTCACAACATAAACAAAGATCCGCACTAGATGTTTTAAGGACTTAAATTTAAAAAAATAAAACTTTAAAACTATTAGTAGAAAATATAGGTGGACTGCCTGTGGTCCCAGCTACTCAGGAGGCTGAGGTGGGAGGATCTCCTGAGCCCAGGGAGGTCGAGGCTACAGTGAGCCATGATCATACCACTGCACTCTAGTCTAGGGGATAGAGCAAGCCCCTTAAAAAAAAAAAACAAAAAACTTCTACAATTCAGTAAGAAAGAAAAATGGACACAAAAGGTATGAGCAGGAGTTTTTTGTTTGTTTGTTTGTTTGTTTTGAGATGGAGTTTTGCTCTTGTTGCCCAGGCTGGAGTGCAATGGCACAATCTCGGCTCACCACAACCTCCACCTCCCGGGTTCAAGTGATTCTCCTGCCTCAGCCTCCCGAGTAGCTGGGATTACAGGCACGCGCCACCACGCCCGGCTAAGTTTTTGTATTTTTAGTAGAGACGGGGTTTCTTCATGTTGGTCAGGCTGATCTCGAGCTCACGACCTCAGGTGATCCACCCCCCTCAGCCTCCCAAAGTGCTGGGATTACAGGCGTGAGCCACCATGGCTGGCCAAGCAGGCATTTAAGAGAAGAAGAAACACATATAGCCAGTAAGTTTAAAGAGATGTCGAACGTTGTTAGTGATCAGGAAAACACAAACCAAGGCTCGGTGAAATACCATTTTACATCCCTTCAATTTTCAACAGTTTAAAGTTTCATAATATGGAGTGTTGGAAGGATGTAGAGCTCCAGGATCTCTTGCATATTGCTGGTGGAAATTTAAATTGGTGACACCATTATGGAAAGGTCTGGCATAATCTTCTAAAACCAAACATTCTTATAGCTTATAACCCAGCAGTTTTACCCTAGCTGCACTGTCCATTCAGTAAAACTGGAAACCATCTGGGATCAGTTGCATTTGCTCATAATTATTAATTCCCTCTTCACCTTGCTAGGCCTCTTCGTTGGAAAAAGACCCTTTCCTAGGAGAGCTGCAGCTGACTCTTGGCCTCACAGAATGAGAACTAGAAATAAATGTTTGCTACAACAAGCCATTGAAGTACTGGGGTTGTTTTTTTCCTGTAGGAAAGGATGAAAACACACCCTATGCTAAATGGGATAGGACAGTGATGAATAGACCTTGGTATGCTCATGTATGGTACACAATAGACAGCAATCAAGATGAATGAACTGCAGGGACATGCCTCAGATATGAATTAATCTTGCCAATCTAATAGTAAGTGAGAAAAGTAGATCTCAAAAGATTATAGGCTGGGCACAGTGGCTCACGCCTGTAATCCCAGCACTTTGGGAGGCTGAGGTGGGCGGATCACAAGGTCAGGAGCTCGAGATCAGCCTGGACAACATAGTGAAACCCCGTAGTCTCTACTAAAAATACAAAAAATTAGCTGGGCGTGGTGGTGTGCACCTGTAATCCCAGCTACTCGGGAGGCTGAGGCAGGAGAATCGCTTGCACCCGGGAGGCAGAGGTTGCAGTGAGCCGAGACTGTGCCACTGCACTCCAGCCTGGGTGACAGAGCAAGACTCCGTATCAGGGAAAAAAAAAAGATTATATTATTTCGCGAAGTTAAAAATGACTAACATTAAAAGTACTCTTTTGAGCCTTTGAGCAACAGCAACACAAGATGGTAGCCAATTTATGAAAACAGAATATGCAGCTACAAAAATAGAATATGGACCTAAATACTCCACAGCACCTCCGTTTGTAAGATTTGTAACAAAAATTAATAAGAATGGAGTTAGTAGTTCTAATGGAGTGGTGGACCAAGAACCTTATTAGTGCTAGCAAAATGGCAGAATCCATATAACATCAAAGTTGTCCTGCAAGAGCTTCAGCGCCTAAAGATGTCTAGTGAAAACATGAAACTCCCTCAGCTGCCTGAAGGACAGCATTACAGCAATTATCCAAAAGGAAAACCACAGGCCCTTTTCCTTCCCCCTGGAGTTTGCTTTAAACGACTTCATTTTCCACAGTAGTAAATTTTCTAGATACATCTCGTAGACCTCAAAGTACAGGAAAAGAAGCTCACTCAAAGGAAATTTATCTTAAGATACTGTAAATGATACTAATTTTGGTCCATTTGAAACATATAAGTTGTGCTATAACCAAAAATGTACTCTTAAGGAATACATATTATTGCAAGAAATTATAACAAGGAAAACGAGAATGGTGAGCAGACAGGACCCAGGCTGATGGGGACCTGGTGCCAGGGAAGGAAGGCTGACTCATCCATGAAGCACCATAGGCACCATGCCTAGGGCCCAAAATACTTTTAGAGGTCCATGAAAATGTGTTTTTTGTTTTGTTTTGTTTTGTTTTTTGAGACAGAGTCTCACTCTGTCGCCCAGGCTGGAGTGCCGTTGTGCTATCTTAGCTCACTGCAACCTCTGCCTCCTGGTTCAAGCGATTCTCGTGCCTCAGCCTCCCGAGTAGCTGGAACTACAGGCACGCGCCACCATGCCTGACCAATTTTTAATTTTTGTATTTTTTGTAAAGACGGGGGCCTCGCTATGTTGCCCAGGCTGGTCTCGAACTCCTGAGCTCATGATCCACCAGCCTCAGCCTCCCAAAGTGCTGGGATTACAGAAGTGAGCCACCGCACCCGGCCATTATTATCTTTTTAATCAGAAGAAACTAATGAACTTTTTAGTTCAAAGAAAATGTTTTACTATATAACAACATATTCTTTATTACCAATGCAATCATAAAATATACGTATACATATATATTTTTGTACACGTCTGGTATACATATATATTTTTGTGCACGTGTATATGTGTGTTTAGGAAGAGGCCCACAAAAGCAAAATGTCCCGGATCCATGCTGCAGGGGATGCACGTATGGTTATTTGTACCTAAAAAGTCAAGGTACTAGCTTTGGTTTGGGGTGAGATGTTACATTATTATTATTTGTTTGTTTTTGAGAAGTGGTCTTGCTCTGTGCCCCAGGCTGGAGAGCAGTGGCACAATCATGGCTCACTGCAGCCTTAACCTCTCAGGCTCAAGCTATCCTCCCACCTCGGCCTCCCAGGTATCTAGGACTACAGGCCTGTGACACTACGCCCAGCTAATTTTTTCTATTTTTTGTAGAGGTGAGGATCTCACTGTGTTGCCTGGGCTGGTCTCAAAATCCTCAAGCAATCCTCCTACCTTGGTGTCCTAAAGTGCTGGAATTATAGGCATGAGCCACTACCAGGCCTGGCCTCTTTTTTTTCTTTTCTTTTTTCTTTTTTTTTCAGAGACAAAGTGTTTTTAGAGACAGGGTCTTACTTTGTCACCCAGGCTGGAGCACATTGGCACAATCACAGCTCACTTCAGCCTCGAACTTCCGGGTTCAAACAATCCTTCCATCTCAGCCTCACACGTAGCTAGGAATATAGGCTCATGCCAACACACCCAACTAATTTGTTATTACTTTTTGTAGAGACAGGGTCTCCCTATGTTGCCCAGGCTGGTCTTGAACTCCTGGGCTCAAGCCACCCTCCTGCCTCAGCCTCCTAAAGTGTTAGGGTTACAGGCATAAGCCACCATGCTGGCCCTGGACCTGTTATGAATGTGCCATTGCCCAGGCGTGGTGGCCCATGCCTGTAATCCCAGCACTTTGGGAGGCCGAGGCAGGCAGATCACTTGAGGTCAGGAGCTTGAGAACAGCCTGGCCAACGTAGTGAAACCCCATCACTACTAAAAATACAAAAAAAAATTAGCTGGACGTGGTGGCGTGCACCTGTAATCCCAGCTACTCGGGAGGCTGAGGCAGGAGAATCACTTGAACCCAGGAGGCGGAGGTTGCAGTGAGCTGAGATCGCACCACTGCACTCCAGCCTGGGTGACAGTAAAATACTCTGTCTAAAAAAAAAAAAAAAAAAAAAGAATGTACCATAAACCAAGGATTATAATCATCTAATTTCATGGGCCTGGGATACCCCTGAAAAACAATTAGCAAAGATATTAAATGTGAATTTGTAAATACTTCCAAATAAAATCTTTTCAAAAGTTTTATTTAGAGATCTGAGCTTCCTTCTGTGCACATCAATTTTTAGATTTTTTGTCTGAAACAGCTACACAAAATTCCTGCGCAAAATTTTAAAATGAAATTGAAATTTTAATGGAAGACTCTAACAGTACTTGCTTTTCTGGCATGAATGAATGAAATTGCTTGCAATGATGTAAGTGGACTTTGAACTCAATTGAACTTTGTTGTTTCAAGTATTTCGAAATACTCACGATTTCAGAGAACCAAGCTCTGGAGCCAGAGTGAGTAGGGAAGAGACACAGTAGTTGTTGGCCGAGCACTGTGGAGAGTCTGTGGGCCAGCAGCAGCACCAAGCAACTGTCAGTGGCCACAGATGCATGTGGCCCGTGTGCAGCAGCCAGCTCGGGCAGGTGGCATCATGGATGAGGTGTTCTCCAAGGAGCTGGACCAGTGGATCAAGCAGCTGAACCAGAGAAAGTAGCTATCCAAGTCCCAGGTCAAGAGCCTCTGCAAGGAGGCTAAAGAAATCCTGACAGAAGAATCCAATGCACAAGAGGTTTGGTGTCCAGTCACTGTCTCTGGAGATAAGCATGGGCAATTTCATGTTCTCATGGAACTGTTTAGAAAATTACCAGATGGCCGGGCGTGATGGGTCACGCCTGTAATCCTAGCACTTTGGGAGGCTGAGGCGGGCGGATCATTTGGGGTCAGGAGTTGGAGACCAGCCTGGCCAACATGGTGAAACCCTGCCTCTATTAAAAATACAAAAATTAGCTTCCCAGCTACTCAGGAGGCTGAGGCAGGAGAATCACTTGAACCTGGGAGGCGGAGGTTGCAGTGAGCTGAGAGCGTGCCACTGCACTCCACCCTGGGTGATAGAGTGAGATCTCCATCTCAAAAAAAAAAAAAAAACCAAAACAAAAATAGAAAATTACCAGATACAGATACAGGCTGGATGTGGTGGCTCACACCTGTAATCCTAGCATTTTCAGAGGCCAAGGCAGATGGATTGCTTGAGTCCTGGAGTTCAAGACCAGCCTGGGCAATATAGCGAGATCCTGTCTCAAAAAAAAATTAATAGAAAATTACCAGATACAAATTACTTGTTTACAGGAGATTATATTGACAGAGGATATTATTCAATTGAAATAGTTATGCTGCTCCTAGCTGTTAAGGTTTCTTACCATGAATGCGTCACCATTCTTCCAAGGAATCATGAGAGCAGGCAGATCACACAAGTTTATCATTCCTATGAAGAGTGTTTAAGAAAACATGGAAATGCAAATGTTTAGAAATATTTTCCAGATTTTTTTTTTCAAAGACTGGGCCACCCAGATTGGAGTCCAAGGGCACAAAGATGGCTCACTGCAGCTTCAATCTCCCTGGCCCAAGTGAGCCTCCTACTTCAGCCTCCCAGGTAGCTGGGACTACAGGCGTGCACCATCATGCCCGGCTAATTTTTTGTATTTTTTTGTAGAGATGAGTTTTTCACCATGTTGCTTAGGCTGGTCTTGAACTCCTGGGCATAAGTGATCCACCTGCTTTGGTCTCCCAAAGCGCTGGGATTACAGGCATGAGCCGCCATGCCCGGCCTTTACAGGCCATCTTCCTCTCACTGCCTTGGGGGATGGGCAGCTCTTCTGTCTCCATGGTGGCCTGTCGCCATCTGTAGATACACTGCATCACATCAGAACACTGAATTGCCTACAGAAAATTCCCCATGAGGGTCCAATGGGTGACTTGCTATACTCAGATCCAGATGACCATGGTGGCTGGGGTATATCTCTTTGAGGAGATGGTTACACCTTTGGGCAAGATACTCCTGAGACATTTAATCATGCCAGTGGCCTCAGGTTGGTGTCTAGAGCTCACCAGCTGGTGATGGTGGGACATAACTGGTGTCATGACTGGAATGTAGTAGCCATCTTCAGTACTCCAAACTATTGCTATCATTGTGGTAATCACACTGCAATCATGGAACTTGATAATACTCTAAAATACTCTTTTTTTGCAGTATGACCCAGCACCTCACAGAGGCAAGCCACATGTTACTCATTGTACCCCAGATTACTTCCTGTAATGAAATTTTAAGCTGGGCATGGTGGCTCACGCCTGTAATCCCAGCACTTTGGGAGGCCAAGGCGGGAGAATCACCTGAGGTCAGGAGTTCAAGACCAGCCTGGCCAACATGGTGAAACTAAAATATAAAATACACTAAAATCTACTAAAAATACAAAATACACTAAAATCTACTAAAAACACAAAATTAGCCGGGCATGGTGACATGCGCCTGTAATCCTAGCTACTGGGGAGGCTGAGGCAGGAGAATCGCGTGAACCCAGGAGGCGGAGGTTGCAGTGAGCCGAGATCGTGCCATTGCACTCCAGCCTGGGAGACAAGACCAAAAATCCATCTCAAAAAAAAGAAAAAGAAAAAGAAAAAGAATTTTAAATTTGAACAGGATTGCCATGAATTGTATATTGACTTAATGGAAATGGGGACAGCAACAGTAACTCCAAAGTGTCAGAAAATAGTTAACATTCAAAAAATTTGTTTTCACATGGACTAAAAGCTGTGCCATATAAAAATACAAAGCTTTTTGTCACCAAGCCGTGATCACTTTAGAATAAACCAGTTCATTGTATGCTGGAGCAACATGGTGTTTGCAGTTACTTTTGCTTTCTTTGAGAGACCGCAGATAATAAGATGTAAATTCACTTTGTGAATACAATTTAACCTCCATCTAGCTATAGCTTTACTCAGCATGACTGTACATAGGGGTAGCAGAAAACAATCACTGGATCACTGGAACTTAATGAAATTAAAAAAAATAAATGCCAAGCCCTCCCCTCTACTTAAGGGTTTTGAAATCGTTCTGTTTATTTTCAGGGATACCATTTAATTTAATTATAAGACTTGCCTCCACTCAGTTTGTCGCCTTCTCAAATCTGAGCCACATGCCATTCTTCGTTATTGTCAGAACCTAGTGAGTGGTTTTGAACAGAGCTGTTTTTGCCCCTTCCTGTAAAGTGATGTTTTATTGCACAAGAGCACTGCAGAGTTTTCATAATAAACTTGCGAGCTCAGAAAAAATTACTCATGAAGCTCTTATTTGCAGTGTTTGTTATTAAAGCAGGCACCCTAAAGAGTATAGCCAGCAGGGACAGATCCAGGTTTTGTGAAAGCCTGAGGTTTATATAAGTGTGTGTGTGTCTGTGCGTGTGTGTGTGTGTGTGTGTGTGTGTTTGTATGGTGAGGAGGGCTCTTTATGAAAAAGACTGCAAAATTCTAAGTACAAAATTAGGTACTACAGGAGATTGCATTACTGGACCCAATACTTCCCCCCTCCTTGGGTCTACATCTTTGCCATATGACTTTGCAGTTTGGGCCACTAAAGTGTCAGAGTGTATTTCTACTCTTCTTGACTCTGGCCTTGGCCATGTAACTTGCATTGGCCAATGGGATTGAGTGGAAGTGACAGCATGTTACTTCTGAGTCTGGGTCTTTCTTCTTTGTACCTTGTCTTCAACATGAGGGCATTCACTGGTTAGCACAGTGGTCCCAGGAGGAAGATGAGGGATACAGGGAGCAAAGCCATCCAGCTGACCCAGCTTAGATAACCTAGCTCACAGCTGCTGTGGCCTAAAGCATCCCAGCTGATCTGCAGATCTATGCCAATAAATACTTGTAAGCCGCTGAGTTTGGGGACCATATGTTACACAGCAGTACTCTACCAGTAGCTAACAAATGCAGGTATAAACATGAAGGTTTATTTGTAATGAGAAAATAAATCACAACAGATAAGATTTTAGCAGCTGACAAATAGCTCAAAAGTCACAGAATCCAGAAAAATACATAAATTTTCATTAATTGCCATCTGACATACCTCTATAATATCCTATATGTTGGCTACATTTTCTTTGGTTGCCTCTCCAATATAACAACTTAAATTTTTTTTTTTTTTTGTAATTTTGTGTTTCTACAGAGAGGAGGGAGAGAGGATTCTCTCTTTCTTCTGAAATGGTTTATTGAAAAATACTTTTTAATTGGTAATTTAGTAAAGTTTCGTCTAGCATCATAACTGACTTTAGGTCATGTTGTTTCAATTATTAAGATTGTTGCCAAAGTTGTGAAAACCTCCATCAAGTTTCTTTCAGGACATTTTCAATTTTCTTGTACAATTAATTGTAAATCTTCTTTTAATTGATTCTCATTATCCATTTGTCATCAATGTTCTTTTGTAGTGGTACATTGTAAGTTTCATGCTTTCTTAGTTCAGTAATGTGTGTCAACTCAGCAAAAGTAAATATTTTTTCCACTGTGTCCATGATCTACTCCTTTTTATTATTCATTATTATTATTTTGAGACACAGTTTCACTCTCCTTGTCCAGGCTGGAGTGCAATGGCCCGATCTCGGCTCACTGCAACCTCCACTCCCACATTCAAGCAATTCTCCTGCCTCAGCCTCCTGAGTAGCTGGGATTACAGGCATGAGCCGCCACGCTCAGCTAATTTTGTATTTTTAGTAGAGATGGGGTTTCTCCATGTTGGTCAGGCTGGTCTCCAACTCCCGATCTCAGGTGATCTGCCAGCCTCGGCCTCCCAAAGTGCTGGGATTACAGGTGTGAGCCACCGTGCCCAGCCTATTGTTATTATTTTTAGACAGGGTCTCACTTTGCCACCCAGGCTGGAGTGCAGTGGTACCATCATAGCTCACTGTAACCTCTAACTCCTGGGCTCAAGTGATCCTTCTGCCTCAGCCCCCAGAGTAGCTAACTGGGACTGCACTGCATGCCACCATGCCTGGCTAATTTTTTTTTTTTTTTTTTTTTTTTTTTGCTATGGGGTCTTTCTGCCATATCTTATGGGCTAGAAAAAAATTTTATTTAAAAATAAAATAAAATAGATTTGGGGGTCCTTGCTATGTTGCACAGGCTGGTCTCGAACCCTTGGGCTCAAGCAATCCTCTCACCTTGGCCTCCCAAAGTGCTAAGCTTACAGGCATGAACAACTGTACCCACCTATTCCTTTTTAGTAATTGGATTACCAAAGACTCCAGAAGGCTATTTATACCTGCTTTGCAAATTTATCTTTTCCTCTTACTGAGTTACTGCTTTTGGAATGATCTGAAATTCTTTTGTTACCATTTTCTTCCATCGATTTTCTGTTGATTTCTACTGGTTTCATTGTTCATTTTTATGGCCTTTATTTTATGCTCTATTAAGCTTTAAATATTTTTTGTCAGCTATTTAATATATAAATTTAAAGGTAACAAAAGGAAATATGTAATTTCTTAATTGTTTTATTGGAAATCAGATGTCTGTCCTTCAGAGAGGCCTTGACCACTCAAATCATGGAGCTCTTCCCAGCACTTTTTAACCCTTGATTTGACTTTCTTTTCCTTTACAGCAGTTGATCTGATGTTAAATTACGCACTCACGTGTTTGTTGTCTGTCTCCTCCAGTTAGAAGCTAAGGAATTAGCTCCTTGAGCCCTAGAACATTGACAGATAAATAGATATTTGTAAAGTCAACGAATGAATGAGTTCCCTAAGTGCCAACCAGTGTCCACACTGTGATTTCTGTCCAGCTGCTTGACGCACTTCCAGGACTGGTAAGAGTCAGTGACTGCTGAGAATCCACAGTGCCCTGAACCCTACCAAAACGCCCCACCCCCATCTCCTTTGTACTAAACTGGGTCTCCATTTGTGACATCTTTTCCATTAAAAAAAAAAAATGTGTCCTGGAGTGGTGATCCCAGCACTTTGGGACGTGAAGGTGGGAGGATCATTTGAGCCCAGGAGTTTGAGAACAGATTGGGCAACATAGCGAGACCTTGTCTCTAAATAAATAAATAAATAAATAAATAAATAAATAAATATAAATTAAAAAGGGACAGACTCAGACTTTTTTGATAGATTATACAAGTTATTTCTCTCTCAACCCAAAGTCTCTGTTCAACCTATAGTTACTTTGCCTACTTTTATATTCTTAATATAGCATGATTTAACTTTCTGTATTATTCTTACCCCCCCTTAAACGAGTAACCCCATTTGCAGCCTCCAACTCAGCATATCCTAAACTGAATGCATCACGTCTCCCTGCACGTGAGCGGGTTCATCTTCAGTTGTTCAGCCACTCAGGCCATGAGTCCAGACGCATTCTCAGCAGTTCTCTCTTCCAATTGCTGCCCATTCTCCATCAGTCACTTATTTCTGTCATTTCTTTGATCTCCTCACCATTTCTTTCATGCTTGCATTTCTCTCCTTCCCCACAGCCAGCACCCCAGTCCAAACCCCTGTCTTCTCTCACCTGGATCAATCTCCTACTGGTATCCTCTACCAGTCTCTGAAATGGTTTGTTAAGACGCAGATATGATCTGGTCACTGCTCTGATTGAAACCTTCAAAGGCTTCCCAATGCTCCTGGGATAAAGCCCTCAATCCTTACATGCCCTGCCAGGGCATGCATGGTCTGCCCCCCTCTGCAAATTCATCTTCTACCTCTGCCTTCTCATTCCCTGCCCTTTTGCCACTCTGGCCTTCTCTGAGTTCTTCCAAAATGCCAAATTATTTCCTGGCTCAGTATCTTTGCACACTCTGTTCCCTCTGCATGGAATGCCCTTCCATCCCCTCTTGGCCTGGCAACTGATGCTTATCCTCAGTCTTAGTTTAAATGGCATATCCTCCAAGAAGCTTTCCTTGAACCGTGGGACAAGCCTGGGCCATCTGTTTTATTCTCCCATTGTGCACTGTACTTTTCCTTCTCAACATTTATCAAAAACATAAATAGGAAAGCATAAATAGGGCCAGGCACAGTGACTGATGCCTGCAATCCTAGCACTTGGGGAGGCCTTGGCAGGAGGATTACTTGAAGCCAGGAGTTCGAGACCAGCCTGAGCAACACAGTAAGACTCAGTCACTACCCAAATTTTGAAAAACTTAGCCAGGCATGATGGCTCAAACCTGTAGTCACAGATACTTGGGAGGCTGAGGCAGGAGAATGGCTTGAGCCCAGGAGATTGAAGCTGCAGCGAGCTATGATTGCACCATTGCACTCCAGCCTGGGCTACAAAGCCAGACCTTGTCTCGAATAAATAAATAAATAAATAAATAGTTACTAGTATAATTGGTCATTCAACGTCTGTCTTTCCTATTAAACTAAACTCTGTGAGGCAAAGCTGTCTATTACAATAACAATCGCTGAACACATCTATAGCTCTTCCTATGTGTTTGGGTCTGTTCTAAGCACTTTTTATGTATCATCTTACTGAATCCTCACAGTAACCCTTCAAGACAAATACTTTTTCTTTCCCTGTTTCATGAGTGAGGAGACTGAAGCACAAAGAGGTCAAGTAACTTGTTCAGGGATGCATAGCTGGTAAGTAGTGGAACCAGGATTCAGAAGCAAGCCGTGTCTCCCAGAATCCTAGCTTTTCCTACTTCCCTTATTGCCTTCCAGGTTTGTTGTGTTTCCCATTATGCCCCCAACATCCAGCACAGGACACATGATAGGTGTTCAATAAATATGGTGGAATGTATGTCTAAGCATGCATTTACTGAGAACTTACTAAGTGCAAAGCACTGTGGAGAAACCAAAAATATGGACCTTACCCTTAGCGACCTTTAACTAAAATCACGAGGAAAACAGATTTTTATTTATTGTTTATTTTTTACCTGACTAAGGAATACAGAAAAGGTTCTTAGAGGAAATGTTTTTTGGTGGTCCCCTGGGAACAGATAGATAGGACTCAAATGGATCTCGGGTGGGGGCAGGGGAGCAAGGGAGGCCAGATGCTGGGGAGGCGAGAGTGAGGGCTGGCAGCCCTGCAGGAATGCTCACTGGGAGGACTGGAAGAGCAAGGGTGGGGCAGAGGACACAGACTGAGGGAGCCCAGGGGAGGGAGTCAGCTCTACCAACTGGAGGAGGGGTCGGCCAGTCTGGGCCTCCTGTGATGAGTAAACAGGCGTTGGGGAGGAAGGGCTTTGTGGAAAGAAAGACCCACCTGTGCAGAGCATGCAGGCAGGAAATTGCAAAGGGTGTTCAGGAAACAAACGCATGTCCTGTGGGATATTAATGGGATTCTACAGTCAAACTCACTTGGGAAATTCTGCACTGAACAAGGTTAAACAAATGTCTTTCCTGCAATGTTCCTCAGAACCCTTAATATGTTAATGTGCATTGGGTCTACAAGGCAGGGGTATATGAGTGACATTTCCAAGAAAGGCTTATTAACTTGACAGCACATTAGTTAGAAAAGGGTGGCAAAAAAGCTGGCGGGTCAAACAGCTTGGGGCGGGTGAGGAGGGTCTGGGATGCCAAGCCAGGGAATATTCACATTAGCTTAGAGAGCACTGGAAGAATAAAAGATTTTTTAAGCAGGGTGGTGACGTAAGCCCGGCTGAGAGCTAGCAAGCTGCCTCCAAAGTCAGTGTGGGGATAGATGTGAGGAAGGAAAGAGATTAACGTGTTGATATAGTTTGGATCTGTGTCCCCACCCAAATCTCACATTCAATGTAATCCCCAGTTTTGGAAGTGGAGCCTGGTGGGAGGTGATTAGATCATGGGGGTAGGTTTCTCATGAATGGTTTAGCACCATTCCCTTGGTGCTGTCCTCTCAATAGTGAGTGAATTCTCCCGAGGTCTGGTCATTTTAAAGTGTGTGGCATCTCCCCCTGACCTCTTCCTCCTGCTTCGGTCATGTGACATGCCTGCTCCCCCTTTGCCTTCCGCCATAATTGTAAGTTTCCTGAGGCCTCCCCAGAAGCCGAGCAAATGCCAGCATCATGCTTACTGTACAACTTACAGAACTGTGAGCCAATTAAACCTCTTTTCTTTGTAAATTACCCGGTCTCGGGTACTTCTTTATAGCAATGCAAGAATGCATAATACATGTGTATTGTTGACTTACTCTGTTCAGCCACTGTGCTAGCACTTCAAGTATATAAGTGCATTTAATCTTCACAACTCTGCAAGGGTAAATGCTATTGTCCCTACTTTAAAAGTTGAGAAAACTGGCCAGGTGTGATGGCTCATGCCTGTAATCCCAACACTTTGGGAGGCCGAGGTGGGCAGATCACAGGAGCTCAGGAGTTCGAGACCAGCCTGGCCAACATGGTGAAACCCCACCTCTACTAAAATTACAAAAATTAGCCGGGTGTGGTGGTGGGGACCTGTAATCCCAGCTACTCAGGAGGCTGAGGCCGGAGAAGTGAACCTGGGAGGTGGAAGCTGCAGTGAGCTGAGATTGCGTCACTACACTCCAGCCTCAGCAACAGACCGAGACTCCGTCTCAAAAAAAACAAAAAAAAATTTGAGAAAACTGAGGCTCTGAGAGGCTGTGGGGCCACCTGCCCACCACTTATTGAAATATGTGTGTTAATTCACTGTGCCTCAGCATCTGTCTACTTGTGGAAATGAGCCAGCTCCTGAATCTAGGTCAGCCAGGGAGCAAAAGTGTGGGCCCGGCTGGGGAAGGAGCTCTGGGTGTGGGAAGAAGAGCTGGCTTCTGAGACCCTGAGCACTGTGGCCCTCTCCAGGACCTAAACCCTGGAACTAGCTGGGGCCTGAGGGAGCCGGGCATGTAGAGCTCCCCAGAGAGGCTGGAGAATTCACCCATGGATGACACAGGCATCCTCACCCCAACTCCCCATGAGAACAGAATCGGAGGCCCCATGGGCTGGCAGAAGGGACCTTGGCCTTGAAGAACACTTTCTTTGGTTCTCTCCCCTGCAATGCACTGCCTGAGAACTGACGGATGGCCATGGTTCCAGCCAGCTCTGCCACCAACCTGCCAGGTGATTACCTCATGTGTCAACAACATGATCCCTTTTGTTCCTCCCGGCTCTGAATGCCCTCTTCAGAACTCCTGTTCACACAGGTGCCATGTTGTGGAATCCTGGCTCTGGTCCTTCTTTCAGAAATTTTGGGAACTGGTTGTCATGTATCTGACAGATCAGCCTCATCTCATCTCACCTCTCACAACAACTCCATGGTGCCTCTGTTCAATGAGTATTTACCAACTCCCCACCCTTTGCCAAGTGCTGTCCTGAGAGCTGTGCTCACAGAGGTCCATCTTATGAAGCAGATATTGTTATGAACCCCATTTTTCTGATATGTTTGTTTATTTTAGAGACGAGGGGCCTCGCTATCTTGTCCAGGCGCGTCTCAAACTCCTGGCCTCAAGCCATCCTGCTCTCCAGCCTCCCAAGTAGCTGGAATTACAGGTATGAGCCATTGTGCCCAGCTACCCAGTTTTCCAGTATGGAACCTTGCCCAAAGTCTTGCCCTGGGTAAGACTTGAAATCAGGTCCGTCTACACTAACATCCCAGCTCCTGACCACCCAGTGTCACTGCCACCCATGTAAGCCCGGGCTCGGGACTGGAGCCCATGCCTGCTGGAGCAGGGATGGTGAGAGAGAAGGGGGCATGTTATGACCTCACTGTGCCCTGGGGTCATTCTTGGTTCTGCTACCTCCTAGCTGGGTCACATGGGGCAAATCATCTCACCTCCCTAAGTCTCAGTTTTCTCATCTGTGAAATAGCCCTACAGTATTTACCCCAAATATTTGTTGGGAGGATAAAATGACATCTTGAATATCAAGCCTCTTAGTACAGTCAATATTAGTTTCTCCATTTAAAAAATTTAATTTTCCCTAAAATAACCTGCCCCTTCTCATGCTCATTTCCAAAGGCTTGCAATGAGTGATCCAGAAACAAATGAATAAATAAAGGGATTTCCCAAATTCCCTGAACTCTGGTGTTGGAGTTGTGCAGCCTCATGTATCTTTATATGGCCTGCATGACATCAATGATGACTCACATTTCTTGATCATGTAATATGCTCTAGAAACTTTCCTGGGTGTTTTACACACACAGCTGTTACAGACCAGAGCTAGTTGTCTTTTGTTGTTGTTGTTGTTTTGAGACAGGGTCTTGCTCTGTCACCCAGGCTGGAGTGCAGTGGTGCCATCTTGGCTCACTGCAGCCTCGACTTCCTGGGCTCAAGTGATCCTCCCATTTCAGCCTCCTGAGTAGCTGGGACCACAGGCGCATGCCACCATGTCTGGCTAATTTTTTAATTTTTTGTAGAGATGGGGGTCTCACTATGTTGCCCAGGCTGGTCTCAAACTCCTAGGCTCAAGCAATCCTCCCAACTCAGCCTCCCAAAGAGCTGGGATTATAGCCGTGAGCCACTGAGCCCAACCAGAGCCAGGATTTGAACCCACAAAGTCTGGCTCCATGGCCTGTGCTCTTAACCACTCTGCTACTTTGTTCGGGAGGTCCAATGTAAACTTCTGTGTATTAAATTGTGAGATCCCAGAGGTCACAAACCATGCCTTATCTGGGATCCAGCATAGGCCTGGCCCTGAATGAGTTTCAGAAGATTCTTTCATTCATTCACTCACATTCACTCAACCAGTATCTCTGGAGGACCTTTGCAGGTCAGACTCTGTTCTAGGAGCTGGGGATACAGCAAGGAAGAAGGTAGAAAAGACCCCTGTTCCCATGGCAACTACTTCCAGTAGAATCCAGGGTTGCATGGCATTGAGTGACTGGGTGGCTGCTCTTATTGGGTGGTCAGGATGGCCCCTCCAAGGAAGGGATGTTTAGCTAGGACCTCAGTGATAACAGGGAACCAGCCATCTGAAAATCAGAGGGAAGAGCATCGAGATAGAGGGAACAGCAAGTGCAAAGACCCTGGGGTGAGAAAAAACTGGGCATATTTGAGAAACAGAAAGAAGCCCATTGTGGAGTGTTAGTTGGGGAAGGGAGACAGCAAGGCAGGGGCCACATCATGGGGACTTCATGAGCCAGAGGAAGGAGTTTTATTATGTTGTTCAAAGTGCAATAGGAAGCCGTTGGAAGGTTTTAAACAGGAAAATGACATAATCTGATTTTTAAAAAATTAATAGACTTTATTTTTAGAGTAGTTTCAGGTTTATAGAAAAATTGAGCGGAAAGTCCAGAGTTCCCTCTCACCCTCTACTGTGCATACATGCACACATATCACAATTTCCCTTAGTATTAGCATCCTCCATTAGAGGGGTACATTTGTTACAGTTGATGACCCAATACATTATTATTAACTAAAGTCCACAGTTTACATTAGAATTTGCTCTGTATTGAACATGAGTTTTGAATAATGTATGACCTGTGTCTACTATTATAGTAGCATACAGATTAGTCACACTGTCCTAAAAACCCCCTGTTTTCCACTGATTCCTCCCTCCTCCCAAGGCCTTGGCAACTACTTTTTTTTTTTTTTTTTTTTTTTTTGAGTTGAGTCTTCCTCTGTGGCCCAGGCTGAAGTGCAGTGGTGCGATCTCAGCTCACTGCAACCTCTGCTTCCCGGGTCCAAGCGATTGTCGTGCCTCAGCCTCTCAAGTAGCTAGGATTACAGACACGTGCCACCATGCTTGGCTAATTTTTGTATTTTTGGTAGAGATGAGGTTTCACTATGTTGGCCAGGCTGGTCTCGAACTCCTGACCTCAGGTGATCTGCCTGCCTCAGCCTCCAAAAGTGCTAGGATTACAGGTATGAGCCACCGCACCTGGCCACAACCACTGATTGTTATACTGTCTCCATAGTTTTTGCCTTTTCCGAAATATCATAGATTTGGAATAACACAGTATGTAGCCTTTTCAGACTGGCTTCCTCCACTTAATCTGATTTTTTTTTTTTTTTTTTTTGAGACAGCATCTTACTCTATTGCCCAGGCTGGAGTGCAGTGATGCAATCATGGCTCACTGAAGCCTCAACCACCCGGCCTCAAGCAGTCCTCCCACCTCAGCCTTCTGAGTAGCTGGGACTACAGGCACATGCCACCATGCCTGGCTAATTTTTAAATATTTTGTAGAGATGGGGTCTCCCTAAGTTACCTAGGCCAGTCTTGAACTCCTGGGCTCAAACAACCCTGCCTCCATCTCCCAAAGTGCTGGGAGCACTTTGGGAGTGAGCCACCGCACCCAGCTTGATCTGATTTTTTAAAAGATCAAATTGGCTGTATCGTAGGAACAGATTGGAAGGGGACAAAAATAACAAAAGGAAGACCAGTTAGGAGACGAAGCAGTCATCCAGAGGCTCGATGAAGTGGTGGGCCAAGCTGGTGGGGAGAAGTGTGTGGACCCCAGGTGCACAGTGGAGACCCAACTTTTGGGAGCTGCTCATTGAGTGAGTGCAGGGGAAGGTCAAGGATAGGAATGATTGATGATTACATCGCCAGGGTTAAACCAGGCCTGCACAGAGTGGGGTTTTAAAGTGTTCATAGATATTGCTGTGGTTTTTAATCCCCTTAAATACTCTTGTTGTTCTCTTAGAAATTGAAGAATCAGTTCCAGAGAGATCTCCTGGAGGGCCTAGGATCACAGAGCAAAGCAGAAACCACAGCTGTCTCGGAGGACGAAACTCCAGCTCTTCACCCAGAGATAGTCGTGGGCTGGTGGCTTCAGGGCCCACTAGGGCCTTTGTTATGAGTTTTCTCTTCCCAGCGGTCCTTTTATTGCATAATCAATAAACCACTGACAGAAATAAAAGGCTTCCAGATATATACGCTGCTGATTCCCTGCCTGGAAAACCTTCCCCTCTGCCCTCCTTAAAACCTCATGGCTTCTTATTGCACATTGCACCCGGGGGGGGGATATCCACTTAGAATTGAATCTCAGTGAAACTGCTTGTTAACTTACCCTGACCTCTGAGTTAGTTCAGCTTATTTTGGTCTCAAGTAACTACCTTAAGGCAAAAACAAACAAACAAACAAACAAACCTGGGAGGGAGTGGTGGGATGGATATCTTGGGAGCTATGGAGGCACCACACAGACTGAAGGAAGAGGAGTTGAATCAAGGATCGTCTGAAGAACAGGTCTAGCATGTCTCCAGGGATCACTGCAGTAGAAGCCTGCTGCCTTCAGGGGACAAGTCTACCATGACCCCAGATGCTGCTTCGCTCCACTCCATTCAAACTCCCAGCAGGCCTTGGATGATTCCAGCTTGGTCAGGAGTGCCCCTCACCCACTGCTGAGATCAGTTAAGTCTTGGTGGGAGCACAGAACCACATGGTACAAACGGAGTGGGATGGGATCGTTCCAGGCAAAATCTTCATGGGAGATGAAGCTGTTCATGGCCCCCCAGCCAGTGTTGGTCATTCTGTCCCTGGTAACCCTATAGCTCAATCACAGCACTTCACAGATTGTCTTATAATTATTTGCCCCAGCTGGAATGCAGTGGTGCAATCATAGCTCACTTCACCCTCTATCTCCCCAGCTCAGGCCATTCTCGTCCCTTAGCCTCTGGAGTAGCTGGGATTACAGCACACACCACCATCCCCAGCTAATTAAAAAAATTTTTTTTCCTGTTGCCCAGGCTTGAACTCCTGGGCTCAAGTGATCCTCCTGCCTCAACTTCCCAAAGCTCTGAGATTACAGGTATGAGCCACTGCACCCAGCCAATTTCTTGACAGTGTATGTCACTTTCACTGGGCACTGGGTTCTTCCAGGATTGTGGCTTTGACTTACTTAATCTGTTATGCTGCAGGGGTGCCCCTGTTGCTGTTCTCCCTTCTTCTGCAGTAATTGGGACCTGTTTTTAGCAAGGCTAATGGCCTCCCAAAGTCCTGACGTGTCTTAGTCTAGCTTGCAGCTAGGGGTGTCCAAGCAACAAGGTTCTGGCCAATGCATAAGGAGGGAGGTGGTGTGAGCAACTTCAGTGAGACCTTTCCTGGAAGAAGCATGCCCTCCGCTTCTCCTCCTTACCCTGCTGGCTGGAACATAGACATGGTGGTGTACCCCATAGGACCATGTGGAAAAAGGTAACTCCCTAGAAATGCCAGAGCCCCCCCAGAGAGCGAGCCATGGTCCCTGACACCCTGAAGCTGCCACATCGGCTTTGAACTGCTTCCCCGCTGAATGTTCTGAGAGGCACTAAAACCTCTTTTCTCGTTAAGTCTTCCTGCAGCCTAATATAATCCATACTAATAGCCATGCCTAACATGCTGACCGACCTTAGTACGTGCTTAATAAATGATGGTTGAGTTATTAAATCAATGACAAAGAGAGAAATACTCAATGCCAGCATTTATCACATTGACACTGCATATTCTTTCTAGCTCCTCTCTACATACAGTCGATATTTTAACAGAGGTATAATTAGAGCAGAAATAGAATTTTATATCCAGCATTTCCCCAGTAATAGTAATTACGTAATAAACATTTTCCATGTCAAGTCCTTGTATCATCATTCTAAATGAATGTGTCATTTTCTTTTCTTTCTTTTTTTTTTTTTTTGAGATGGAGTCTCACTCTATTGCCTAGGCTGGAATGCAGTGGCGCGACCTCAGTTCACTGCAACCTCCACCTCCTGGGTTCAAGCGATTCTCCTGCCTCAGCCTCCTGAGTAGCTGGGATTACAGGCATGCACCACCACACCCGGCTAAGTTTTGCATTTTTAGTAGAGATGGGGTTTCGCCATGTTGGCCAAGCTGGTCTTGAACTCCTGACCTCATGTGATCCGCCCGCCTCAGCCTCCCAAAGTGCTGGGATTACAGGTGTGAGCCACTGATCAACCATAATTTACGTAACCACCCCGTTATTCTTCGGTATATACATTTTCCCCATTTTTCCTAATTATAGAGAATGCTACAAGAAAGTTACTTATGACTTTATGACTATTCTTTTGCCTTTTCCTTTTGACAAGTCCTTTGAGAATGGGATTGTTGCCTTTTCTAATATTTTAGAACTCTTTCTACCTTCACCGGCCACTCCTGTTTCATAATTGCCAATTAAATTGTGAACAATGGTCATGACGGGAATAACAATTACAGTAACAACAGCTGCTGGTTACTGATCACTGACTATGTAACCATATCATGCTAGGCACTTTTCATCTTTTTGTTTCACATATCCGCATATAGCTATACATACTTTCTCTCTCTCTCTCTCTCTCACACACACACACACAAGCATGGGAAGTGGTAGTTAAAAGTGCGAATTCCAAGGTCAGACTAAATTCAAATCTTAGTAAAACAGCTTCTTCACTATGAGACCCTGCATAAATTACTTAACCTCTCTGTGCCTCCATTTCCTCATCTATAAAATGAAGATAGTAATACTTTCTTTATAGGGTAGCTATGAGGACTAAATGAGATAACACAATAATAGCTGGCATTTCTTGAACACCTACTAGGTGCCAAGCACTATGCTAAATAAAGGCTTTATGTTAATTCACTTATTTCTTGCCAGATTATAGGAGCTAAGTATTTTCAGCCTCATTTTGCAGACAAGGCACCTGAAGCTCAGAAGGTAAAGACATACCTGCCCAACCTGCAGGGAGCTGAGCAATTCTCACCTGGGTCACACTGACCTCACAGTCCCAGGCTCCTCCCAAAAGGATTCTTCTCTTTAAGCAGTCTCAAACGCTCAATTTCTCCAGCATAATCTCTCCTTCCGCCCCCATTCCCATCCCACAAGGTGCAGCCTTCTTTCAGGTGTCCCCTCCCCGCCATCACTATTGCAGCATAGAATGCCACAGAAGCTCAGTTAGGAACAATCCCCATTTATCAAGTGCTTCCTCTGGGCCAGACCCTGTGCTTGGTGCTTTATATCATTATCTCATTTAATCCTCAGACAGTCCTGGAACATAAGCACCATTACCCCCATGTTACAAGTGAGGAAACCCAGGCCCAGAATGCTGGAGCAAACTGCCCAGCGTTGCAGGGTCATTGCATTCAGGAGCTGAGACTCCCAGTCAGGCTGAGAAATGCAAGTCTAGCATCTTGCCACCCTCACCCACAGCTGCCTGGGATGGTGGTTCCCAGGGGATGGGGAAGATCGTGTTGTGATGGTTCCAGATGGCCTGATGGTTCCCCCTGCCTGAGGGCAGCCATGCAGAGAGTGCCAGCACAGCGTCCACTAGAATCTCCCTGCCTCTCAAGGCCCAAGGCCCTAGGCCCAAGGCAGGGCCGAGATCCAAGGGAGAGCGGTCGGACGGGCTTTCTGTGCCGCCCCTGAAATAGCCAGCTCAGCTCCCCAGCTCCAGCTCTGCAACTGCAGGCGGATCCCGGAATAGCTCTTTCCTCCTGCAAGGTGACCTAGTTAGCAGGTTCCTCTTGTCATGTGAGGTTGGCTGAGCAAGACATTTACCTACCTCTGTCTACCCAGAAAAGCCTGATCCGACACTTTCCTCTCCTCCTTCCCCCGATGCTGTTCCTGATTCTCCCACGGTTCACTCATTCTAGAAGTCCAGGGAATGGATGATAATGCACTAAGCGTGGTGCTTCAGGGCCTCAAAGCATGTTCACAGACATTATCATACTTCCTTCTTACACCAGGCTTGGAGGGCGAATCTATTATCAACCCATTTCACAGCTGAGGAAATAAAGGTGCAGAGAGGGTAGGCAACATGAGCAAGGACACACGGCTGGGAGGAGGCAAAGCCAGGATCTGGACCCAGGTTCCTGAAACTCAGACCAGTGTCCCTGCAGTGCTTTGAGTTTCCCTGGTTTTATGCACCTCTCTGAGGAGCCCCAGTCACTAAGCCTTCCTCACCTATCCACTGCCTGTGTTGGACCTCCTGAACACCTATCTGGTTGTAGAACTGGGTGCAGAGGTTGAGATCAAGGACTTGGAGGTCCACCAGCCTCAGGGTGGAGCTGGGATTTGAGTTTCAGCATTTATCAGCTCTGTGGCCTCAGGCAAGTTGCTTTGCCTGCCTGAGACTCAGTTTCTATATCTGTAAAATGGGCATAATAATCATACCTGCATCCTAGGGTTTCTATAAGGATTAAATAAGATAGGGTACATAAAGTGCCCAGCAGCTTCCTTTCATTTTGCATATTTTTGATAAAATAGCTATTGTTGTCCAGGCACAGCGGTACATGCAAGTAATCCCAGCACTCTGGGAGGCCCAAGCAGGCAGAGGGTTTGAGCCCAGGAGTTTGAGATCAGCCTGGGCAACATGGCGAAACCCCATCTCAGCAAAAAATACAAAAATTAGCTGGGTGTGGTGGTGCACACCTGTAGTGCCAGCTACTCGGGAGGCTAAGTTGGGAGGATCACTTGAGCCTGGGAGATTGAGGCTGCAGTGAGCAGAGATCACTTCACAGCAATCCAGCCTGGGTGACAGAGTGAGTTCTGTCTCAAAACAAACAAACAAACAACAACAACAAAAAAACTATTGTTGTTATTATTATTGACATCCTGAATTTAACCCAAAAAGGAGAAGCTTAAGATGGGCTAGTGCCAATGAAGAGTTGCTGTAGTAAAGGTTGTTATGACTATTCCCATGCCATCATGCACAGGCCTGGAAGAAAGAGTCATATTGACAATAACACAACTCCAGCATATGGCAGTTTCTTCTGAAGTGTTGGCCCCTTGTTCCACTGGATGGCTGCTGGCTCCCTGTAGGAACCCACTGCAGGAGAGGAGAGAGGTGTGGGCAGCCTTGGCTGTCACCCTAGGGGTGCTTATTCACTCTGCAAGTGTCACATCCCACTGGCAGGGGGCATAGAGAAGTGCAGGGTGCCTACTCCGGTGATCCCTGGGTGCTGTGGGTCGTGCAGAAGTGAAGATGCGGAAGGAGATTAGGGGCAGGTCTGGGGACCCCTGAAGACCATGATCAAATTATGTAAAGGCAGAAGTGGCTGAGGGCTAGTGAGAACGAAGCTGGACTTGGGGGATCAGATGCTGCATTCAAATCCTTCCTCCACCACTCCTTATATGTGAGCCCACAGATAAGTTGCTTAACTGCTCCAAGCCTCAGTTTACCCATCTGTAAAAACTGGGCATAATTTGAACCTCATGGGAAGGTGGCGAGGCTTGGATGAGTTACCTACGTGTTGCACCAGCACAGTGATAGGCATGACATGGGGGCAGAGTACATGTTTGAGAATTTGAATTTGAAGTCTAGCCAAGCCCCAAGACCCAAGGTACCATCTTAGGAATTTGGAAGAAGAGATGAATGTGGTCTGGAGTAAACAAAGAAGGCTCCAGAATGATAGCATGACTGGCCTTGGGTCCTGAAATCTAAGTATAACAAGGATGCTGGAGAAGCTTGGGGAGGCCATTCAGACAAGAGGTCCAGTGGGAGGAATGGGCATGGCACACAGACAGGACAGTCGCTTTCCGTCACACCCCATGGAAGGTTTTTTTTTTTTTTTTTTTTTTTAGAAAGAGTCTCATTCTGTCACCCAGGCTGGAGTGCAGTGGCACAATCTTGGCTCACTGCAGCCTCAACCTCCCAAGCTCAAGGGATTCTCTCACCTCAGCTTCCCAAATAGGTGGGACTACAAGCATGCGCCACCACGCCTGGCTAATTTATACATATAAATACACATTATGTATATACATGTGTGTATATATGTGTGTATATATGTGTGTGTGTGTGTGTGTATACATATACACGCACAAAACTGTAGAGACCAGGTTTCACCATGTTGCCCAGGCTGGCCTCAAACTCCTGGGCTCAAGCAATCCACCCACCTCAGCCTCCCAAAGTGTTGGACCATGCCTGTCTCTCAGAAAATTCAAACTCTTCACCATGGCCTTTCCTCTGTGACCTCTATTCCCAGCCCTTCTGGTCACCGCACTCACTCTACCTCAGTGGCCTGGTCACTGTGCTCACTCTACCTCAATGGCCTCCTCGCGGTTCCCACACACATCCTCTTCATCACGCCCTATTCTTTTGACTTGTGTACAGAGCACTTAACATACTCTGGTACTATACAATTTGTCATTTGTGTACATGTTTATTGCCTGTCTGCTCCAAAGAGACTGTGAGATCCTTGAGGGAGGGGGCTCCACTTCATTCACTGGAACATCTTCAGTTCCCAGAGCAATGGCGGCACATAATATAGGCTCAATAAACAGGGTTAAAGTAGGTGGATGGATAAGCAGTAGAGAGTCCAGCAGAAGGAGGGGTCACATGAGACGCGGTTGGGTAGGTTGATACCAAACAGAGGGCTGTGAAGTCCAAGCTAAGGAGTTTAGGTGGCTTCCAATAAGAACCAGCAGAGCTTATAACCAACCCAGTATTGGGTTGGTCAGAATCCAGGCCTGGGTGACTGGGAAGGGGGTAGTGCCATTCACAGAAATTGGTTAATTTGTTCCTTGAGACTGGGACATGGCCCTCTGGACCTATTTCTGGGTTGGACACAGGTGTACAGCCTCACCTTGGCAGGCTCCCATTCTAGCAGGGCTCCGTGGAACAGTGGGCATTTGAGCAGGACCTTAAGTGGGTTTTAGCACTGAGAGATCTGGGACTGGACCTCCCATGAGTAATGACCGGGTAACCAGGGTGATGGGCAAGGGTGCCCAAGCTCGGGAAACAGCAGAGAGGAGAAGGGAAAAGGGTGGGACGTGGAGGCCTCCTCTGGGAGCTGGAGCAGTGTTCTGCCCCTGCTTTCCTCTTGGGTCCCTGGGGAAGGAGCCATGGCCTGCTGCTTCCTACCTGAACTCCTCTCCTAAGGGCAAGGACACGGGGAGGGGGAGGGTGACACGCTCAACAAAGGGGCATTCTTCTAGCCACGAGGGAGAATCAATAGAGGCTTGTTTGCCATGCTCCCTGGGGAGCAGCCAGGCATGCTGACAGGGGACCTGGGCAGCCCGGGAGGAAAGGAACGCCGAGTCCGGCTGTGCCACCCTGGAGCATTGTTTTGACCCCAGCGTAGCCACACCTGTGGCTTGGAGTGCTAAGCCCATGGCTGGAGGCAGTTTGGGGAGGAACTGGGCCACCTTCTTGGTCTCTCTTCCCTACTAGCCCTGCCCATGTTAGACGAGATAGTCCCCAAATTTGCCCCTGCCTAAGGAGTGAATATCACAGAGTACCAGCCCAGCATTTTATTAAAAAGGGAGGGCCAGGACTGAGTTTTTAAAAAAATAAAATAAGGCCGGGCATGGTGGCTCATGCCTGTAATCCCAGCACTTTGGGAGGCCAAGGTGGGTGGATCACCTGAGGTCAGGAGTTCAAGACCAGCTTGGCCAACATGGTGAAACCCCATCTCTACTAAAAATACAAAAATTAGCTGGGCCTGGTGGCGCACATCTGTAATCCCCGCTACTCAGGAGGCTGAGGCAGGAGAATCGTTTGAACCCGGGAGGCAGAGTTTGCAGTGAGCAGAGATCATGCGACTGCACTCCAGCCTGGGTGACAGAGTGAGACTCCATCTCAAACAAACAAACAAACAAACAAACAAACAAACAGGGAGGAGGCCTCCAGATGGCATGAAGTCTATCTTCACCTGCAGGCAGAGCTTCTAGGGCTCAGGATGGTGATTTTCTCACGATCACTTGACAAGTGTGTTATGGGGCCTAATTTACCTAGAGGAGCAGCAGCAGCTTGGATTCATTAGGAGCATTGATTGGATCAGGAATAAGAGACCTGAGCCCGCCAGGCCCAGTGGCCCACACGTGTAATCCAGTACTTTAGGAAAAGAAGACCTGAGTCCCAGCTCTGCAACCTCCCCCAACTCAGTTTCCTCATCTGAAAGAGGGAAATAATTATACCTTCACCACAAGTAAGAATTGTTGGGTGGGTCCAAAGAGGCTTTTGTGTGCAAAATGCTTTGGAAACTCTAGAGCCTCTGCATGTGTTAGGAAGGTGGAAAGATAGGCTCCATGGGAGGACTCTGCAGAGAGGGTGACAGCCTTGTCCAAGGCAGCGAGGTGGCCAAGTGGCAGAGTGTGTTCACACGGACATGACTCACGCTGAAAGCCCACTGCGTTGGGGGAACAGTCTCACCTTTAACCTGCTCAGCAAGATGGGCTGCCTCAGACCTTCACTTCTAGCCCCATCTCCTCTCTTTGCCCCAATCAGTCTCTGATCAATGTTCTTTCTTTCCTACACTGGCTATTTCAGACTGAGATTTCTTCAGGTTGCAAAGAAGCAGCAATAGCTCCCACTACTGAGAGCTCACTGTGCCAAGCAGTGAGGACATGAGCTCACTGAATCCCACAGCAACCTTAGGAGCTGGGCCCCATCACCATTCCCATCTTACAGAAGATGAAGCTGAGGTTGAGGGACACGAGTGGACTTGGCTGATGTCATCCGCTAGAGTGTGTCTGAGCCTGAAGTGAAAACACAGATCTGCAGACTCCAAGATCAACAAATGCAGCTCCTCCCCAACCCAAAAATTGCCTCTTTCTCCTTAACACCTCTTCTGAGTTGCTGCCACATACCCCAGGGAAAGAGGGTGGGCTGTCTCCTAGGTCAGCCTGTTTTACTGTTGGATGGCTTTTGTTTGTTTGTTTTGAGATAGAGTCTTGCTCTGTCACCCAGACTGGAGTGCAGTGGCGTGATCTCAGCTCACTGCAACCTCCACCTCCCAGGTTCACGCCATTCTCCTGCCTCAGCCTCCCAAATAGCTGGGACTGCAGGTGCCTGCCACTACACCCAGCTAATTTTTTGTATTTTTAGTAGAGATGAGGTTTCACCGTGTTAGCCAGGATGGTCTCGATCTCCTGACCTCGTGATCCGCCCACCTTGGCCTCCCGAAGTGCTAGGATTACAGGCATGAGCCACCGCACCTGGCCGGATGGCATTTTTTAAAATATTTTTTTAAAATGTACTTTTAAATTTTTTTTTTAGAGATGAGGGTCTCACTGTGTTGGCCAGGCTTGTCTCAAACTCCTGGCCTCAAGTGATCCTCCTACTTCGGCCTCCCAAAGTGCTGGGGTTACAGGTGTGAGCCACTGTGCCAGCTCTGGATGGCTTTGTTTTAACTCTTTCTTAGCTGGAGCCGAAGTTGGCCCCTAGAGAATAGACTTGGCTCGGGTTTGAGGCAGGACACAGGACGTACAAGGGGGCAGGAGGAGGGGAAGGGGTACAGCTCAGGCAGGGCCCATGGGAGTGCTGGGAGGGTGCGCTGAAGATGGCCAGGGTGACCTTTGGCTGTCCGGTTGCTACAGAAGCACTCTGCCCAGGTGGTATCCTCTTCTTCCTCCCTAGACAATGGGGCCCTTCTGGAAAGCCAAAAACGAGAGAGAAGGATGTGAGGTTGGACTCACCCATTCTGTCATATGTTACTATAATTCATGTTTGTGCCCCCCAAGTGGGCCCTGGCATCCTGGCAATGTCATGATACATCCTTGGCTCAGTCACCCTCCCAGGTGACTATTTCCTACCTTCTTTTCCCTCCTCCATCCTCCACCCTCCTGCCCAGCCTCCCTTGGCTCCCAGGTCTCTGTGAAAACAACAGCTAACAGCATTGGTCCCATGATCAACAACGGGACAAACAGGGAAATGCATTGACCTGGGGGCAGGCCCCCGGGTTCCCATCTGCTACAATCATTCAGGAGGACTGAGACCAATCACTTGGCTTCTAGAGGCCTCAACTTGATACTCTAGAACTAGGAACAGTCCCACCTCCCCTCCCAGGTTTTGGGAAGGGTTGGCTAGAGTAAAAGGCTTTATAATAATGGCGGCAATTGTTACTCTTGTTGACAAAGTGATGACTTTCTCTGATGCCACAGGAGACTTGCCCTGGGAAGACTAGGGGCCTCAGTGTTGGTGCAAGTTCAGTGGGATCCTCTGGCCAACCTAACCATCTCCCTCATCTCTTCCTAAAGCACTAACTCCAGAAATCAGTGTTCTTCCATGCCCCATGAGCAGAGCAGCTGGCTCAGATTCACTGTATGAATTGCTCATTAAAAGGTAGATTTCTAGGTCTTGACCCAAACTTGCAGAACCCAAATCTCAGGGCATGGCTCAGCAACCTGCCATGTGGGGCCTGCCGAGGGTGAGAACCACTGCCATAAAGCCTTTCCCACCACAGTCAGAGACAAGGAGTGGAGCCAAAGTCTGGCAGAAGGAATGAGGATTGAAACTCATATTCAGGTGTACATGACTATTCACTGATCCTTTACCCAGACAGGATCTTTTCTTCCCCCACACTACACCGATGTACCAGACAAAATCTTGTTGGGTTTGGTGAGGGCAGATGGAAAGGAGACAGAACCTGAGGAAACTAAGAAAAAATGAATCAGGAAGAGAAAAAAGGGGGTGGGAGGTGGTCATAGCCAAAGGCTCCTAGTCCTGAAGACTCAGGCAAGGATTTTCTTTCTTCATACTTTCTTGGCGCCTTTATGCCAGTCAACTTACCTGATCCTCATCATAACTTTAGAAGTAGAGGGAAGAGATTATTGTCCCTTTTTTTCTTTTCTTTCTTTTTCTTTTTTTTTTTTAATAGAGATGGGGTCTCTCTATTGACCAAGGGGGTCTCGAACTCCTGGCATCGAGCGGTCCTCCCATTTTAGCATCCCAAGGTGCTTGGATTACAGGCCTGAGCCATCGCGCTCGGCCCCCTTTTTTCAAGTGAGGAAACTGTGGCTGAGAAGCAAGCCAGCTGGCCTGCCCAAGAGCATTTGTTCATCAAATATTTGTGTGCATCTAATTGGGCACCAGTCCTGGGACACAGAACTGAATGAGGCCTGGCCCAAGGCTTAATCCAGGTCAGCCGACCAAAACCAAGAGCCTACTCCACCGCGGCACCCTGCTGCAGCCCAATGGTGTCGTGTCTATCCCTGCCAGTTCCCACTTGAGATGAGTTCATTCTCCAAGCTTGTCTCTTTAGCCATTCTCTTCTGCCTTCAAACCCTAGAGACTCTGTTTATGTTCAATGAAGTAGGGCAGGGGGTATGTTTATTAATGTCCAAAAAAAGGGCATAGAAAACGAATCTCCATGAGAGGGAAGCATTCTTTCTTTTTGTCTCCCACAGGCAAACCCAAGAAGAGTAGAAGCCAAGGCGCCTAAGGATGATCTTTGGTTTGGAGGGAGGGCTGATGGGCCTGAGGTAGGAGGAGCTGGGCGGTCCCTGCATCACTCTGCCCAGGAAGGAGGGGCAATGGGAAGGCATGATGAGAAAGTTGGGCAAAGGCAGGTTGAGGGGTAATAGGAGATGGGGGGTTGGCAGCCAAGAAGGAAATTCTGGGGCAGGAGGAGAAAACGGAGGTATCTAATCAACATTTTTACTAAGTTTTACTCTGCAGTGTGCAGTGTAACTCTGTCTTCCCTCTTCTGATGAAATCTTCAGTAAAACTTGCTTTATGGCCTTGAATTAACTGTCGGGGTGTGGGATAATGTGCTAGGCCCTCTGTTAGGATGGTTGTCGGTTGCCAACAGAGGATGTACCTGGGGCTTTCAAAACTGGTTTCCATCTCCAAATAATTTTAGAATGTTTCAGCATAGAGCAGAAACAGAAAGATCTTTTGTCTCGAAACACAATGAATAATGAAAGTTCCATGTGTCATATGAGGGATCCTCAAAAGTGATACTGCTTTTCCATAAGACCGGAGCTTTTTGGTGGCAGGTTATTTTTCCTCCTAGTTCTGTTTTTCCTGGCTCCCACCTCATCAGCAGAAGTGACTCTCTGTACCCTCTGCTTGCTCAGAGGACCACACCAGCCCAGGCCCTTCCAAATATCCGGATGCTCTGGCTCACCGCACACAAAGGAGCTTTGTGGGTTCCCAAGTGAATTAAGCATGAATGGGTGATGGGGATGAAGAAAAGCTTGGTGATTTGGTGTGCCAAGTCTTGCCAAGTCCCCATTCCAGATGTCGCTGTACCCCGGTGGGGTGATACAGCAGAAAGTCATTGTTATATGCTTCTGCACTGAAAAAGAATTCTCAAAGTAACTTTCACTCTTTCTTTCCTTCTTTCTTTCTTTCTTTCTTTCTTTCTTTCTTTCTTTCTTTTTTCTTTCTTTCTTTCTTTCTCTTTCTCTCTTTCTTTCTCTCTCTTTCTCTCTCTCTTTTCTTTTTTTTGAGACAGGGTCTCTGTCATTCAGGCTGGAGTGCAGTGGCACGATCTTGGCTCACTGCAACTCCTGCCTCTCTGGTTCAAGTGATTCTCATACCTCAGCCTCCTGAGTAGCTGGGATTACAGGTATGCGCCACCAATTTGTATGTACCCAGCTAATGTGCCCGGCTAATTTTTGTATGTTTTCAGTACAGATGGGGTTTCACCATGTTGGCCAGGCTGGTCTCAAACTCCTGGCTTCAAGTGATCCTCCTGCCTTTGCTTCCCAAAGTCCTGGGATTACAGGCATAAGCCACTGCGCCTGGCCTCAAAGTACTTAAAAATATTTCTTTCTTTCTTTTATTATTATTTTTTTTTTTGAGATGGAGTTTTGCTCTTTTTGCCAAGGCTGGAGCGCAGTGGTGCGATCTCGGCTCACTGCAACCTCCACCTCAAGTGATTCTTCTGCCTCAGCCTCCTGAGTAGCTGGGATTACAGGTGTCCGCCACCACACCCGGCTGATTTTTTTATTTTTAGTAGAGACGGGGTTTCACCATGTTAGCCAGGCTGGTCTCAAACTCCTGACCTCAAGTGATTCGCCCGCCTTGGCCTCCCAAAGTGTTGGGATTACAGGTGTTAGCCACCATGCCTGGCCAAAAAAATTGTTTTCATATACATATTTTTAATTGAGACAAGGTCTCTCTATGTTGCCCAGGCTGGTCTTGAACTCCTGGCCTCAAGTGATCCTCCTACCTTGGCCTCGAAAAGTGCTGGGATTACAAGTGTGAGCCACTGCTCCTGGCCTAAAATTGTTCTTATTGAAATTGAATTTAAAGTGTTGAGCAGGGACTGTGGCTCACACCTGTAATCCTAGTGCTTCCAGGGCCAAGGCAGGAGGATCACTTGAGGCTAGGTGTTCAAGACCTGGCTGGGCAACATAGAGAGATCTGTCTCTACAAAAAGCAAAAACATTAGTCGGGTCTGGTGGCACATTCCTGTAGTGCCAGCTACTTGGGAGGCTGAGTTGGGAGAATCACTTGAGCCCAGGGGGTTGAGGCTGCAGTGGGCTGTAGTCATGCCACTGCACTCCAGCCTGGGTGGCAGAGTGAGACCTGTCTCTATTTTATTCATTTATTTATTTTTTAAAAATAGAGACAGGGTTTCACCATGTCGCCCAGGCTGGTCTCAAACTCCTGGACTCAGGTGATCCACCTGCCTCGGCCTCCCAAAGTGTTGGGATGGGATTACAGGCATGAGCCACTGAGCCCAGCTGAGGGACCTGTCTCTAAATATAATACAATTTAAAAATAAATAAAAAGGCTGGGCGCGGTGGCTCACACCTGTAATCCCAGCACTTTGCCAGGACAAGGTGGGCGGATCACCTGAGGTCAGGAGTTCGAGACCAGCCTCACCAACATGGAGAAACACTGTCTCTACTAAAAAAATACAAAATTAGCCGGGCATGGTGGTGCATGCCTGTGTAATTCCAGCTACTCAGGAGGCTGAGGCAGGAGAATTGCTTGAACCCGGGAGGCAGAGGTTGCAGTGAGCCAAGATTGCACCATTGCACTCCAACCTGGACAACAAGAGCGAAGCTCCATCTCAAAAAACAAAATAAAATAAAATAAAATAAGAAATAATATAAAATAAAATAAAATAAAATAAAATAAAATAAAATAAACAAATGTGACTTGAGTACCCCCTGGTGAGACTGGCACAAAGTCCAAGATCATCCTTTGTGGGCAGTGCCTCTCCTCCCTCAACACTCTGACAATTTGGGTCATTCAAGAACAGCCAGAACTTCTAAAATCCAAGAGAAGTGAACCTGCTCTTTCACTCCCAAAATGGGGAAAAGAGTCTTAAAGCCCATGGGACAGTCATCTGATGCCACCTTCTCTGCCAGGGGGCATGGCTCTGGCTCTCCAGTGTGGCCCTCCTCACTCTGGTGAACTCTCCATCATGCTCTAAGCAGTGAGAGCCGGCGGGGCATCAGCCTGGGCACCACGCTGGGTCCTGGCTGGGACTCTTAGTGTCCCAGGACCCATACTGTGGGAGTGGGCCTCTCATTCCCACTTTGAAAGGTTTGGACAACTCCTCTTAAACAATAGATCCTGAGTTGCCCCTAAGCAGGGCCCAGAACTTAGAAACAAAAAAGTTCACTTGTGGGGATGGAGGTGGGTCATGGAGGATCCACCTTGCTTCCCACCTTACCCTCGGCGGGAGAGACAAGGGGGAGTTTTTGGAACCTTTTATGCTAAACCAGGAAAAAAAAATAATTTTTTAGCAGATTACTCCCATTTTCATTTTTTATGAAAGAGAAGTCCTGATTTTTTCTTTTTTATGTATTTATTTTTTCTTTTTTTAAAAAAAGTTTCTTTTTGTAACAATTTGTTATCTTCAGAATTTTAGGAGGTTTTGTGACATCTAGGAAAGTAGAAGAGACAGTAATTCTCTTTTTTTTTTTTTTTTTTTTTTTTGAGACAGAGTCTTGCTCTGTCGCCCAGGCTGGAGTGCAGTGGCGCGATCTCCACTCACTGCAAGCTCTGCCCCCCAGGTTCATACCATTCTCCTGCCTCAGCCTCCCGAGTAGCTGGGACTACAGGCACCCGCCACCACGCCCGGCTAATTTTTTTGTATTTTTAGTAGAGACGGGGTTTCACCGTGTTTGCCAGGATGGTCTCGATCTCCTGACCTTGTGATCCGCCCGCCTCGGCCTCCGAAAGTGCTGGGATTACAGGCATGAGCCACTGCGCCCGCCCGGCCACCGAGACAGTAATTCTCGAATGGGGATGTTACAGGAAAGGGGTCCCAATCCAGACCCCAAGAGAGTGTTCTTGGATCTTATGCAAGAAGGAATTCAGGGCAAGCGCACAGCGCAAAGCAAAAGCAAGTTTATTAAGAAAGTACAGTGGCAAAAGGACAGCTACTCCATAGAACAGGATGTTCCTGAAAGTAAGAGGAGGAATGCATCCACCTTAGGTGCCATGCTTGCATATATGAGATGTGCTCTGTTACAAGGGTTTGTGATAAATAATTAATTTTCTTAATTACTGTGTTTTGCAAGAATCGATTTTATCTTTAAAACAAAATTAGGAATGCCTTCATTCTCCAGATATCGAGATACCTGCACACTCCCAAGTCTGGGTTTGTTTTAGTAAACATTGTTAATTTGCTCCCTTAACCGTAAACATCTAGAGGCTAGGAATGCCTGATTTTCTGGGAAGGCAGCCCAGCAAGTCCCAGCCTCATTTTCCTTGCCCTCACTCAAAATGGAGTCCTCTGGTTTGAACACCTCTGACAGGGACCTTGAGACAGTGTTTTGGGGGAAAGTACTGTCCAATGACTATTTCTGAACAGTCGTACCTTGTCAGCCAAATATCTCTGTTTCTGGGTAACTGCATAAATCTGTTTTTTTTTTTTTTGACCTGTCTTCCTCTTGCTGTAAAGTTAGAAAAATAACTATGCAACCCTCCTGGTGTCAGAATATTTCATTAAGTAGCCAAAGGCCTCTGTCAGGTCTATAGCAGGAGCTCCCAACCTGCAGGCTGTAGAATTCTGGAAGGCTTAGAGTTGTTGCAAGGGATTAGAGGGTGCTCATGTTTATTGCATGTTTATTATAGAGGTGCTGACACCAGGCTGCCTGGGTTTGAATCTCAGCTCCACCAACATTGCATCTGTGTAATTTTTGTTTGTTTTGTTTGTTTTTTTTTTGAGATAAAGTCTCACTCTGCCACCCAGGCTGGAGTGCAGTGGTGCGGTCTTGGCTCACTGCAACCTCTGCCCCCCAGGTTCATGTGATTCTCCTGCCTCAGCCTCCCAAGTAGCTGGGATTACAGGCGTGTGCCACCACACCCAGCTAATTTTTTTTTTGTATTTTTAGTAGAGACAAGGTTTCACCATGTTGGCCAGGCTGTTCTTGAACTCCTGACCTCAGGTGATCCTCACACCCCAACCTCCCAAAGTGTTGGTATTACAGGCGTGAGCCACAGCACCTGGCCTAGTAGTGTGATTTTTTTTTCTTTTTTTTTTTTGAGACGGAGTCTCGCTCTGTCACCCAGGCTGGAATGCAACGGCGCAATCTTGGCTCACTGCAACCTCTGCATAATGGGTTCAAGCAATTCTCCTGCCTCAGCCTCCCGAGTAGCTGGGATTACAGGCATGCGCCACCATGCCCTGCTAATTTTTGTTTTTTTAGTAGAGACGAGGTTTCACCATGTTGGTCAGGCTGGTCTTGAACTCTGACCTGGTGATCCACCCACCTTGGCCTCCCAAAGTGCTGGGATTACAGGCGTGAGTCACTGCGCCTGGCTGTGTGTGATCTTAAAATGTGTTACTTGAATTCTCTGAGCCTCAAGTTCATTATTTATAGAGTGGGGGTGATACTAAAGGCATCTAACTCATAGATTTAATGTGAGAATTAAAATAATTAACATATGCAAAGTGTTTAGCTCTGTGCCTGACATAGTAACTAGCCAATAGATGTTTATTAATTACTACTATTTTTATTATTAATAGTACTACCGTTTATCAAATAGCTATTATTTCCCAGGGACTGTGTCAGAAACTTCACATTTATGATCTCAAATCCTCATGACATCTCCATTTTATATAAAATGAGCTTACATGACTTGCCCAATGCTAGACTGTTCCAGAACTTGTATTCGATACTGGTTTTCAAAACCTACTCTTGCTGGCTCTAAAGACTGCTTTCTCTGAACCAAATCAAACTATGCCTGAACCAAACTGTAGACTGATTATTTAATATGCCTCGTTTTGGCCAGGTATGGTGGTTCATGCCTGTAATCCCAGTACTTTGGGAGAATGAGGCAGGAGGATCGCTTGAGCCTGGGAGTTCAAGACTGGCCTGGACAACATAGCGAGATCCCATATCTACTGAAAAAAAAAAAATAACCAGGCATGGTGGCGCATGCCTGTAGTCCCAGCTACTCAAGCAGGAGGATCGCTTAAGCCAGGGAAGTTAAGCCTGCATTGAGTTCTGATTGCGTCATGGGACTCCAGCCTGGGTGACAGACAGACCCTGTCTCAAAATAATAATAATAAAGGGCCGGGCACGGTGGCTCATGCCTTTAATCCCAGCATTCTGGGAGGCTGAGGTGGGTGGATCACCTGAGGCCGGGAGTTCGAGACCATCCTGACCAACATGGAGAAACCCCATCTCTACTAAAAATACAAAATTAGCTGGGCCTGGTGGCACATGCCTGTAATTCCAGCTACTCGGGAAGCTGAGGCAGGAGAATCACTTGAACCCGGGAAGCGGAGGTTGCAGTGAGCCGAGATTGCACCATTGGACTCCATCCTGGGCAACAAGAGCAAAACTCCATCTCAATAATGATAATAATAATTAATATGTCTTGTTTTGTGGATACCCAAAACTTGGACACTAGTCAAGTAATTAACAACCATTCCAGCACAGGGCTGACCATCAGAATGGAGGCTGGCCCAACCCCAAGCTAGGGGTGAGAGGCGGGCAGCATTCTGGTCCTGAGCCAGGCACTGCTGCTTTAGTTACTGGATCATGGGGAATAACAAAGTAGTACCAAAGCCCATGTCCTTGCCTTAATGATATAGGGTGATATGTTCTTTTTCTTGTTCATCTAATAATAATTATGCTGGCCATTCTCTTTTCTCATAAAATGTCCCTTCCAGGAGTGAATCTTTGGATTGGCCCACTAGAGACCTTTCCCCTTGAAGCAAGATTGTAATAAAACTCTGATATGTACTTGTGTTGGAAAAAAAAACTCTATCCAAACCGTGTTTTTCTCCTACTCTCACACACCACAACAATCAACAGAGAAGACTTCTGTGATCAAATGTGAGGGGAAGTTTTCCTGAGACACCAACCAGCGGACAGCAGCTGGATGTCCTCCAATTCAATTCCAACACTGTCTCTTTGCAGATAACGTGAGATCCCACAGTTGAGAGCTCAGTCCCCAGGACGGTCCTCCCATCCCTAGACACTTCTCTTCTCTTTTTCCCTAGTCCCTGGGAAATAGTTGCAAGTCCGGGCCTCCAAAACTTCCTGAAGCCAGTGCGGGGATTGGCTTCAAGTTGTGGTCCCATGACCCCCTTTTTGGGTTGGATTAATTTGCAGGAGCGGCTCACAGAACTCAGGGAAACATGTTAACTGCTTTATTATAAAGGATGTTACAAGGGATACAGATGAAGAGACGTGGAGGGCAAAGTATGGGAGAAGGGACTCAGAGCTTCCATGTCCTCCCTGGGCACATCACCCTCCAGGAACCTCCACGTGTTCAGCTACCCGGAGCTCTCCCAACCCAGTCCTCTTGGGTATTTTTGTTTTGTTTTTTATTTTTATTTTCTTTCTCTCTCTTTCTCTCTCTTCTCCTTCCTTCCTTTCTCCTTCCCTCCCTCCCTTCTTTCCTTCCTTCCTTCTTTCCTTCTTTCTTTCTTTTTTTTTGACAGAGTCTTGCTCTGTTGCCCAAGCTGGAGTGGAGTGACATGATCTCGGCTCACTGCAACCTCTGCCTCCCAGGTTCAAGAGATTGTCCTGCCTCAGCCTCCCAAGTAGCTGGGACTACAGGCGCCCACCACCACGCCCAGCTAATTTTTTGTGTTTTTACTAGAGATGGGGTTTCGCCATGTTGACCAGGCTGGTCTAGAACTCCTGACCTCAGGTGATCCTCCTGTCTTGGCCTCCCAAAGTGCTGGGATTACAGGCTTGAGCCACTGTGCCTGGCCATGTTTTCTCTTTTTTTGTAGACAAGTTTTTGCTCTGTGGCCCAGGCTGGAGTGCAGTGGCATGGATAACAGCTCACTGCAGCCTTGACCTCCTGGGCTCAAGTGATCCTCCTACCTCAGCCACCCAAGTAGCTAGGACTAAAGACTTTTACCATCATGCCTGGCTAATTTTTTAATTTTTTTTTTGGTAGAGGCCAGGTTCCATTATGTTGCCCAGGCTAGTTTCAAACTCCTGGGCTCAAGCCTTCCACCTCAGCCTCCCAAAGTGCTGGGGTTACAGGTGTGAGCCACCACACCTGGCCCTTTTGGGTTTTTATAGAAGCTTCATGACATCAGCATTCCTTTCCTCAGTGTGTACAGGGTCTTAATACTCATAGTCAGAAAGGTGGGGGTAGATTAGAGGCCTGCCTTGGGGCAGATGAAAGGAGGGCAGAAGAAAGAGAGATTCTGTTTCCTGAGGCCTGCCCCTGAGGCCTAACACGCCCAACATTGTAACAAAAGACTGTAACAAGGGCTATGGGAGTTATGAACCCGGAACTGTGCACAAAAACCAATATATGTCATAATACCACAGTATACTTAACAGAAATGTCTAGAAAGTTGTTTTTAACTGTGGAGAGGTTTCCCAAGAGTTGGGCAGAAATGGGACTTAGAACAGAGTAGGGACAGATGTATTTCAATAATTAAGCTAATATGGCCACAGGTCCCAGCTCTGAATCAGCCCTGAATGCAATACCTTTTAAATTCATCTAGACCGTGTAGATTTTATTGTGGTTAGTACAATACAAGACCTGATTTCACAATAGCTTATTGACATTATGTATTTTGTCAAACAATGGCTAATGTGACATTATTTATGTTAAAAAGGCAAGATCCACTGATGAATGCTAAAAGAGTGAATGAAATGTTAAGGAGCAACACAACATTTGGATAGCCTTAAAGCATTTTCTTCAAAATATTAATGACCATGGTGGTTTTAACAGATGTCCACAGATTCTTTGATACACCTCCTCTGGGAAGTGGGACTTAATTCTTTTCCCCTTTGGTGCGGACTGGACTTAGTGACTTGCTTCTAGAGTATGGAAAGAGGAAAAATGGCAACTTCACAACAGAGAAACTTGGCAGACATAACCTTAACCAAGTGATTAAGGTTAACATCACCAGCAACAAGTTATGCTGATCTCATATATCCCCAGATATTATTTAAGGTGAGGGATGCTTCCCCCTCTGTGGTATTCCCCAAAATCCATGACTCCAGTCTAGTGAGAAATATCAGACAAAGCCTCAGGGACATTCTACAAAATTCCCAACCAGTACTCTTCAAAAGTGCCAATGGGGCTGGGCGCGGTGGCTCACACCTCTAATCCCAGCATTTTGGGAAGTTGAGGTGGTGGATCACTTGAGGTCAGGTGTTCGAGACCAGCCTGGCCAACATGGTGAAGCCCGCTCTCTACTAAAAGTACAAAAACTAGCTGGGTGTGGTGGTGCATGCCTGTAATCCCAGCTACTCGGGAGGCTGAGGCAGGAGAATCACTTGAGCCCAGGAGGTAGAGGTTGCAATGAGCCGAGATCTTGCCACTGCACTCTAGCCTGGGTAACAGAGTGAGACTCTGTCTCAAATAAATAAATAAATAAATAAATAAATAAATAAATAAATAAAATAAGATAAAATAAAAAACTGCCAATAAGCCAGGTGCAGTGGCTCACATTTGTAATCCCAACACCTTGGAAGGCCCAGGCAAGAGGATGGATTGAGCCCAGGAGTTAAAGATCAGTCTGGATAAGATGGAGAAACTCTGTCTCCACAAAAAAAAAAAAAAATTTTTTAAATTAGCCAGGTACGGTGGCAGGTTCCTGTAACCCCAGCTATGTGGGAGCATCCCTCAAGCCCAAGAATTCTAGGCAGCAGTGAGCTATGATTGTGCCACTGTACTGTAGCCTGGCTTATAAATTGAGACCCCATCTCTAATGAAAAAACAAAAACAAAAAACACCAAAGAAAAGTGCCAAGGTCATGAAAAAACAAGACCAAGAAATTGTCACAGATTGGAAGCGAGTAAGGAGACATGATGGTTAAATACAACATGATATACTGGCTGGAATCCTGGCACAGAAAAAGCACATTCATGGAAAAACTGGCAAAATCTAAATAACATTTGTAGTTGTGTAGTTAATAGTGTTGTGGTAATGTCAATTTTTTTTTAAGAGAGTCCCACTCTGTTGCCCAGGCTGAAGTGCAGTGACACAATCATAGCTCACTGCAATCTCAAACTCCTGGTCTCCAGTGATCCTCCCACTTCAGCTTCCCAAAATGCTGGGATTACAGGCAAGTGCCACTATGCCCAGCTGGCAATGTCAATTTCTTAGTTTTGATTTTCCTGCCATGGCTATGTAACAAAAAGGGAAGATGGGTGAAAGTTATATGGGAACTCTCTGTTCCCTTTTACAACTCTTCTGTAAATCTAAAATCATTTCAAAATAATAGATTAAAAATACCAACAGGAAGCCTGGTGCGGTGGCTCACATCTGTAATCCCAACACTATGGGAGGCTGACGTAGGCGGATTGCTTGAACCCAGGAGTTTGAGACCAGCCTCAGCAACATACCGAAACTCTGTCTGTACAATAATAATAATAATAATAATAATAATATAAAAATTAGCAGGGTGTGGTGGTGCTCGCCTGAAGTCCCAGCTGCTCAGGAGACTGAAGTGGGAGTATCTCTTGAGCTCAGGAGGCAGAGGTTGCAGTGAGCCAAAATCGCGCCACTGCACTCCAGCTTGGGTGACAGAGTGAGACCCTGTCTCAAAAACAAACAAACAAAAAAACCAACAAGAATAATAAAATCACAAAGCCTTCAAATTCCCCAATTAAACAAACAAGCAAACAAAATGTTTTCACAAATATTGGGAACTGCAGTTTACACAACATGCAAATAGCTCGATGAAAGAATCCAACAATAATACTAACAAAAAGCAGGAGGTCATGCAGATGTTTCCAACCATCCCAATGCATGTGCAGTTGAGTGCAATGGATGTCCTCCTTCTTTTCTCTTGAGACAGGGTCTCACTCTGTCACCCTGGCTGGAGTGCAGTGGCATGATCTCGGCTCACTGCAACTGCTGCCTCCTGGGCTCAAATGAGCCTCCCACCTCAGCCTTCTAAATAGCTGGGACTCCAGGTGTGCACCACCATGCCTGGATAATTTTTTTTTTTTTGGTATTTTTTGTAGAAATGAGGTTTTGCCGTGTTGCTCAGGCTGGTCTCAAACTCCTGGACTCAAGTGATCCACTCACCTCAGCCTCCCAAAGTGCTGGGATTACAGGTGTGAGCCACTGCATCCAGCATGAATGTTCTCTTCTGGGCTGGCAGTATTCACACTCAGAACTGTGATCTAGGGTTAGAGGGCAGCATGGACAAGTCCAAAGCTTGAGGTTTCTCAGTGGGTCAGGGTGGGAAGACGGAAGGTAGGTTCTGTGTGTTCCAGCAGGAATGGAGGGAGGCAGTGGATTAAAATAATTAAATCAAATAATTAAATGAAGATAATTCACACATGAAAAGTGCTTAGCCCTGAGCCTGGCATAGTAACCAGTCAATAAAAGTTTATTATTATTATTATTGTTATTTTTGAGATGGAGTCTCGCTCTGTAGCCCAGGCTAGAGTGCAGTGGCACGATCTCGGCTCACTGTAACCTCCACCACATGGGTTCAAGCAATTCTCCTGCCTCAGCCTCCCATGTAGCTGGGACTACAGGTATGTCCCACCACGCCCGGCTAATTTATTGTATTTTTAGTAGAGACGGGGTTTCGCCATGTTGGCCAGGCTGGTCTCGAACTCCTGACCTCAGGTGATCCCCCCATCTTGGCCTCCCAAAGTGCTAGGATTACAGGCATGAGCCACCACGCCTGGCAATAAACATTAATTATTGTTATTAGTAGTAGTAGTACCATTTATCAAATACCCACTTTTTTCTAGACACTGTGCCCAAAACTCTGCATCCATTACCTCAAATCTTCACAACATCCCTGTTTTACATAAAGTAAGCTTACGTGACTTGCCCAAGTTAGACTGCTCCTGAACTTGGATTCAATACTGATTTGCATAGTAGCCTCCTGGGCCTCAGTTTATCAAAAGGTAAAAGGCTAGAAATGGCCCCAGAAAAGTGGGATAGCCCAGTGGGGAAAACCTAGGGCTTTGAAGTCAAAGAGACCTTCCTACCTTCTTCACATGGCAATGGCCTCCGTCCTTAACACATCCAAGCACATAGTACTCAGTTCACAGTAGTAGAGCAGGGTCATATTTGGAGCTTTTTAATTGAGCCTTTTTCTTCCTCACCAACTTTTTTTTTTTTCTGTTTAATGGCCCTTCACCAATTGTCTGAAGGGGCACTGGAGTATAGCCTGAGAGAAAGAAGTCATTGTTCAGCCTTGAATGTCAAATGGGACTCTTATAAAAGTCCAAAGCAGAATTATTTTAAAGATCCAGGCACTCAACTACAAAGTCAATATATACAGAAGAGACACATTTTTTTCAAAATCTTCTCTTTAAATATCAAGAGATTTATTAACAGATCAAGGAGGATAAAAAGTAAAAGGAAAAAAAATCAAGAGATGAAACTTGGATGACCCAAGGAATAAAAGTTTCCCTGATGTCATCAAGTAGGTAATTTCTCAGGTCAGGCAAGAAACTCTTCCTGGATGGACTGAGAAACATAGAAAAGAGAGCAAGTGCCTGGGATTCAGGTCTCATCTGCTTAGGGTGAATGCCCAGTGGAAGGAGTAGAAGACCAATGAACTAAGGGGCGTATGCCTCCTTCCACGGGAGGTGGAATGGCTGTGAGGCCTATTGAGGGAGAGAGAGAAGCAACGTTCTCTCTGGCCCAGCCCCACGGCTCCCCATTCCCTCCACGTACCAGTTCTGAAGCTATCAGCCCTTGTCCCCAAACCTATCCCTGTATGTGCCGTCTGGTGACGCTGGGGCTGGCATTGGGGCCCACCCTATTTCTGTTCCGTCAGCTGTTTCCAGGATAGGCTCTGCCAATAGGGGACCCTGGAGGGTGCAAGGCGGTCCCAGGAAGAAAGGTCTCAGCATACCGTTCCATCCTGTCACCATCGCCTCAGCGATGGCCCTTCATTCACCCTGGCAGAGGAAATTGGTTCCAGCAGCAAGCGGTTCTAGTTTCTAGGTTTTCCCCACCTTCCCAGAACCAGCCCCACTGTGGCCCCTCGGAGACACCAGCACCAGTTACAGCCATGCCCTCCTCCGGGTCTGGGTCCCAGCTGCTAGGTCCTGACACCTAACTTCCTCCCTTGTTCTCCCTTCCCTAGGGGTGGTGTCTGTTTCCTGCAGTTACTACCTCCGCTCTCATGCCGCCGGCTTTTCCATCTGTCAATTAATGTTTAGTCAGTTCTTTTAAAAACATTTAAAATTTTTTGTTTTTCTTTGTCTCCATCAAAACTCCTGTTGAAATAGTCAATTCTTTCTATTCAATTCCCTCTCTTAAAGCAACCAGTCTGCTTTCTGTGTTCCTGATGAGACTGACTCATACAAACGTCTGACTCCCCTGAGGCCTTTGTGGGTCATGGGTAAGCATCAGAAGTTTCCAGTAGGACACATCTAAGCCCTGAGGAACCTGTGAGAGGCTTGGGGTCAGGATGAGGAGGGCTCAGAGCACACAGCTCTGGCAACAGACACCGTGGCTGGAGGCTTCAGGAGTGACGTATGCCCAGGCCCAAAGCCAGAGAGGACCAGTGACACCAGCAGAGAAGCAATGGGGAGAAGCTGGCACCAGACACCACAGAGGGCAAGGCAGCCCATAGGGCCATCAAGCCCAGAAGCCTAGGCCCAAGCCCATAGGTGTTAGGTAAGGCTCCTCTGCCACCCGATGTGATCCTTGGACAGAAGGAGAAGGCACCACCGAGAGACGAGCAACCCTAACAGCAAGTTCAGATCCTGAGCTGACGATTTTTCCAAACAAGACTAAATATTTTTGTCTAAATTTTTTGGTATTGACATAATTTCAGATTTATAGAAAAGTTGGAAGAGTAAGGCAAAGAATTCTGAATCCCTTCATCCAAATTCCCTAAATGTTAACATTTTACTATATCTGCTATATTCTTCTGTGTTTGTGTGCACATGTGCATGTGTATTTTTTTCTGAAATGTTTAAAAGTTGTCCACATAGTGCCCTTTTGTTCCTAAATACTTTAGTGTGTATTTCCTAAAAACATGGACGTAACCCTACATATCCACAGTATAGTTATCAAACTTGGAGAATTGGCCGGGCATGTTGGCTCACACCTCTATAATCCCAGCACCTTGGGAGGCTGAGGCAGGAGGATCACTTGAGGCCAGGAACTGGAGACCAGCCTGGCCAACATAGTGAGACTCCCTATCTTAAAAAAATTTTTTAGGCCGGGCGTGGTAGCTCACGCCTGTAATCCCAGCACTTTGGGAGGCTGAGGCAGGCGGATCACCTGAGGTCAGGAGTTCGAGACCAGCCTGACCAACGAGGTGAAACTCTGTCTCTACTAAAACACAAAAATTAGCTGGGCATGGTGGTGGGCGCCTGTAATCCCAGCTGCTTGGGAGGCTGAGGCCGGAGAATCACCTGAACCTGGGAGACGGAGGTTGCAGTGAGCCGAGGTTGCACCATTGCACTCCAGCCTGGGCAACAAGAGCAAAACTCCGTCTCAAAAAAAATTTTTTTTTAACACGAAAATTAAAAATTGGAGAATTAACATTATACAAGACTATTATCTAACCTGTAGACTTATTTCAGATTTTACCAATTGTCCCCAAATGTCCTTTAAAGCAAAAGAAAATGCACGCTCTCCCACTGCATTTAGTTGTCATGAAAAAATACATTTTAACCCAGAAATAAATCAGGGGAAGAGGAGTTGTGATCGCGTTGGGTTCAGTTGTGGAAGGAAAGTTTTATTTCTGCAAATCTGAATCATACAGTATAAATGCTGACCCTGCTATGTTAGCAATTAATAATAGCGTTGATGATAATGGTAATAATAGTTCATGACCCTTTCTGTCCTGGATCTTTATCTGTTTGAGATACAGTTGTAGTCATTTGGCATCAGCCAGTTGCTCCATGAAAAAAAGGTTTATTGAGACAATGTAGCATACGGCAAACACAGAAGTTGCAGGGTTAGACAGACCTGGGTTGAAAACTGGCTTTGCCTTGCTGGTGGTATGACCTTGGACATGGTTTGAACCTTACTGAGCCTCCGCTTCCTTGCCTTTAACATTGAGAAGGGGTAGGATCTGGAGTCCAACAAATCTAGGTTCACATCTTTGCTCTGTGCTTGCTAGTTCTGGGCCCTTGGGCAAGTGCTTTCATCAGGTTGCATTTTGGTCTGCTCATCTGTAAAATGGGCACCTTGCTGGGATATTGGGAACAGAGATGATTTTTGTATGAAATCCACCTGGTTCATAGTAGTTCTTAGTGAATGGCTATTTTACTTTATTTTTTGATAGGATCTAATTCTGTCTCTCAGGCTGCAGTGCAGTGGTACAATCATGGCGCACTGTAGCCTCGACCACTGGAGCCCAGGTGATCCTTCTGCCTCAGCCTACTGGGTAGCTGGGACTACAGCCACGTGCCATCACGCCCAGCTAATTTTTGTATTTTTTGTAGAGTCAGGTTTCACCATGTTGCCCAGGCTGGTCTTGAACTCCTGGGCTCAAGTGATCCACCCACCTCGGCCTCCCAAAATGCTGGAATTACAGGCATGAGCAACCACACCTGGCCATTAAATGTTAATTGTATCAGCCCTTCCGAGTTGGGGCATGTGATTCTTCCTCTGTGAGCCTCAATTTCTTCATCTGTAAAACAGAGCCAGTAGTACCCATCTTTTGGTGTGAAGAATGAGAAGTGAAGGTGGAAGGGCTTGGTGCTCTGAAAAGCCTGGTGCCTTGTGGCCCTGGCAGAGTATGTGATTGGTGGGGCAGTGACAAAAACAGAAAGTGCTTTGGAATCCTGGGGCCTGCCAGGAATGTGGGCAAACCTGTTCCATCCACTGCTGCCCCAAGCTCCAGACTCTCCCATCTTCTCCCCCAATCAGGTTCCCTCCCCCATTCTTTGGGTGCGTCTTGGCTTGTCCTGCCTGTCTTCTTCTAGGAAGCCACTCAGTCCTGCCTCAAAGAAGGGAGGAAGGATGTCACCTTGTCCTGGGCAAGTTATTGGGCAAGACCAGGCAGCTCCAGTGCTAATTTAATGCTGGGAAGAGAGTCGGGGAACCTGCAGCTCTGGCCAGCTTTCCCCCAAGGAATCCCAGCCCTACCAGCCTCCTCCCTGTCTCTGGCACATACCAGTTCACAGCCAGATCAGTAGAGCAGAGGTGTACAATGGGGAGGCTCTGGCCTGAGAAGAGGAAGCCCCTGAGAGCATTCAAAGGGTCAAGAGAGGACTAAGGCAAGACCTCTTGGGTAAGAGGGCCCCAGAAAGAGAGCCAACCCTGGGACCAGCCAAGGGAGGCAAGAGGTGGGTGTGTTTCCAGAGTGGACAGATGTCCATTCGACCTCCTGCCTTGATGGTGGAGTCGTACAATGGGCCAGGCCCTGTGCTGAGCTCTTGACATGATACACATTATACTTATCTTATGGAACCCTCATATGTCCTAGGATCCCAGGGCCTATCCCCCTTGGATAAAGGAGGAAACTGAGGCCCGGAGAGTGACGCTTCCAGTTCCAGTTGGTGTCTGCTCAGGGGTTGGAATCTGAATTGGCTCAACTCCAAAATCCATGTTCAGCAGGTTTTCTGTAGGATGGAGAAGGATCAGGAGCTAGGCCCAGGGCTGTCCCTAACTTCAAGGGCTAACATTTTTCTGGGTGTAACCCTGTGACCTTGCCAAGTTACTTATGTATTCCTTCCCCTGCACTGACACATTCTAGGGATCCCGGAGTGGGCAGGGACTGTCCACATCATCTAGCCCTTCTTAAACATATCTGTAATTACAGGCCCTTAGGTGCCTTCTCCCCACCCAACCTGACTGTGGGTTCTTCCAGGCACTGAATCCAATTACTCTATTTATCTGCCCACATACCAAGCAAATGCCAGGAATGCATTTGGTGTTTATTGAATGAAGGCACGAATGAGGTGGAGTTAAACCTCCTTGCTTCTCAGAGGAAGCACTAAGACCCAGCGAAGGAGGGAAGGGGCTTGCCCAAGGTCACTGTCCAACTTCCACCCAGGGTACTTTCCCTTCTATGACTCAGTCCTGGCATGGGCCCAGGGTTTTGCCAAGAAGGGCTGCCTTTGGGGAGCCCCGTGGGAAACCAGAGACCCCATCTGGCCCTTAAAGCTCTTCCTCTCTTTAAGATTAGGAAAAAGGTCATAGCAACCCAAAGGAGGCGGAGCAACTGGAGTTCAAGACATTCACCTTAAAAGGTACACTCAGTTGCCCCTGCGTTTGGACTTTGCTGACCTGGAAAAAAGAGAACTGCATAGTAATCCATTTGTGTTCCATCTCGTCAAAAGTATAGCACCTGTGGGGGCTGAGCTGGTGTTTCGTGGGATCATGATGATTCTCTGACTTGAAGTGCAAGGACTGGGAAAAAATTCCATGTCTGTAAGAAAATGAATCCTAAAGATTCCAGTGTTGTACCTTATCCATTGATATATTCATTCATTCATCCATTCACCCACTCATTCATCAATGTAGTATTTCCCAAATGTCACTCATTCCTGTACTACTTTCATCATTTTTTATAATCTGTAAGATATTTTTGCTTTGTGTTTTTCTTTATTGGACTATTTTACTTAAATAAATTTAGCCTCAGCCTAAGCAACAGTACAGTCTGTTTAAATATAGCTATTACAATAACAAAATGTTTGTCCATGTATCACCTAAAACCCTCTTCTGTGCCACCTTGGATGTATCTGCATTCACTCATCCTCTCCTCTCTGCACCTCAGGTCCCACAAGTGAGCAGTGGAGGGCATTCGGATGCAATGATCTTTCAGCCCTAACATTCTGGAAGTCTGATTCAAAGAGTCACACCCAGCAAAGGAAAACACAGAGACTAGACGGAATCAGTGAAGAGGTGGCTGGTCAAAAGCAGCACATGTATCGTGTTTTCAAAGCTCAGCAGTGACTCAGGAAGGCAAGACAGGAAGTCCCTTGGGAATGGTCTGTAAACCAGGGCGAGGGACTAAGAAAAACAGGTAGATAAGTCCCCAGGAGCCTTAAACAGCCCCCAAAGCATGAGCTACACATATGTCACTAGACTCTGTCAGAACCTTTCAGAGCTGGCCAGGCATGGTGGCTCACGCCTGTGATCCCAGCACTTTGGGAAGCTGAGGTGGGAGGATAGGTTGAACCCAGGAATTCGAGACCAGCCTGGGCAACATAGCGAGACCTTGTCTCTACCAAAAATAAAATAAATAAATAATTTAAAAAGAGGCCAGGAGTGGTGGCTCACACCTGTAATCTCAGCACTTTGGGAGGCCCAGGCGGGCGGATCACCTGAGGTCAGGAGTTACAGACCAGCCTGGCCAACGTGGCGAAACCTCATTTCTACTAAAAATACAAAAATTAGTCAGGCATGGTGGCAGGCGTCTGTAATCCCAGCTACTCAGGAGGCTGAGGTGGGAGAATTGCTTGAACCTGGGAAGCAGAGGTTGCAGTGAGCCGAGATGGCGCCGCTGCACAGAGCAAGACCCCGTCTCAAAAAAAAAAAAAAAAGTAATAAAGTAAAAAATAAAAAGAACCTTCCAGAGTTTCTAGAGGCACTAAGACACTAAAATGCCAGAGAAAGCCATTTTACCCCTGAAGAAGCTCAGCACTGGGAAATGACTGGGCAGAAACGTGGCCCACCTGGCCTGCTCCTAGTCCCCAGGACCGGCCAAACTGAAGTAGGTTTCTTCAGTTTTCTTCAGGTTTCTTCAGTAGGTACCTGCTCAGCCCACAAGCCCAGGGAGTCTCCTGGGTCCTTGGTTCTTCTATGCAGCCCAGCCTCCTTGTCCAGTTAACTGGGGCAGAAGCAGGTACCTGACTCACAGGCAACCACTCTAGAGGCCAGGCTGGGCCAGTCAGATTCCTGAACTTTGGAATTAGGACAAGGAGAGGCCAGACTGTTTGCCACAGGTCCTGGTTGGGTAAGGAAATGTAGATTTGCCAAGGAGGGCTGCTTGGGACACGTGTCTGAAAGACAGAAAGGAAATTGGTGTTTTGAGAGAAGTGGACGGAAAGGTGGGCATTCCCCCAACACCAGTCCTGAGTGTAAGGTCCTTGTGCGACTTGCCTGCCCTTGAGATCTGTGAGATAGTTCTAACGCCTTATATTGAATTACATTTTTTGCTTAAACTAGCTGGAGTGGGCTTCTATTTCATGTAAACAAATCAATCACTGATATAGTGAAGCCCGTCCTTCAAAGTTTCCCAAATTAGACTTGGCAAGTCGGCATAATGGTAATGATGCTAATGACACCCCTGACATTTGATTGGTGTTTTATAATTTAAAAGTCCCTAACATAGGGGTCATCACTCCAGCCTGGGATGACTTGCCCCAGACCTACTCATGCTCCAGACTCTTGGGGAACGGCATCACTCCTAAAACTCTCAATGTCTTCAACAATAAAGTGGGGTTAATAAAGCCTGTTTTAAGTGGTTGTTGCAAGGTTTGAATGTGGTATGCAAAGTGTTTAGCACTTTGGCACACAGTAAAAGTGCTCAGTATGTGGTAGCCATAATAGTGATTTATTATATAAAGTACCTAGATGAGGCTAGACACATAATCACTAATCAAAAATTATGTAATATAAAGTGCTTACTGATCAGTGCAGAGGGTTTGACTTGACCAGACTTAACAGGATCACTTGTAAAACAAAGGAGTTTTAGTTGATCACAAGCTTTATGTGAGTCAACAGAAACCATCACAAAGCTAATGTGATCTCAGGCCATATTAAGAAAAGTTTTATCTCTAGAAGATGGGAGATGTTAGTCATGTCCACCTCAGTCCCTATCAGACAACACCTAGTGGTGGGGAGGGGGCGGGCTCTAGGAAGAGGACCTGTGACCTCACAACTTTCTAAGAAAAATAAAATTTCTTTCTTGGCAAGTATGCTTGCACATATAGAACTCAAAAAACATTCCTCTATTTTTTTTTCCTTTTTCACTTATGCCTTTGTCTTGGAGTAGTTAGAGAAAGCCACTGCAATCAAGACAGTGTGGTATTGGTATACAGATGAATAAATTTAAAATGTCTGCCCTTTGGAAGACACAAGAGAATGCAAATACAATCCACAGACTGAGAGAAAATATTTGCAAATGATTTATGGTGTGGTTTGGTTTTGTGTCCCTACTCAAATCTCATCTCAAATTCTAATTCCCACATGTCAGAGGAAGGGCCTGATGGGAGGTGATTGGATCATGGGGGTGAATTTTCCCCTTGGTGTTCTTGTGATAGTCAGTTCTCATAAGATCTGATGGTTTTAAAGTGTGGTTCTTCCTTCCCTTGCTCTCTCTCTGTCTCTCTCCTGTCACCATGTAAGATGTGCCTTGCTTCTCCTTCACCTTCTGCCATTATTGTAAGTTTCATGAGGCCTCCCCAGTCATGTGAAATTGTGAGTCAATTAAACCTCTTTTCTTTATAAATTACCCAGTCTCAGGTAGTTCTGTATAGCAATGTGAAAACGGACTAACACAGAAAATTGGTACCAGGAGTGGGGTACTGCTGTAAAAATTCCTGAAAATATGGAAGTGACTTTGGAACTGGGTAATAGGCAGAGGTTGGAACAGTTTGGAGGGCTCAGAAGAAGACAGGAAGATGTGGGAAAGTTTGGAACTTCCTAGAGACTTGTTGAATGGTTTTGACAAAAATGCTGATAGTGATATGGACAACGAAGTCCAGGCTGAAGTGGTCTCACATAGAGATGAGGAACTTATTGGGAACTGGAGCAAAGGTCACTCTTGCTATGCTTTAGCAAAGACACTGGTGGCATTTTACCCCTGCCCTAGAGATACATGGAACTTTGAACTTGAGATAAATGATTTAGGATATCTAGTGGAAGAAATTTCTAAGCAGCAAAGCATTCAAGAGGTGGCTTGGGTGCTTCTAACAACATACAGTCATATGCAGTCACAAATAGATGGTCTGAAATTGGAACTTATGTTTAAAAGGGAAGCAGAGCAAAAGTTTGGGAAATCTGCAGCCTGACCAAGCAGTAGAAAAGAAAAACCCATTTCCTGGGGAGAAATTCAAGCTGGCTGGATAAATTTGCATAAGTAACAAGGAGCCAAATGTTACTCACCAAGACAGTAGGGAAAATGTCTCCAGGGCATTTCAGAGATCTTCCTCAGTCCCTCCCACCACAGGCCCAGAGGTCTAGAATAGAAAAATGGCTTCATGAGCCAGGTTCAGGGCCCCTGCTGCTCTATGCAGCCTTGGGACATGGCACCCTGCATCCCAGCCACTGGAGATCCAGCTGTGGCTAAAAGGGGCCAAGGTATAGCTAAGACCATGGCTTCAGAGGGTGCAACCTCCAAGCCTTGGTGACTTCCATGTGGTGTTGTGCCTGCAGGTGTGCAGAAGGCAGGAGTTTAGGAGACTTTGCCTAGATTTCAGAGGAGGTGTGGAAACATTTGGATGTCCAGGCAGAAGTCTGCTGCAGGGGCAAAGCCCTCATGGAGAACCTCTGCTAGGGCAGTATGGAGGGGAAATGTGGGATTGGAGCCCCAACACAGAGTCCCCACCAGGGCACTGCCTACTGGAGCTGTGAGAAGAAGGCCATTGTCTTCCAGACCCAAGAGTGGTAGATACACTGACAGCTTGCACCATGCACCTGAAAAAGCCTCAGGTCCTCAATGCCAGCCTTTAAAAGCAGTTGTGGAGGCTATACCCTGTAGAGCCACAGGGGTGGAGCTGCCCAAGGCCTTGGAAACCCACTTCTTGCATCAGCGTGCCCTTGATGTGACACATGGAGTCAAAGGAGATTATTTTAGAGCTTTAAGATTTAATGGCTGCCCTGTTGGGTTTTGGACTTGCATGGGGCCTGTGGCCCTTTTGTTTTGGTCAGTTTCTCCCATTTGGAACAGGAACATTTAACCAATGCCTGTACCACCATTGATTTTACAGGCTCATAGGCAGAAGGGACTTGCCTTGTCTCTGATGAGACATTAGACTTAGACTTTTGAGTTAATGTTGCAATGATTTAAGACTTCTGGGGACTGTTGGGAAGGCATAATTAGTTTTGAAATGTGAAAGGACATGAGATTTTGGAGGAGCCATGGGCCAAATGATCTTATTTGGCTCTGTGTGCCCACCCAAATCCCATCTGGAATTATAATTCCCATGTGTTAAAGAAGGGGCCTGGTGGGAGATGATTGGATCATGGGGGCAGGTTTCTCCCTTACTGTTTTCATGACAGTGAGTTAGTTCCCCTGAGATCTGATGGTTTTAAAGTGTGGCAGTTCCCTACCTCACTCTCTCTCTTGCCACCATGTTAAATGTGCCCTTGCTTCTCCTTTACTTTCTGCCATGATTGTTAAGTTTCCTGAGGCCTCCCCAGCCATGTGAAACTGTGAGTCAATTAAACCTCTTTTTTTTCTTTTCTTTTTCTTTTTCTTCTTCTTCTTATTCTTTTTTTTTTTTGTTGTTGTTGTTGTTGTTGTTGATGGAGTCTCACTCTGTCACCCAGGCTGGAGTGCAATGGCATGGTCTTGGCTTACTGCAACCTCTGCCTCCCAGGTTCAAGTGAGTCTCCTGCCTCAGCCCCCTGAGTAGCTGGGAATACAGGCACCTGCCACCACGCCTGGCTAATTTTTGTATTTTTAGTAGAGATGGGGTTTCACCATTTTGGCCAGGCTGGTCTCAAACTCCTGACCTCGTGATCTGCCCGCTTCAGCCTCCCAAAGTGCTGGGATTACAGGCATGAGCCACCACGCCTGGTCAACCTCTTTTCTTTATAAATTACCCAGTCTCGGGTAGTTCTTTATAGCAGTGTAAAAATCGGCTAATACAATATATTTGATAAAAGTCTTGTGTCCAGAATATAAAAAGAACTTCCAAATGCAATAATTAGAAAATAAGTAATGCAAATAGGGGCAAAATACTTGAACAGATACTTCACCAAAGAAGATATCTAGCGACAGGGCATGTTATCTTACACCTATAATCCCAGTGCTTTGGGAGGCTGAGGTGGGAGGATCACATGAGCCCAGGAGTTCAAGGTTACAGTAAGCTATGATCATACCACTGCACTTCAGCCTGGGCAACAGAGCAAGACTGTCTCTGAGCAAAAAAAAAAAGCGGGGGATAAACTAAACAGACCCTGAACCAGACTCTGTTCTCAAGGAGCACCCAGGTTGGTGGAGAAGACAGGTGGGTCATCAATCAGTTCATTATGATCCAGAAAACCAGGGAGAAACAGAAAGTGACAGGACACAGGGTGGAGAGGAAAAAAGCCCAGATCCACTCTCCAGCCCTGGACTCAGAATTAGTTAGCAAATAATATATGCTAGGTGCTGTACATAATCTGCGTCCTTTAAATCTTACCACAAACCCACATGTCAAGTAGCTACCTTTAGTCTCATTTTACAGATAAGGAAAACCGAGGCTCAGAGAAGCTAAGTAGTCCAGGGTCAGACCATTTGTTAAACCTCAGAATCTGGATTCCAGCTCGTCTGATTCCAAAGTCAACCATGCTCTCCTGCCTCCCATTATAAAGTGTTGCGCACTATAATTATATTTCTGAACCTTGACTGAGGGAGAAAGTTTATAATTTTCACTCTTTCCTTCCCAGGAGTGATTCTTTTTTAAGTAAAATAGAGACGAGGCCTCACTATGTTGCCCAGGCTGGTCTTGAACACCTGGGTGCAAGCCATCCTCCTGCCTTGGCCTCCCAAGGTGCTGGGATTACAGGTGTGAGCCACCATGCCCAGCCCCAAGTGTTATTATTCTTTAAATATATATATACTTTTAATTTATTATCAGCTTCAATAAAGCCCCCTAAATAAGCAATGCATCTCATCCTCCAGAAAGACTTCTCAGCGTCCCCAGTCCCAGTGCCCCGAGCTTACCCCAACACAGCACCAGCCCACAGTCAGCTACTAAGTGCCTGTTGACTGGTCTGATTTCCTGATGTGAGTTCCAAGGAGGCAAAATCCATGTCAGGGGCCAGTAGGTCCCAGTAAGTATAAGTATTTGAGGAAGGGAGGAAGAGAGAACAAACTGAAGGCAGGGAAGAATTTTTTTTTTTTTTTTTTTTTTGAGACAGAGTCTCACTCTGTTGTCCAGGCTGGAGTACAGTGGCACAATCTCAGCTCACTGCAATCTCAGCCTCCCAGGTTCAAGTGATTCTCCTGCCTCAGCCTCTCAAGTACCTGGGATTACAGGCACCCGCCACCATGCTGGGCTAATATGTGTGTGTGTGTGTGTGTGTGTGTGTGTGTGTGTGTGTGTGTGTGTATTTTTAGGAGAGACGGGGTTTCACCATGTTGGCCGGGCTGATCTTGAACTCCTGACCTCAAGTGATCCACCCACCTCAGCCTCCCAAAGTGCTGGGATAACAGGCATGAGCCACCATGCCCAGCCTTTAAAACCTATCATCATAAATACCATTGATTGAATATTTGCCCTCTGCCAGGCTCTAGCTCAACACTCCACTATATGCATGGTCTCTTTTAAACCTCTCAATCTGATGAGATGGATGATAATTTCATCCTCGATTTAGATTTGAGGACTGAAGTTCAGAGAGGGTGTCTCCTGCCTAGGATTGCGCATCCAGGAAATGTTTGCTCTTAACCATTGCACTGCAACTTTGGGGCCACTTCTTCATACCCTGGTAGGAGCAGAGGGATTAATTCATGATGTTGTTGCAAGACATTCTAAATTGTGCCATCCCAAGTCCCCTCAGGCTCTTTGGGAGAAAATACTCAATCTTTCACCACTTCTCAGCCCCATCTGTCCCTTCTTCAGGGTGACATCTGAAGGGGAATGGAGTTGGGGGCTTGGATAGTCTCATGGTTGGGGAAGGGGCCTCTGACCCAGTACTGCTTCCTCTTTCAAGTGTCTGCCTTCTGCAGTGTGGCTGAGGCACACGTCCCACCTGTCCTCTGGGCAGGTCCCCTGGCCTCTGCTGCCCACAACTATGTTCCTGGCCACAGTCTTCACACCCTCTCCTCTGACCCCAACCTTCTTCTTGCCTACCGTCTTCCTGAGCATTTCCATACACCTACCCCCACCACCTCCTGGGGTTCCCTCTTCACACCTCCATCCTGGAGGGCATGGGCTCTGCGAGGCTGCCCCTGGAACTGAGAACAACCCTTACATCAGGGCTATTCAAAGTGTGGTTGGTATTAGAGCTAGGCTCGGTGGCTCATGCCTGCAATCCCAGCATTTTGGGAGGCTGAGGCAGGGGGATCACTTGAACCTAGGAGTTTGAGACTAGCCTGGGCAACACAGCGAGACCCCGCCTCTACAAAAAAAAAAAAAAATTAGCCAGGTGTTGTGGCACATGCCTGTAGTCCTAGATACTCCAGAGGCTGAAGCAAGAGGCTTGCTTGAGCCCGGGAATTTGAGGTTGCAGTGAGCTGTGATCAGGCTACTGCACTCCAGTCTGAGTGACAGAGCTAGACCTTGCCTCTTAAATATATATATATATATATATATGTGGTTCATATCACCTAGGAAGATGTTAGAAATGCAAATTCTCCAGCCCCGCCCTGGAGCTACTGAATCAGAAACTCTGCAGGTGGGGCCCAGGCAGCCATCCCTGTTGAAACAAGCCCTCCAGATGATTCTGATGCACACTCAAATTGGAGAATCACTGCTTTGTCTCATACCTTCCCTCCCTCCAGGGCTCATAGTAAAAAGTCCAGGCCCCACCTTGGCCAGACTCCAGATCTTGACATTGATTTTATTTTTATTTTTAGAGACAAGAGTCTCACTCTGTAGCCCAGGCTGGAATGCAGTGATGCAATCTCGGCTCACTGCAACCTCTGCCTCCCGGGTTCAAGTGATTCTCCTGCCTCAGCCTCCCGAGTACCTGGGACTACAGGCGCACGCCACCACGCCCAGCTAATTTTTGTATTTTTAGTAGAGACGGGGTTTCACCATGTTAGCAAGACTGGTCTCAACTCCTGACCTCAGGTGATCCACCTACCTCAGCCTCCCAAAGTGCTGGAATTACAGGCGTGAGCCACTGCGCCCAGCCCAGGTCTTGACATTTAAAAGGAAGTTTTGGGTATCTCTCCCAACTGTGTAGGCCTTTACATTGAAATTCTGGATTCTGACACTGTTAGGTCTCCTCTACTCTTTCAAAAAATCCATTTAGAAAGGCAAAGCTAAGGATGAGCTGCTCATCTGCTGCTGAATCTGCCCCCGACTGGAAGCAACAGATGCCTCAGCAGCAAGGGTGGAGAAGGCCAGGAACATGGCTGGGAATTCAAAATTCATGGAATAATAGTTTTCTTAAAATCTCTTTTCCCTATATATACAATGTGTTTTCAAGTCTCAGCTCATTTAATCTTCATGTCAACCCCCGGAGGTCTCACAACATCAACCTCACCCCTTGGTGCAACATCAGCCCATGGACCTGGAGCCCATCTGTCAGGTCCTTGTTTTCTTTCATTCCCTCCTCTCATTCTCTGCTGTCACTGCCTATATTCTGAGTTCATTATCCAAATCCAACCACTTACTAGTGTGTGACTTTGTGCAAGTTTACTTAATCTCCTTGTGCCTTAGTTTCTGTAGCACACAGATTCCATAGTCAACATTCAGAAGAATTTACTGGGCACCTACAATACTTTAGGCACTGGGGATATGGCAGTGAAGCAAATAAAGAAAAATCTCTGTCCTTGTGGAGCTGACATTCTAGTGGGGTGAGGGGAGGGGAGGGAAGGGGAGAGGAGAAGAGAAAGATAATAAACCAGAAAGTAAAATATAATTTATAAAATGTTTCAGATGGTGACATGTAGTATAAACAATAAACAGGGAAGGGGATACAAGGTGCCTGGGTAGGGGAGGAAGGTGAGGTTTTGTTTTGTTTTTGAGACAGGCTCTCGCTCTGTTGGCTAGGCTGGAGTGCAGCAGCAGGATCATGGATCACTGCAGAGTCAACCTCCTGGGCTTAAGGGATCCTCCTGCCTCAGCCTCCAGAGTCACTGGGACTACAGGCACGCACCACCATGCCCAGCTAATTTTTTAATTTTTCGTATAGATGGGGGGGTCTCCTTATGTTTCTCAGGCTGGTCTCAAACTCCTAGCCTCAAGCAATCCTCCCACCTCGGCCTCCCAAAGTGCTGGCATTACAGGTGTGAGCCATTGCACCCAGCCAAGTTGTTATTTTTAATGGGGTGGTTAAGGAGGATCTCACTAGTAAGATGACATTTGAACAGAAATTTGAAGGAGAAAATGACACGGATATCTGGGAAGATGGCATTCCAGGTAGAAGGAATGGCAAGTGCAATAATTCTGAGGTTAATGGGAAAGCTGGCAAGGGGGTCAGTGTGGCTGGAGTTGGGGGGAAGCATGTGGGAAGAGGTCTGACAAGGGGCTGGGGAGACAAGGACTGGATCATGTTGGGATCTCTCTGCTATTATCAGGACTTTGACTCTAGGGAGCTGGGAAAAGGTTTGAGCAGGAGGAACCTGATCTAGCTTTGTATGTTAAGGTCACACCAGCTGCTGCGTGAAGAATAGGTCGAAGGGGCAGAGGCAGGGAGCCCATCAGTAATGGGGCCGCTGCAGTAATTCAGGTAGGAAACAGTGGGGACTTGGCCCACCTGGCAGCAGTCTGGAGGAGAGGGGTGAGAAGACCAGAAGGTATGTACCGAAGTTAGAACCGACAAGATTTGCAGATAGATCAGATATGGGAAGTAAGAAGTGGAGGGTGGACAGGGATGACTCCAACATTTTTAGCCTGAGCAACTGGAAAAGTGAAACTGCTATTGACTGAGATGGAGAAGACTGAGAGAAGCAGGTTTGGGGAGATTGTTTTCGGACTCGTTAAGGTTAAGATCCTATTAGACATTCAGTAGAGAAGCCAACCGGCTATTGCACATATAGGTGTGGAATTCAGAAGGGAGGTTCAGGCTGGAGATAGAAACATTGGAGACTTTAGTGTTTTGATGACATTTCTAGAAGGAGCTCATGAGAGAATCTACTTCAGATGGGTGTTGTGGGAATTAGATGAGTTAAGCACCTAGAACATAGTAGGCATTCAATAAAGGTCGGCTATTACCAAGATCATTTCATGTCCCTTGCACTCCCCCACCGGCTTCTCACCACAGCCACCTCCATGATGGCCTCCACACTGCTGGTCAGAGTGAGCTTTCTACAGCACAGACCTGCCCATCCCTCCCTGCCCAAACCTGCAATGGCTCCCTATTGCTTAGAGAATAAAGTGTGCATATTTCATAGACTTCACAGACTGCCCCTAAAGCCTTCCCTGATCTGGACACTGTCACCCTCACCAGCCCCAATTTCTGCCACCACCCCCCACCTCCCACCTCATTCTCCAGCAGTAATAGGGAACCCTTTGTTCACAGCTTGTTGTCTTTGAACATGTGGCTGCCTCTGCCTTGACTTGTCCAGCAGCAAACCCAAGTGATTCTCACATCCTCTAAGAAGCTTCCCTCTCCACCCAGGGGCTGTTCCCTCTTCCCTGCAGACCTGCTTCCTACCCTTACTAGTGCTCCTTGAGGGGAAAAATGTGTTCCTTCCACTCCTGTTCCCGCAGCACCAAACACTGAGCCTGCCATAGGCAAGGGGCTGGGGGAGGGTAAATGAACAAAGGAAGAAGAGCTGATTCTCCATGATGGGTTTTTTATTGTTAGCATGTTTGAGTTCATGAAGACCCAGAGAGGTGCAGGTACTTGCTCAGGTCACTCAGTTGGTGAACCCTGTGGCCAGGAGCGGACTCCAGGCTTGTCTGATTCAAAGTTCCTGACTCAAGCGCATGTGCATGCACGGGCATGCACACAGGAAAACACACACACCCACACACGCACACACGCACACACACAGAACAATCTCAGGGCACCTGGTGGCTGGGGGTTCTCTTGATCTTCCAATTGTTCCCTTCTTGGGAATGGATCCAGGGAGAAGGTTAAGGATTTAGATTCAGAATAGGTATTCACTTGTTTGTTTAAAAAAAAAAATTGTAGAGATCCAGTCTCCCTATGTTGCCCAGGCTGTCTCAACCTCCTGGGCTCTAGTGATCCTCCTGCCTCGGCCTCCCAAAGTGCTGGGATTACACACATGAGCCACTGCACCTGGCCAGTGTTCACTTGTTTATTCAGTAAGTCATTCATTCATTCATTCTCTCACTCACTCATTCACAATCAATCATTTGTTCTACTTCCAATTTTTACTCCCAGCAGATTAAGACCCTACCTCCTAAGAGCTGAATCTGAGGAGAGCCTGGTCAGGAAACAAGGCAGCACAGGGCCGGGAAAGGAACACCAAGGGCTTGTGGAGGACCTTGAAGGGTGAGAGGAGTTTACCAGGTGGCCCTGGAAAAGGATATCCTGACGTGCGGCTGCAGCATATGCAAAGACCCAGAGACTTGAAACCACCACTGAAAGGAGGGCACCTGGGGAGGTGGGAGGAGTGGCAGAGGATCACTGCGGGGAGAAGTTTGGAGACATGGGCAGGGGCCAAGGTGAAGATTAATTTGGGAGTTAGGTATGGAGGAGCAGGGTTAAGGTTTAGGTTGGGTTTAGGATTAGAGATTAGATCTTGAAATCAGATCATTTCTTTTTAACCTGCCTTTTCCAGAAGGATTTCATGTGGCTTGTATCAGTGATAAAGATCTGCAGTTATGATTAGGCCTGCCAAGAACCTAAGGATCAGGAATGGGCTTTATGGTTGGGATCCAAGATGCAGTAAAAATGAGGTACTTGAGGGAGCAAAGCCAAAGCTCGCTGGGCATAGGTCTTCATTTTCTTTTTCTTTTTCTTTTTCTTTTTTTTTGAGATGGAGTCTCGCTCTGTCGTCCAGGCTGGAGTGCAGTGGCACAATCTCGGCTTACTGCAAGCTCCGCCTCCGGGGTTCATGCCATTCTCCTGCCTCAGCCTCCCGAGTAGCTGGGACTACAGGCACCCGCCACCGTGCCCGGCTAATTTTTGTATTTTTAGTAGAGACGGGGTTTCACTGTGTTAGCCAGGACGGTCAGGTCTTCATTTTCTTTCTTTTTTCTTTTCTTTTCTTTTTATTTTTGAGACAGGGTCTCACACCATCACCCAGGCTGGAGTGCAGTGGCACAATGTCATCTCACTGCAACCTCCACCTCCCGGGTTCAGGCAATTCACCTGCCTCAGCCTTCTGAGTAGCTGGGACTACCTGCGCACAACACCACCCAGGTAATATTTTTGTTTGTTTGTTTTGAGATGGAGTTTCGCTCTTGTTGCCCAGGCTGGAGTGCAATGGCGCAATCTCGGCTCACTGCAACCTCCGCCTCTCGGGTTCAAGCAATTCTCCTGCCTCAGCCTCATGAGTAGCTGGGATTACAGGCGCCTGCCACCACACCCAGCTAATTTTTTTGTATTTTTAATAGAGATGGGGTTTCACTATGTTGGCCAGCTCTGCTCTTGAACTCCTGACCTCAGGTGATCTGACCGCCTTGGCCTCCCAAAGTTCTGGGATTATAGGCGTGAGCCATCGTGCCAGGCCTGTTTTGTATTTTTTGTAGAGATGGAGTGGTGGGGGAGACCTGGGTCTTGCTATGTTGCCCAGGCTGGTCTCGAACTCCTGAACTCAAACAATTCCCCCGCCTAGGCCTCCCAAAGTGCTAGGATTACAGTTGTGGGCCACCACTCCAGGCAGGTCTTCATCGTCCTCCTTTCTGAAGCATGCATCTCCCGGCTGTGTAGTCTTGAGACTTAACCTCTGGGCCTCCTGATGCCCACCTGCTAAACTGCTGTGCAGATGAAGATGCTATTCGTCTTGCACATCTTCTCTGGGTCAGGCACCACCGGGCAGGACAGATGTTCTCACCTACTCCCGCAATACCCCAATGTTGAGCCGTAATGGAATAGTTTAATCCACACCGCCGGCATACATTAGGTGCTCCGTCCAGGCTAGTTCTCTCCCCTTCCCTCATTTCCCCACAAAGCCCCTTGGTGGCTGGGGCCGCCCAGGTGTGCTGACTCACCTGTCTAGAGGAACGGACTGCGCCAGGGGCTGTATCGCTCGGGCCCCGCCACCCCCTGCCCCCGCCCGTCCCGGGCCAGCGCGGTGCAGCCGGGGTCCTGAGCTGCCCCAGGCTGGGAGCAGCGCAATTATCCTAATTACAGCCCGGCCTCCGCGGTGGTGGTGAGCGCGGCCACGCCGTCCCGAGAACGCCCCCGAACCAGGGCCCGAGCGTGGGAACCGCCGTGCCCTCTGCCGCGGGCGGCGGCGGCAGCCGCGTCGGGGACTCGCCCGCCCGCCAGGCCTGGATGGGCGATAAGCCTGCCCCGCCGCTCACACCCGCGGCTAATGACCCGGCTGCGCTCGGCGCGCATGGCCCCCTTTCGACTGCCCCTTTCATCTGCCCCCTCCCAGCGCCCCGCACCCATCAACTCCGCATCCCCATACCTGGGTGGGGACAGCGGCGGGGCCCGAAGCCCCTACTGCCAGGAGCAGCGAGTGGCCAAACGCGCGAGGAGGTTCCCAGGCGCCCGGGGTGCGAAGGAGGGAGACTACGGGCGCCCCGCCCGCAGAGTCCACGCACATCCGCTCATTCATTCATCCATTCGTTCGTCCACGCATCCACTCACTCAGTCACTCGTTCATTTATTCACGACACAGACGTTTTCTAAGTATCCTCTAATGACTGTTTCCTTTTCTGTAAGTTGGGAATAATAATACTATGTAGGCCAGTCGCGGTGGCTCTTGCCTGTAATCCCAGCACTTTGGGAGGCCTAGGCGGGTGGATCACCAGGTCAGGAGTTCGAGACCAGCCTGGCCAACATAGTGAAACCCCGTCTCTACTAAAAATACAAAAATTTAGCTGGGTGTGGTGGCAGGCGCCTGTAATCCCAGCTACTCAGGAGGCTGAGGCAGGAGAATCGCTTGAACCCAGGAGGCAGAGGTTGCAGTGAGCTGGGATAGTGCCATTGCACTCCAGCCCAGGCAACAGTGCAAGACTCTGTCTCAAAAAATAAATACACACATACATACATAAATAAATAAAAATAATAATAATATGAACTTTACAGGATCATTCTAAAGTTTAAGACGGGCATGGGGAGGAAAGAGATGGCTCATTTATTAAGTACTTGTTCTCTCCAAATACACACTAGCTCACACTTCTCACAGCAGCCCTGAATTAGGTAAAACCCCATATTACAGACATGGAGACTGAGTCGCAGAGAAGCCATGGGATTTGCCAAATAACAGGAGTGTCAGACTTTTGTCCTCTGAAGCAGCTCCCACTACACCACGAAGTGAGTATGCAGTTAATGCCTGTTGCACCAAATAATAAAAATAATTACTATAAAAAAGAAAAAACATAAAAAAGAAAAAGAACACTATTGCAATTGACCATAAAAAAATTAAAAAGGCCAAGCACAGTGGCTCATGCCTGTAATCCCAGCACTTTGGGAGGCTGAGGCAGGAAGATTGCTTGAGCCCAGGAGGCTGAGGCTGCAGTAAGCCAAGATTGCACCACTGCACTCCAGCCTGGGTGACAGAGTGGGACCCTGTCTCAAAATAATAATAACAAATAAATAAAATTAAAAATACATTAATAGGAAAGAAATATATATATATATATATAAGAAAAACAGCCGATATTTCTGGAGTATTTATGCTGTGCCAGGCACTGTGCTAATTACTTTCTATGCATTATCTCATTTAATACTTGCAAAAACCTCAGGAGCTGGGCATCATTATGGTATTCCCATTTTACAGATGAGGAAACTAAAGCTGAGAGAATATGTCACTTGCTCAAGGCCACACAGTTAGCAGTGGCTGAAGTCAGGTTTGCACCCACCAAGCCAGGCAGGGCCACCCAGGCTCTTCGCTATGCAGTTGAAATAGAGCAGCCCCCCAGCTGGGCGCTGTGGCTCACGCCTGTAATCCCAGCACTTTGGGAGGCCGAGACGGGCAGATCACGAGGTCAGGAGATCTAGACCATCCTAGTTAACATGGTGAAACCCCGTCTCTACTAAAAATACAAAAAAATTAGCTGGGTGTGGTGGTGGGCGCCTGTAGTCCCAGCTACTCAGGAGACTGAGGTGGGAGAATGGCGTGAACCTGGGAGGCAGAGGTTGCAGTGAGCCGAGATCGTGCCACTGCACTCCAGCCTGGGCGACAAAGCGAGACTCCGTCTCAAAAAAAAAAAAAAAGTAGAGCAGCCCCCCCTCCTCCCCATCTCTCAGTGTCCTTTCTGCCTAAGCTTAGGCACAGAGCCACTGAATGCCTTCTCTTTGGCCCAGCTGCTTCTCACCCCAGGGACCAGCTCAAAATTATCAGGGAACAGTTTCGAGATCTGGTGCGGAGGAAAGGCATAAGATAGAGATGGGGAGCCTGAACTTTTAAACTCTTCAGGCCTCAGTTCCTCAGCTACAAAATGAGCTCAGCAGTCCTTGTTCTGTTTCCCTCACAGCACTGTTGCCCATTTGTTGTTCTTTAGTTTGCTAATTTCCTTCATTTACTGGGAACATTTCTTTTCCTTTCTTTTTTTTTTTTTCTTTTCTTTCTCTTTTTTTTTTTTTTTTTTAAGGCAGAGTCAGTCTGTTGCCCAGGCTGGAGTGCAGTGGTGCAATCACAGCTTTCTACAGCCTCGACCTCCCGGGTTCAAGTGATCCTCCTGGCTCAGTCTCCTGAATAGCTGGAACTGTAGCCACGCACTATCGTACCTGGCTAATCTTTTTATTTTTTGTAGAGATGGGGTCTCCCTATGTTGCCCAGGCTGATCTCAAACTCCTGGGCTCAAGCAATCCTCCTACCTCGGCCTCCCAAAGTCCCGGGATTACAGGCATGAGCCACCACACCTGGCCTACTTAGAACATTTCTTCAGTGCCAACTATGAATTTGGTGCAGGGCTAGGGAGACCAACCATCCAGGTTTGCCCAGGACTGAGGAGTTCCCAAGATGCAGGACATGCTGAAACTAAGACAGTCCTCAGCACACCAGGATGGTGGGTCACCCTGCCTGTGCTGGGTACTGGGGATTTGAGGAGCATCAGGGCCCGGGCCTGGCCTGATCCCTCTGGAAACTGGAAAGGCTCCTGCACACGGGGAGGTATGCCCCATGCAAGCTGTTGTCACTGGGAGCAGGGAGAGGGTGAGGTACCCTGGCAATATGCTGTGCTCAGCTTTTTCCCAGTTCCCTGGCTCCAGGCCCAGGCAGATTCGGCAAAGCAATCCTGGCCATTGCCTGGCTGGGAAAGCCAAGGCTGGAAGTGGCTTTCCCACAGCAGCTGCCATGAGTCAGTGCCCAGGGGCAGGGTGGTCAATCCCACCTCCAGCCACCCACTCCCCATGTGAGCAAGCCGCTTTACCTCTCAGAACTGCCTCCTGTCCTTACCTGGGGGTGGAGAGGAATGTGGCTGGGTGATCACCAAGCCTGGTAGTGGCCTTCTGTTTCCGAAGGCCTTTCCAGGAACCCTCCACTTCACCAGGAATTCAAAGGCGTGGGTGCCTACCAAGAACTTGGTCACTGCTGAGTTCTTGGCAATAACCAGGTGAGGACATGCCAGAAAGCACCTAGAAAGATGGGCTTTTGAAATCAGACAGAACGAGCCGTAATCCCAGATGGTCACTGAACCTCATTTTCCTCCTCTGTAGAATGGGAGCAATACCACCTACCTCTCACTATTGGGGGAGTGAATAAGATTCTGAAGATGTGGAGACAAACCAGATGCTCAGAACACACCAGTCCCCTTCTTGCCCCTCCACCTATCATGCACTCTGTGCCCCAGCTGGCCTAGTCTCAGCCTAATAGACCCTTCATCTGCTCTCTGCCCTCTCCTCTATTCACTAACAAGCCTTCATTGGCTATCCACCATGTGCTGGTCTTTTTAGGAACTCAGGTGAAGCAGACAGATTTTCTTCTTAAACGGACTCTCTGGCCAGGTACAGTGGCTCAAGCCTGTAGTCCCAGCAATTTGGGAGGAAGAGGCAGGAGAATCTCTTGAAGCCAGGAGTTTGACACCAGCCTGCACAACAAAGGGACACCTTGTCTCTTTAAAAAAAAAAAAAAAAAAAAGGAATCTCCTTTCCCTTTCTTATAGGGGAAGTCAAGGCAACTTCTGGGAGGAGAAAGAGCAGCAGTGGCCATGGCCCCTGAGAAAATAGGAGACCAGCTCCCTCATACTGCCCCTTTCTTGGACTGTCACCCTCTTCCTGGATGCCCTTTCCCTTCAGCTGCTGTCCCTCATCATCACTAACATCCCCCACCCCACCCCCAGCCTCCCCACCCCACTGCTCCTTTTGTTCAGACACCTCCTCCAGCAGGGAGGCCTGCCCTGGGTCCCCGGGCAGAATTAACTGTTCCTTCCCCCATGAAGTCTGAGCAAAGTTTCTCCTTCCCAGGGCCTCTGCCTCTTATCTTTGTAGCTTGCAGGGTCTAGCTCATTGTTGGCAGCCATGAATATGGAGAAAGGAGAATCAGAAGGGAAGGGGTGGGCCTGAGTCTATGTTCCAGTTTGGGAAGTTAACAAAAGAATTCCTGCCCGCTCTGTGCCCAGGCGGTGACATTCCCTCCAGAAAGGGAGAAGGTGACAGAGGAGAGGAAGTCTGCCAGGGTAGGGTCCATTCTACGTCCTTCCAGTGTCTTCCTGCCTCACCTCTTGCCCCTGTTTTATGCCCTGAGGCTGGCTGTGAGCAGCCCATCTCCATTGGCAGGAGGCTGCTGGAATGGGGGAGTTTCCCAGACTGGGATGCACATGTGAGGACATCAACTTTGCTAGGAGCAGTGGGTCTCCTCGAGAAGTCATTTCCTTGTGTGTGAGGGGCTTGACCAGATGACCTTAAAGTCCTTCCAGAAGCAATCTTAGGATGCAGAAATGCTGAGATTTCTGGATCTTCATTTCCAGAATCTGTGATCTGAAATGGTTCTGTCCAATATGATAGCCATGAGCCACATGTGGCTACTGAGCCGTTGGTATGTGGCTAATCAAAACTGTGGTATAAGGCCGGGTGCGGTGACACATGCCTGTAATTCCAGAACTTTGGGAGGCCAAGGCGGACAGATTACCTGAGGTCAGGAGTTCGAGACCAGTCTGGCCAACACGGTGAAACCCCGTCTCTACTAAAAAACACAAAATTAGCCAGGCATGGTAATCCCACTACTTGGGAGGCTGAGGCAGCAGAATCACTTGAACTCAGGAGGCGGAGGTTGTAGTGAGCCAAGATCACACCACTGCACTCCAGCCAGGGCAACAAGAGCGAAACTCCATCTCAAAAAAAAAAATTGTGATGTAAGTAAAAAATACACGTTGAATTTCAAAGATCTAGTACAAAAACTGTGAAATCCCTCATTAATCATTTTTATATTAATTACAGGTTTCAATGATATTATTTTGGACATACTGGGTTAAATAAAATTTATTAAAATTATTTCACTTGTTTCTCTTTACTTTCTTAAGTGTGGCTACTAGAACATTCCCAATTTAATATATGACTCACATTTATATTTTTTTCTCCTTCCTTCCTTCCTTCCCTCCCTCCCTTTCCCTCCTTCTTTTCTTTTTTCTTTCTTTCTTTTTCTTTCTTTCTTCCTTCCTTCCTTCCTTCCTTCTTTCCTTTCTTTCTTTCTTTCTTTCTTCCTTCCTTCCTTCTCTCTCTCTCTCTCTCTTTCTTTCTTTCTTTCTGAGACACAGCCTAGGCTGGAGTGCAATGGTATACTTTCGACTCACTGCAACCTCCGCCTCCCAGGTTCAAATGATTCTCATCCCTCAGTGACCTGAGTAGCTGGGATTACAGGCATGTACCACCACACCCAGCTAATTTTTGTTTTTTTGTTTTGTTTTGGTTTTTTACTAGAGATAGGGTTTCGCTATATTGTCCAGGCTGGTCTCGAACTCCTGGGCTTAAGATCCGCCTGCCTCGGCATCGGAAAGTGCTAGGATTACAAGCGTGAGCCACTGCGTCTGGCCCACATTTATATTTCTATTTCTCAGCACGGTCACCCAACTAAGCCAAGACTTCCCTGGGCACCTATTAGCTTTGGGGGTGTGAGAGTATTATTCTTTTCCTAGCAGAGAAGCACCAAACCCTGATGCCTTATGAGAAAGTGCTGCTTCCTCCTCCCAAATAAAGACTACCCCAATTCTCCTCTTCTACCTTAAGGCTAGTTGCTGGGGAGGTGAGGAACAGGATTCATCTTCTCACACTATTCTCCCTCCCTCCACAAAGAAAACAGAATTCAGGCCAGGCACAGTGGCTCAGGTTTGTCTCTAATCCCAGGGTTTTGGGAAGCTATGGTGGAGGGATCACTTGAGGCCAGGAGTTTGAGTCTAGCCTGGGCAACAAAGTGAGACCCTCGTCACTACAAAAAATATAAAAATAAAAATAATAATTAGCAGGGCATGGGGGCACTCTCCTGTAGTCCCAGCCACTCTTGAGACTAAGGGGTGAGAGTCACTTGAGCCCAAAAGTTTGAGGTTATAGTGAGCTATGACCGCATCACTGCACTCCAGCCTGGGTGACAGAGGGAGACTCTGTCTCTAAAAAAATAAAATAAAAAGAGAAAACAGAATTCAGACAGGACTGGGAAATTCCTTCCCAGGCTTGGCTTCCAGCCCAGCAAGAGCCAGGCTGTCGCACCCAGAGGAAACCCCCAGCTGCCCCTTCCTGCCTGGTCCAACCCTGCCCCCAAAGTCTAAGCCATGCTGGGAGGCACCTGAGGAACTACAGGAAGCGTCCTCCCAGCTCCCCCATCCCACAGGCCCCAGCCAGGACAGCATAAGACTGGGCATTTAAGAGGGCACATGACTCTCCCCACAGGGAATTTACACACCAGCCAAGGGGGCGGGGCAAACCCACGGGGTAACTGGAGATGATCACATAAGCAGCCTCCATCTGCTGGGAAACAGCAGGCCTTTAATGAAATGTGGGTAGATGTAGGCCCTGTGTCTCCCTGCCTCACCTCCACCAATATTCTTTTCCTCATTTTGAGAAGGAAACGAAGATGGGGCACAGTGGTTAACAGCAAAGCCTCAGCACTCCTTCAGGCATAAGTTTAAACCCCAGTTCAGCTTGTTGTGTGACTTTGAGCACTAATATCCCTGACTCTGAAGAAATTCCTACCATCGAATTGAAACCCACTTTCCAGTGGTGTCCACCCACTGATCCTAGATTTGTTTTCTGAGGTGATCCAGAACCTTCCACTGCCATTGCCTAGTGAGAGTCATTTAGAGGCCTGAAGACAGTGAGATCAAGGGCCCCCAGAGGCTTACCTTCTCTGAGTTAGCATTCCAGATATTTCCTTGGAGTGCCTCCATCCTGCCCACCCCTCAATCTATTGGAACCCCCCAGGAACTCAATATGAGAGGCAGACCACTGTGGTCATTAAGTGGGTGGATTCTGGAGTCAGATAGCTGTGGTGTAAGTCCTGGCTGCACCTCTTTTTAGCTGTGTAGTCTTGGGCAAGTTACTTCACCTCTCTGTGGCTTGTTTTCAGTTTCCTCACTTCAAAACAGAGACAATAATAGCTCTGATGGGATTGTTGTATTATGAGGATGAAGTCAGTTAACACATGTTAAGCCTTAAAACAGTGCCTGGGATAGTTTTGCTCATATGTCATCTAACGTGTGTGTTGTGATGGAGTGCCCTCCCTACTCCATTACCAGTTGATTGGTCCAAGGGGAGGCTTGACCTAAGCTGGGCCAATGAGTCTTTTCCCAGGGATTTTTAGATCTGAGATGCAGAAAACAGAATCAGTTTTTCTCCATTATCTTGAAGATGCAAGCTATAAAACTCAACCTTTTTCTCTGCACCATGAAGAAAATCAATGTGCTATGAAAGAGAGGGAAGATAACGTGCAGAAAATAGGAAAGACATGAGACAGAACAAGAGAGTCCTGGTTTCAGTTGCTCCTAAATACCAGCTCGATCCCAGCTCTTCTTAAAACGTCATTGTTTGCAACAGTATTTGCTGTGTAACAAGGACTTCAAATTGTTAGGGCTTAGGGCTTAAAGCAGGAATTGTTTATTAGCTCATGATACTATATGCTGCAGTTTGGCTGGGCTCAGCTAGGTGATTCTTCTGCTCTTATCTCCTGGGTTCATTCATGTAGTTGTAGTCAGCTGATGGCTTAGCTAGAGCTGGATGGTCCAGGGTGGCCTGAAGGTGACCCAGCACTTACTGACTGTCTGCCATGTTCCAGGTCCTATGGGAATACCAGAATAGAGAAAATTAATATTTACCAAGCTCCTACTTTGTGTTAGGCCAATGATGGAAATTTTAGTTGCATTATCTCATTTAATCCTCCTAATTGCCTGGCACATAACTCTTGTTGATATCACCCCCATTTTACAGATGAGGAAACAGGTTCCAAGAGAAATAATTTGCCTAAAATTTCAAGACCCAGAGGCACAGAGTTGGAATTCAAGCACAGGATTCCTGAGTGTCTGCAGAGCTCATGCTCTTGCACTGCACCATCCTGCCCTTCCCACACCAAAGAGTAAAACTTAGCTCTACCTATTTGCATAGTGTCTCTAAAAACAAACAAACAAACAAACAAACAAAAAAACTTGGCTCTACCCTCACGCTGCTTAAACTGTGGCCAAGTGGACTGAGTGGATCCAACATCCAACGGTGTCAGATTCAATGACATTCATTCAGTAAATATTCCCCCATACCTATTTTGTACTGGGCATCATGTTAGCTATTAAAGATGAGGAAATGACTCAGACACAGGATGCAGCAGCAGCAGCAGCAGCAATGTGGAGGAGGAAATGATTAATCCTGCCTGGTTTGGGCTCAGCATTGACTCGTTTATCAACCTGACTCTTAAGGAATGGGTGACGCTGGTGAGGAAATGCAGTTCAAAGCAAACTCCCCTTTCCACAGATGTGCAAGAAGGTCTCTGAGTTCCAGTTATGTGGCAGCAATCAGAGGTCAAGGTCATCATCTGGCCAGATGCAGTGGCTCACACCTGTAATCCCAGCACTTTGGGAGGCTGAAGCAGGAGGATTGCTTGAGGTCAGGAGTTCAAAACCAGCCTGGTCAATATAGTGAGATCCTGTATCTAAAAATAATAATAATAATTTTTAAAAGAGAGAGAGAGAAAGGAAGGAGGAAAGATGAACAGGTCCCAGCCAATTACTCCACAGAGTCAGTCTCACATTGAGGCAAGAGGACCAGCCTTTTATACCCCTTACTAGTTTCTTCCCAGGACTGTCAAGGACTAGGGTGGGGGAGATGGGAAGCTTCTATTTGGCTGAGAACAATTCTCAAAAGAAGCGGGCAGCTGTGACTGTTAGTAGTCTACATCATGGCAGCTGGGAAAGGGGATCTGGACAGGGCAGCAACAGCATCCATTCTGGGGAGTCTCGGTGTACTTACATTATAAATCACACAAACAACTTTATAGGCACAAGCCAACTCATTTTTCTCTCTTTTATGTGTTTAAATGCAATATTAGAGGGCCGAGGCAGGAAAATTGCTTGAGTTTGGGAATTTGAGATCAGCCTGGACAACATAGCAAGACCTCATCTCTATTACAAAAAAAAAGAAAAAGAAAAAGAAAGAAAAGAAAGAAAAGAAAGGAAGGAAGGAAGGAAAGAAGGAAGGAAGGAAAAAAAAAAAAGCTGGATGTGGTGGGTGGCGCATGCCTGTAGTCCCAGGTACTCCAGAGGCTGAGGCAGGAGGATGGCTTGAGCCCAGAAGTTCAAGGCTGCAACTTGTGCCATTGGCATATGATTTTTCCACTTGGCATATGACTGTGCCATTACTCCAGCCTGGGTGACAGAGCAAGACCCTGTCTCAAAAAAAAAAAAAAAAAGCAATATTAAATTATACACTTTGTATATAGTGTAAATATATGCATTTTCCATATACTGCATATTACCATGTAGCATATATAAAAACATACCTATTACTATAAGGATTGAATTCACAAAAATGTAATAAGCTCCTTACTGAATTTTTTTTTTTTGAGACGGACTCTTGCTCTGTCACCCAGTGGCATGATCTTGGCTCACTGCAGCCTCCACCTCCTGGGTTCAAGCAATTCTCCTGCCTCAGCCTCCCAAGTAGCTGGGACTACAGGCACATGCCACTACACCTGGCTATTTTTTTTTTTTTTAATTTTTAGTAGAAATGGGGTTTCTCCATGTTGGCCTGGCTGGTCACCAACTCCTGACCTCAAGTGATCCACCCACCTCAGCCTCCCATAGTGCTGGGATTATAGACATGAGGCACTGCACCACCCAGCCTCCTTACTGAGTTCTTAAGGACTGCATATGACTTTTGCCTTACCTGCTGATTTTAGAACTTAATGCCCCTGCCTCCTTTACATGTGACTCCATTGCAGCTGGTTGAGCCCCTCCTGCCTTTCCTAATCTCCCTCTTCCACAGGGTCACAGGGTTTGGGGTCATGCAGGGTGACCTCCTGGCTCCAGTGGCTTACCATCCCATTCGTGACACAACCCAAACTCTTGACTTGGTGCCCCAACAATCTGACCCGTGCCTACCTGCTTGATGGTCAATGCTCAGCTCACCGCCCTCCAGCCTCAGGGCTTCCAAAAATGAATGAATGAATGAATGAATGAATGGGTTCACTGCCATGCCCTAGCAAGTCACCTCAAATCCATTCCATACTTTCCACTGGCAAAAGTTCCGTAGAAGGAGCATCCCTTTCCCGCTTGGAATGCTTCCGTTGTCCCTCCCTACCCACAGAGGCAGGCTGACAATCGCTTGCTTGAGCAGGCAAGTGTAGGGCATGAGGTTAAAAGACCCCAGTTCAAGTCCCACTCTTGCCACTTGCTAGCGAGGCAACATTAGCCAAACTAAGCCTCTCTGAACATCAATTCCTTTCTGTAAAATGGGAGAAACACCTCCTGCCATTTCTCCTTGTTGCAGTGAGATGACACAGAAAGCTCTGCACAGATGATTTTCAATGTTCTGAGTCCTGACTTTCAAGGGTCTTCACCCTTCAGGACTGATCTCTCCCTCTCTCAGCACCCATTTTTCCGGCCTCACCCAGCTACTGGTACTTCCTGAACATCACTCTGTACATTCACATCATGGTGCTTTCCCTCAAAAGCTGTGCTGTTTGTTTAGAAAGCCCATTTCCTGCCTTCTTCATCTGTCCAGATCCTGACCATCGTGAAGTTCCCCTGCCTCTGGGCTCACTTCATCTTTGATGTCTGCTCTACACCAGTGAATGTCTCCCTCACCGCACTCTGAGCCCCTTCTCTGGGTCCAAACTGCTAATCCCAACACCACACTGCACTGCTCCATCTGGACCAGGACCCGTGCTCAATGATGGGACTTCACAGTGGAGGAAGACCCCCCTCCACCTTCAAGAGGGCCACCATCTATTGGGATCAGAGAGGCTGAAAAGCACTTGACCACTTATTTGCAGGCTAGGAGAGCAGAGTGCTTAGGTACACTTGCACTGATGTCAGACATACCTGGCTTTGAATCTCAGGATGTGTGGAACACAAATCCAACTAAAATGGTTTAATTAAATAGGGAGTGCTTTTTTCAAATACTTAAGAAGACCAAGGTAGGAATCCAGGGCTGCTACAGAGTTTCCATGGCGCATGGAGGGTTCAGGCTTCAACTAGATTTCACTCTGCCATCCTTAGCATGGACCATGATTTTTCTTCTCCGTACCTGTTTTCTCATTTATGATGTGGGAATAACAGTATCTTCCTTATAGAATTGTTGTAAATATTAAATGACCAGATGTATGCAAAGAGCTTAAAACAGTACCTGGCTCTATATTAAGTGCTCTATAAGTGTTAGCTGTTATTGTTACTATTATTCTGTCCTTACGCTGAAAAAATGGCTGCTGCCTTTCTAGGCATCACATCCTCATCCCTGTCAGAAAAAGAGGAAAGGCAAAGCATAGAAAGTGAGTGCTGGCTGAAACCGTCTGTTTTTCCCTTCAATTGAGGGGAAATCTATGTAATATAAAATTAGCCATTTAAAAATGAATAATTCGGTGGCATTTAATACATTCACCATGTGTGTGCAACCACCAACTCTATCTAGTTCCAAAATTTTTTTATCATCCGTAAAGGAACGCTTGTATGCATTAAGCAGTTGCTCCCCATTCTCCCTTCCTCCCAGCACCTGGTAACCACCAGTCTGCATTCTGTCTCTGTGAGTTTACTTATTCTGGATAATCCCATTTGTTTTCAAAGAGCTTTCCAGGAAGCCCCACCCAGCCTTTTCTGCTCAGACCTCATTGGCCAGGAATGTGTCTGATTTTTGGCTGGGCAAATTGATGCCCTAAACAAAATCAGCATCTGTCATTCTACTTTTTTTTTTTTTCCCTGAGACAGAGTCTTGCTCTGTCACCCAGTCTGGGGTGCAGTGGCATGATCATGGCTCACCGTAGCCTCAACCTCCTGGGCACAAGCAATCCTCCCGCCTCAGCCTCTCAAAGCACTGGGATTACAAGTGTGATTCACCGGGCCCAGCCTAATTTACTTATTTATTATGTTTAATTATTTATCTCTCTACCATCAGAATATCAGCTCCACATGGGCAGGGAACTTTGCCTGTTTCATTTAGACACCTAGACCAGTGCCTGATTCATACTGTATCTCATTAATATGAAATGTTATCAATTTTAAAAGATTCTTGTCTCCTTTGAGACAGGGTCTGGCTGCGTTGCCCAGGCTGGAGTGCACTGGCACGATCTCATCTCACTGCAACCTCCACCTCCTGGGCTCAGGCCATCCTCCCACCTCAGCCTCCCAAGTAGCTGGGACTACAGGCGGATGCCACCATGCCCAGCTAATTTTTTAATTTTTTGTAGAGACAGCATTTTGCCATGTTGCCTAGACTGGTCTCCAACTTTTGAGCTAAAACAATCCACTCACCTTGGCCTCCCAAAATACTGGAATTACAGGGATAAGCCACCATGCCTGGCCTAAAAGATTTTTATTTTGGAAAAGTTAGTGTGAAAAAAGATTTTTGTGTCTTAGAATCAATAAAATATAGTTGTAAGTTCTCTAAGTATTAAAATGTGGAATGAGGCAAAGCACGGTGGCTCACGCCTATAATCCTAGTGCTTTGGGAGGCTGAGGCTGGAAGATTGCTGGAGCCCAGGAGATTGCATTGTGCCACTGCACTCTAGTCTGGTTGACACAGTGAGACCCTGCCTCTAAAACAAAACAAAACAAAACAAAAAATTACTTAGTGTGTTAGTCAATGATAAATGCTGAGAAGAAATAGAAAGTAGAGCAAGGTAAAGCCCATTTGGGGGATGGAAAGGAGACAGGTTACTATATTAATATACAGTTGACCAGTATTTATGGGTTTTACATCTGTGAATTCAACCAGTCTCAAATTGAAAAAAAAAAAAATTGTTTTAAATTGTGACTAGGCCAGGTGCAGTGGCTCATGCCTATAATTCCAGAACTTTGGGAAGCCAAGGTGGGAGGATCACTTGAGCCCAGGAGTTCAAGACCAGTCTGGGCAACATAGCAAGACCACGTCTCTACAAAAAAGAAAAAAGAATTAGCCAAGCATGGTGGTGCATGCCTGTAGCCCCAGCTACTCAGAAGCCTGAGGTGGGAGGATCACTTGAGCCTGGAAGGTTAAGGCTGCAGTGAGCCATGCTCATACCACTGCATTTTAAGACCCTGTCCAAAAAAAAAAAAAATTATATCTGTACAGAACATGTACAGACTTTTTCCTCTTGCCACTATTCCCTAAACAATAGAGTATAACAGCTATTTACATAGCATTTACATTGTATTCAATATTATAAGTACTCTAGAGATGATTTAAGGAATACCAAAGGATAATGCATAGGTTATATGCAAATACTATGTCATTTTATATTGAGAACTTGAGCAAATGAGGATTTTTGTATCCATGGGGAGTCTAAAACCAATCCCCCATGGATACCAAGGGACAACTATCTATTGCTGTGTAACAAATTACCCCAATACTGGGCAGTTTAAAACAACATACATTTAGTATGTCAGTTTCTGTGGGTCAGGAATCCAGGAGTAGCTTAGCTAGGTCATTCTGCCTCAGGGTTTCTCATGAGTTTGCAAACAAGATGTTGGCTGGGGCTGCAGTCATCTGAAAGCTTGACTGGGGCTGGAGGAGCTGCTTCCAAGATGGCTCACACATACAGCCATTAGCAAAAGGCCTTAATTCCTCACTGACTGATGGCAAGAAGCCTCGGTTCCTTTCATGTGGACCTCCCCAAGGGGCTGCTTGAGTATCCTCACAACATGTCAGCTAACTTTCCCCAGGGCAAGTGATTCCAGAGTGAGAGCAAGGAGGAACCCACAATATCTTTAATGACCTAGCCTTGGAAATGACACCATCACTTCTGCTGTATTCTCTTAGCTGGAAGTGAGTCACTAAGTCTATCCCACATTCAAGGAGAGGGAAATTTAAGGGAGAAGTATCAAAGAATTTGCAGACATATTTGAAAACCACTACAATTAAATAGGGTGCTCAGCATAAGAGAAAGGTAATATTGGCCAAGCAGATACGGAAGGCTCTTTCCTCTGTCTAGAATGCTCTCCTACTCACCTCCATGTCTGCTTGACCAATTCCCTCACCTCCTTTAGGTTTTTGCTCAAATATTACCTTTCTCTTATGCTGATATTGTTGGGGCTGGAGTGCATGCAGGTAAAGGGAAAGAGGAAAGTGCCCCCTGAGAGGCAACTAGCAGAGCTTCCACATGCCTGTCCTCCATCACTAGCTGTGTGGCCCTGTGGTCACTCTCCATTCTGAGTCCCAGTTTCCTCCTCTGTGTAATGGGAACGATAGTAGTAACTATTCATAGGTTTATTATGAGGATTAAATAAGACAGTATCTGTAAAGCATGCAGGCCATGTCTGGTATACTGTATTCAGTAAACATTAACTAATGTTATTCTTGTTACAATCAGATGCTGTAGCCTCAATCTTTTTAAATTTTTTTTTTAATTTTTTGAGACTGGGTCTCACTTTGTCAGCCAGGCTGGAGTGCAGTGGTGTAATCATGGCTCACTCCTGGGCTCAAGTGATCCTCCTGCCCCAGCCTCTCCAGCAGCTGGGACTACAGACATGAGCCACTGCGTCCAACCTGTAGCCTATTCTTCTCATCTGAGCCTCAGGTACAATGGTGCAGATCACCAGCTGGGGTCTCTTAGAGGACATGGCCCTTGGGGGATGTGGTAGCAATATCTCCTCTCCTCTGCAACATAGAGAAAAAGTGGCAGAGGAGACAAATTCTGCCTGCCAGCCAGCCCAGACCTCAGCATCAGAGAAGCCACCAGGTTTGGGTGTAAGTCGGCTAAGCTGCCTGGGGGGTTGGAAGCCTGGTCAGCTATGGACCAGGAAACCAGCTCAGAAGTTCGAGAATGAGGTCCTCCCCACACCCTCTCATGAGACCTCCAGTCTCAGTCAACCTCTAGACAGTCCCTTGCTGAGTGCTGGAAATGCGGCAGTGGACAAGAGCAAAACCCAAGAGGTAGCAAATCAAGTGTCCACGCCAGTCAGGACCTGAGGTCTTTGAGGGAGGTAGAAGCCACCTAGGATGGGTCCTCCGGTGTGTCCTCAGAAGGGGGACTGGACACAGGGAGGGAGAGGAAGGGACTGCACCCTTGCCCCGCAGCACAAGATGGAGCTCAGGGCCCAGTGCCTTTCCTTGGTCAATGCCCACCTGGGCCAAAGTCTACTATGGTCCTGTCTACTCGTGCTTGTAAAGGTGTGGCTTAGGGTAAAAGCAGCTTAGGTCAGTGTGAAAGGCTCTGCTCCAAGGGCTACAAATGTTGCCTCCACTCCTGATTCCACCACACACACACCGCAGATATACACTCCACATACATACCTCAGCAATTCCAACCATTTTCTGGGCCTCAGTTTCCTTCTCTGTCAAAAAGTCTTTGCTCAAATATAAGGACAGTAAGGATAAGGATACTTACTATAAGTCTTGGGATTACAGGCATAAGCCACAAGGATAGTAAGTTTTTCTGTGCCTAATTTATTCATACAGTCAATGCTTATTAAGTCCCTACTATGTGTCAAGCACTGTTCTGATGCCTTGGAAAGACTGTGTAGAGCAAGATATTCAATGCCTGTGCTCTCTGGGAGCTGACCTAGTGGTGGGGAATCATTCTCTGAAATACAGTCATGAGTCACTTAACAATGTGGATATGTTCTGAGAAACATGTTGTCAGGTGATCTTATCATTGTGCAAACATCATGGAGTGTACTTACACAAACCCAGACGGCACAGTCTACTATGCACCTAGGCTATGTGGTATAACCTATTGCTCCTAGGCTACAAACCTGTACTGCATGCTACTGGGCTGAACATTGTAGGCAACCCTAACACAATGGTAAGTATTCATGTACCTAAACACAGAAAAGGTATAGTAAAAATATGGTATAAAAATACAGTATAGGACAGGCACAGTGGCTCACGCCTGTAATCCTAAGACATTGGGAGGCCAAGGCGGGTGGATCACTTGAGGTCAGGAGTTTGAGACCAGCCTGGCCAACGTGGTGAAACCCCATCTCTACTAAAAATTAAAAAATTAGCCAGGCATGGTGATGCACACCTATAACCCCAGCTACTCCATAGGCTGAGGCAGGAGAATTGCTTGGACCCAGGAGGCGGAGGTTGCAGTGAGCCAAGATTGTGCCACTACACTCCAGCCTGGGCAACAGAGAGAGACTGTGACTCAAAAAAAAAAAAAAAAAAGAAAAAAGAAAAAAAAAGAAACAGTATAAAAGATTTTAAAAAACTGGTACACCTATATAGGGCACTTACCACAAGTGGAGCTTGCAGGACTGGAGGTTGCTCTGGGTAAGTGAGTGAGTGGTGAGTGAATGTGAAGGCCTAGGACATTATTGCACACTACTGTAGACTTTATAAGCTACACTAAATTTATAACAAAGATTTATTTCTTTAATAATAAATTAACCTTAGCTTACTGTAACGTTATGTACTTTTTAAAACTTTTAAACTCTTTTGTAATAGCACTTAGCTTAAAACACAAACACATTGTACAGCCTTTCCTTCTTTCACTTTATTTATTTGTTTGGGACAGAGTCTTGCTCTGTTGCCCAGGCTACAGTGCAGTGGTGCGATCTTGGCTCACTGCAACCTCTGCCTCCTGGGTTCAAGTGATTCTCCTGTCTCAGCCTCCCAAGTAGCTGGGATTATAGACACGCACCAACATGCCTGGCTAATTTTTGTATTTTTAGTAGAGACGGGGTTTCGCCATGTTCGCCGGGCTGGTCTCGAACTCCTCACCTCAGGTGATCCGCCCTCCTGGGCCTCCCAAAGTGCTGGCACTACAGGCATGAGCCACCGTGACTGGCCCTCTTTTTTTTTTTTTTATGACAGGGTCTCACTCTGCCACCTAGGCTGGAGTGCCATGGCACAATCCTGGCTCACTGCAGCTTCAACCTCCTAGGCTCAGGTGATCCTCCCACCTCAGCCTCCCAAGTAGCTGGGACTACAGGTGCATGCCATCATGCCTGACTAATTTTTTTTATTATTGGTAGATACAAGGATCTTGCTATGTTGCCCAGGCTAGTTTCAAACACCTGGGCTCAAGTGATCCTCCTGCCTCAGCGTCTCAAAGTGTTGGGATTACAGGCGTGAGCCGCCACACACAGCCCGTTTTTGTTCTTTATATCCTTATCCTATAAGCTTTTCTCTATTTTCAATATTTTTTTTTTTACTGTTTTTGTTAAAAACTAAGACACAAACACACACATTAGCCTGGGGTCAGGATCATCAATATCACTGTCTTCCACCTCCACACCTTGGCGCACTGGAAGGTTTCAGAGGCAGTAACATGCAGCTGTCATCTCACGTGATAACCGCCTTCTGCAATACCTCCTGAAGGACCTGCCTGAGGCTGCTTTACAGTTAACTTTTTTTTTTAAGTAGAAGGAGTCCACTCTAAAATAACAATAAAACATATCATAAGTACGTAAACCAGTAACATAGTTGTTTATCATCATTATCAAGTGTACTGTACATAACTGTATGTGCTATACTTTTATATGACTGGGGGCGCAGTAGGTTTGTTTACACCAGCATCACCACAAACACGTGAGGAATGTGTTGCGCTATGACGTTACAGTGGCTACAAGGTCACTAGGTGATAGGAATTTGTCAGCTCCATTGTAATCTTATAGGACCATTGTCTTGACCCAAATGTAATGCAGGGCATGACTGTATGGTGGTGGGTGCTAAGGACAGAAGCAAAACAGAGTAAGGGGACAGAATGGATAGAGGGTGGTCAGGGAAGGTCTTGTGGCTGTCTGAAGGAAGGGCATTCCAGGCAGAGGGCACAGCAAGAGTCCTGAGAAGCAAATGTGCTTGGGGCATCCAAGGAGCCTGGAGGAAGCAGTTTATGGAAACTCTAGAAACAAATGAGGTCTGACCATAGCAACACTTTCAGAACAAAGGCCAGATCATGTCACTCCTCTGCCAAAGTCCTTGCAAGGCCTCAATGCAGTTGGCCTCCCTGCTACCCTCCTAGCCCCACTGCACTCTGTCCACACTCCCTTAGGGCTGCGGCTCACCCTTGCCTAAGGCTTCCCCCTAACTCAGAGGTCCTTAATCAGAATCACCCGCAGGGCTTATTAAAACACAGATGCTGAATTCCAGCCCAGTTTCTGATTCAGAAACTGATTTGAGTCTGGTGTACGGTCCTAGAATGTGCATTTCTAATGGGGTCCCTGGTAAGGCTGACACTTCAGGACTTGTTGCTACAGTTTTAGAAGTGCTGCTCCAGCGTTCTCTCTGCTGATACGGCTTTTTTTTTTTTTCTTCTTTTAAAGATAGAGTCTTGCTTTGTTGCCCAGGCTGGAGTGCAGTGGCACCATCTCGGCTCACTGCAACCTCTGCCTCCTGGGTTCTGGCGATTCTCCTGCCTCAGCCTCCTGAGTAGCTGGGACTACAGGTGCGTGCCACCACACCCAGCTAATTTTTGTACTTTTTGTAGAGACGGGGTTTCACCATGTTGGCCAGGCTGATATCAAATTCCTGACCTCAAGTGACCTACCCACCTCAGCCTCCCAAAGTGCTGGGATTACAGGCGTAAGCCACCACGCCCAGCCCGCTTTTGCCCCAGATACCCCACTTAATACTACAACTTGCTCCCCTCCTCCCCTGCACCCCAACCTCCTTCCTACTCTATTTTTCCTTTTTTTTTTTTGTCTTTTCTCTTTTTTTTTTTTTTTTTTTGAGATGGAGTCTCACTCTGTCGCTGGGGCTGGAGTGCAGTGGCGCTATCTAGGCTCACTGCAACCTCCGCCTCCTGGGTTCAAGCAATTCTCCTGCCTCAGCCTCTTGAGTAGCTGAGATTACAGGCGTGTGCTACCACACCCAGCTAATTTTTGTATTTTTAGTCGAGACAGGGTTTCACCATGTTGGCCAGGCTGGTCTCAAACTCCTATATCAGGTGATCTGCCTACCTTGGCCTCCCAAAGTGCTGGGATTACAGGTGTGAGCCACCATGCCCGGCCTAAAGAACTTCTTAAACATTAGTTACACACACATTTTTTTTTAAATGGAAAATCATCTGGTGGTGCAATGGCTCCCAAATGCTGGTGACCTAAGACCAATGATGGCAGAATAATTTTTTGTTTGTTTTGTTTGTTTTTTTTTGTTTTTTGAGAGAGGGTCTCCCTACATCACCCGGGCTGGAGTGCAGTGGTGTGATCATAGCTCACTGTAGCCTCAACTTCCCAGGTTCAAGTGATCCTCCCACCTCAACCTCCCAAGTAGCAAGGACTACAAGTGCACACCACCATGCCAAGTTAATTTTTTATTTTTTCAGAAACAGGGGTCTCAAACTCCTGAGCTCAAGGGATCTACTTACCTCGGCCTCCCAAAGTGCTGGGATTACAAGCGTGAGCCACTCACCTGGCCTGCTTGTTGATTTTTTTGAGACAAGATCTCTGTCGCCCAGGCTGGAGTGCAGTGGTGCCATCATGGCTCACTGCAGCCTCCACCTCCAGGGCTCAGCTAATCCTCCCACCTGAGCCTCCTGGGTAGCTCAGACTACAGATACATGCCACTATGCCCAACTAATTATTTAACTTTTTGTAGAGACACGGTCTCACTATGTTTCCCAGGCTGGTCTTGAGCTCCTGGGCTCAAGCAATCCTCTCACTTTCATCTCCCAAATTGGGCAGATTTTCCGTCTTTATCAAAGCCCCCACTCACCCACCCCTTACCCCCCACATCTCCAGATAAGTGTGAGGCATGGCCAGGTTTAAGAATTTCTGTGAGAAGCCTTACCTGTAGAGAAAGATTCAGGAGAATAAATTCCAGGGTGTAGCTTTTTACACTTTGCAAAAATGTGACCACACCCATGGTCATTTATCACTACCCACAAGCTCTCAGGCTGACCAGGCAAGATCACCGTCTCCCTTTCACAGAGCAGAAAGCTGAGGCCCTGGGGAATCAAGTAATACTCCCCGCTCAACACTCAACAGTCACAGCTGGTTGGTGGTGGAGGTCACACACCTGTGGGTGGCAGAGATATGATTAGAACTTGGGCCTCTGGCTGGGCGCAGTGGCTCATGCCTGTAATCCTAGCACTTTGGAAGCCTGAGGTGAGAGGGTCACTTGAGGCCAGGGATTCGAGATAAGCCTGAGGCCCTCCTCACTCCCCCACGCCGCCCCTCCCCCCCGCTCCCTTCTCTATTTAAAAAAATAAGAAGAAAGAGGGAAGAAAAGACCTTGGGCCCCTGAATTCTCACTCTAGGGCTCTCCCCTCTACATCAACTGGATAAACCCAAGTTCCAGGAAGTCCCAAGGATGCCACAGGTCGGGGGAAGGTCAGAGAAGGGAGAGAGAGTGTCAAATGCGTGGAGGGTAAGGTTCTGGGAGGCTGTCTCCTGGCCACAGGAAAGACTCCAGTTGCCCTAAGGACTTGGAAAACACATGGCATTCACACGCTAACTCTGGCTGCCTGTGACCTCAGGACAGCCACTTTCTCTTTGTGTGCTTCTCCTTATCACTGAAATGGGGCTGATAATCCATGCCCTGCCCCCAACAAAATACTTGTAGAATGTAAAGCACTTTAAAAGTCCAAGTTATTATTGCTGTTATCAAGAGAAGGCCCTTTGGGACAGAACTTAAATAGCCTTGGCCGGGCGCGGTGGCTCACGCCTGTAATTCCAGCACTTTGGGAGGCCGAGGCGGGCGGATCACGAGGTCAGCAGATCGAGACCATCCTGGCTAACACGGTGAAACCCCGTCTCTACTAAAAATACAAAAAAAATTAGCCGGGCGTGGTAGCGGGCGCCTGTAGTCCCAGCTACTCGGGAGACTGAGGCAGGAGAATGGCGTGAACCCGGGAGGCGGAGCTTGCAGTGAGCCAAGACAGCGCCACTGCAGTCCAGCCTGGGCGAAAGAGCGAGACTCCGTCTCAAAAAAAAAAAAAAAAAGAACTTAAATAGCCTTTCTTTCATCTAAGGGACACTTTTGAGCATCTACCACATACCAGGCACTGTGCTAGGCACTGTGCACACATGCCCTCACTTACCCCTCACAAAGGGTCAGTGCTGCTGTTCTTTACCTTTTACAGATGAAGAAACTGAGGCTCAGCTGAGAGTTGCAATTCATTCCATCATTAGTTCATTCACTCAGCTTTTACTAAAAGCCTGCTCTGGGCCAGGCTCTGGGCCAAGTGCTGAGAAGAAGAAGATGAACAAGTCCTTCAGGAGACGTGCCCATAAATTAATAACAACTAAGTACATGCTTCAACAGACAAGGTGCAGTGGGAACTAGAGGGGGAGCAACAGGCTCTCCTGGGGGTTATGGGAATGGACAGCTGACCTCCTGCGGGGACCCTGCACCGCTAAGGTGCATGCGCCCTGTGTAGCTGTGCAGTCTCACTTTGATCAAGGCTTTGCTGTGTATTTCCAGGAAGCCTCTTCCGCCACTGAGCCTCGGTCTCTACCTGGAAAGTTAAAAGGTTGCGTAGGCCTGACATCCTGCAGCTCTTGGGGGGCCTAAAACTCTGGCCCTCCCACCCCACCTTCTGGTCAGTTCAAGCTCTACCCCAGCCAAGTCCGATTCCGAAGCCCTGAGGGCCAGACCGAATCCCTCCGAAAGTGCCAAATACCCCGCCCCAGGGCGGTGCTCAGAGCCTGGGGCGTGGCCGGAGTCCCAAGGGGCGGGGTTCCAGTGGGAGGGGCGGGGCCAAGACCTAGATGCAGGCGTGCGCGGCCCGCCCAGAAGCGTCTCGCCCAGCCAATGAGCGTCCGAGGGCGGGGAAGCCCCGCCTCTGGGTATAAGAATACGCCGAGCCCAGCTACGCGACGCGGAGGTTTCGGAGCACTACAGGTTGCGGGCCTTTGTGACCCCAGGCTGCGGCCGCAAGGTGCGCAGTAGTGGGCTGGGCCGGGGCACCAGTCGGGTTTGGTTTTGCTCCGCCCGGCCGAGCTGCAGGGACCGCACGGTGCCCGGGTCTCCCGCCGCAGAGCAGCCGCTGGCCCGGGCCGGGGGAGCCGGCGCTGACCACCGCGCGCTGTCCCCGCAGGCAGCCGGCCTGCCGCCATGGCCGACCACCTGATGCTCGCCGAGGGCTACCGCCTGGTGCAGAGGCCGCCGTCCGCCGCGGCCGCCCATGGCCCTCATGCGCTCCGGACTCTGCCGCCGTACGCGGGCCCGGGCCTGGACAGTGGGCTGAGGCCGCGGGGGGCTCCGCTGGGGCCGCCGCCGCCCCGCCAACCCGGGGCCCTGGCGTACGGGGCCTTCGGGCCGCCGTCCTCCTTCCAGCCCTTTCCGGCCGTGCCTCCGCCGGCCGCGGGCATCGCGCACCTGCAGCCTGTGGCGACGCCGTACCCCGGCCGCGCGGCCGCGCCCCCCAACGCTCCGGGAGGCCCCCCGGGCCCGCAGCCGGCGCCAAGCGCCGCAGCCCCGCCGCCGCCCGCGCACGCCCTGGGCGGCATGGACGCCGAACTCATCGACGAGGAGGCGCTGACGTCGCTGGAGCTGGAGCTCGGGCTGCACCGCGTGCGCGAGCTGCCCGAGCTCTTCCTGGGCCAGAGCGAGTTCGACTGCTTCTCGGACTTGGGGTCCGCGCCGCCCGCCGGCTCCGTGAGCTGCTGAGGGCGGCCGGCGCCCGCCCGGCGTGCCGGAGAGGAGAAAGGGCCCGACTGCCCGCCGGACCCTGCACCCAGCGACTGGGCCCCGCGCGCGCCCTCCGCGAGGGTGGAGGCGGCGGCTGTGTGCGCAGGGCCCGGCACCGGACTGGGACCCTGGCGTCCCTCCAGGCCTTGCCTCCTGCGGGAGGACAGTTTGGCTTCACTTCTCTGACCCCAGCCTCGGCCGTAAAGTGAAAGAGACCGGACCAGCTTCAGCTTTCGGACTCTGGTTCTTGGATCGTGTCCTCTCCCCCTCGCCGCCCTCTTCCCCCAATCTGAGCCATTGCAGGCCTCTGCCTGCTGCCCCCTCTCTCCTCGGGATCGGGTCCCCAGAGCCACCATCTCCTGAGCCTCCCACCCCGCTGCCTGGGCCCTGTGGTTGCTGGGCCTCCCACCTCAAGGAGGGGAAGGTTGTACAGCCCGAACCCGTGGAGCAATGCCCTGTCTGGCCTCCAAAACCAAAATAAAACTGGGTCACTTTACAGTCTTGCCGTTTTCATTTCCTTATCACCCCGAGCCCTGACTATATTTAGCTTCCAAAGTCCCAAGGTTGCTGAAGACACTGGATGGCATGGGGGCCACAGTCCCCAGCAGTGCCCAGGAGAGGAAACCGACAGTTTCTTTCAAAAATATCTCGTGGGTTGTGCAATTGTTATGTCACAACCTGGAGGGCAGAGGCTGCCACTGGGTGGTGGGGTAACCCACTGGGCTTCCCAGCTCCTAGGGTAGGGTGGGGGGAGCTTGGTGCTCTGCCAGAGAGGAGCTGGGTGGCACCGAGTTCAGACAGCCTAGCTTTGGACCCTGACTCTCTCCTTTGCCCAAGACACCATCCGTTCTGATTTTTGAGGCGGTTTCCCAGAGGGAGATGGTCCCCGTCTCCTCAGGTAGTTACGCTGCCTTTAGCACAGTGCCAAATACCTGGGCAGTTCTCAGTAAGTGACGGCAATTATTATTCTACAAATTGGTGCTGATTTTATTCCAGGCCCTGTGTCAACCTGGTGCATGTTCTCATGGAATCACAGCCCAGGTGGGAGGAGGTGGGTGATAGGCCTGAAAACAAACTAATCTTGCTGCAAGGAAGACTGTGATGAGTTCTAGAAAACAGTGCTAAGCAGCACTTTGGGAGGCCGAGACGGGCAGATCACGAGGTCAACAGATCGAGACCATCCTGGCTAATATGGTGAAACCCCGTCTCTACTAAAAATATAAAAATTAGCTGGGCATGGTGGTGCGCGCCTATAGTCCCAGCTACTCGGGAGGCTGAGGCAGGAGAATCGCTTGAACCCAGGAGGCAGAAGTTGCAGTGAGCCGAGATCATGCCACTGCACTCCAGCCTGGCAACAGAGCGAGACTCCTCAAGAAAAAAGAAAATAGTTCTGGGGGGGATTGTACAGCCAGGACAATAGACCGGCCAAGCGGGCACACCCAGAGAAGGGAGCAGTTTCAGCTATTAATAGTTGAGGTTGGGGTCAGTTCAGGCTTCAGGGAAGCGGTGACATTTGACGTGATGAACAGAGCCTTGAGTGATGAATATGTTTTTAGGAGAGGAGCCTGTTTCAAGGCAGGAAGGCACACAAGTACGATGAATGTTTGGGGAAGGTGTGGGGTGTCTAGAAGGTACAAGAAAGGTCGAATGGCTTTACGACAACTTCGTGAGGCAAGCACAGTCCTCATTCTACACATGAGGGTTGTGGAGTGTGCCCAGGCCTGGCAGGATTTGGCCTCAGAGTCCTGAGCACCAGCGTGAGTTCCTGGCCACCCTCTGCAGTTCACTCTGGAAAAATCCCTAGGTGCTTCTGAGATGTGGGAGAAAAGCTGGGAAAGAGATTGAAGTCAGGGAGGAGGCCGGGTCAGAGACGCTGCGGTGGTGGGGCATTCTCTAGGAGAGCATGGATTCCAGGGACACTGGAGGGGAACACCAGGCTGAGACCTTCTGTCCCCAGCAGCTGGGCTTGACTCTCAAGCCAGGCTTTTTTGTGGATGTGACCCTCCACCAACCTGTGAGTTCTCCCAGGACCTACTGTGCTCTGAAGCTACCAGGATGGAATGTGGCTGGTGACAGGAGGTGTTTGGCAAATGAATAAAGGTCTCCCTAAGATCATGGGATTTCTGGGACAGGATGAAGAGAGAAAGGAAGAGAGCCTTCTGGGAAGGGACTGGCCTGAGCTCTGGGCTCAGAGGGGCTGGCATTTGCCCACCCCACCGCCCCGCTGCTTTGCCCAGAACCCCAGGCCAGAGACAGAAACCACAGGGCTGAATTAGTACAGGAGGGTTTGACCCTGAGCTGAACACTTCCCTGATTCTCTTCTCTCTCCCCTCAGTTTCCACACCAGTAAAATGGGGCTAATATCCCTGCCCTGCTACATTACAAAGCAATAACCCTCACAATTAGTAAGGAACAAATTCAGAGATGGGTTGATAAGCAGTTGGCAAACTCTGAAGTGCTCTCCATATGGAAGGGATTACAACGAAAACCCCAACACCTGCCTCTTTCCAGAGTTAAGGGGGAAGCGGAGGAGAGAGTCCAGCTGCTGAGCTCTTCCCTCCTGCATCCCTCCAAAAGGGACTGCTGACAAGTTGGACAGCAGACAGATGGACAGGGGAGAAGATGAGGCTGGGGCATCCCACAGCCTGGATCCCCAAATCCCTGATACTGTTTGGAGGCTTCTGACCCTACCATCCCCTACCAGGGGAAGAGAGAGTACGTGTAGAGACAGTGAGGAGAGCAATGGGCTTGTCGTCTGACAGCCTCAGGGTCCAGTTCAGAAGCAACTCTTACTAGCTGCCTGACCTCAAGGAAGCCACCACACCTCCCGCATCTTGGCTCTCCTAAGATAATCACACGAGCTTCCGTGGTGCCAACAGGGTGTCGCTCATGTCTCCCCCAGGGCTGCCTCCTAAAGCAACCTGTTGCCAAAGGGTGCTGTGGATTTCTCTCTTATACCTAGGCTGGATCTTGGGGGTCAGAAATCAGGCTTCCTCAGGGTTGAGAACTGAGTCATGACACAAGTCATTTTCCCATCCTTTTGTTGTTGTTGTTTTGTTTTGTTTTCCTATTCATATGAAAGTTTCCAGGCTGATGTTCTTTATTTTGAATTATCTTTTGGTTGACTGGATTTTATCAACAAGCTGTCATTTGTGTGTGTGGTTTTTTTTCCTTCAAGAAAAGTATAATTTCCCTTGAACTCATCTCTACAATGGGAATGCTAATAGTACCACCCTGCAGAACTGCTGTGGAGATTAAACAAGTTAGTGCAGGTAAAGTATTGAGAGCAGTGTGGTTTGTAGTAAGTGCTGTTATCCCTGATAACAGCACTTTTTGGAGATGCCTTTGTATTAGAATATTAGAAAGGCTGTGTTTTAACCAGCTAGAAAGGGGTTACTCCAACAAGCAACACTGTTACAGGTGGGGTTCCCTGGGAAGCAGACTCTGAGATGACATTCAGCTAGCAAGAGGTGTATTAGGGAGTGCCTTCAGGATCAGCAGCTGCAGAAGGGAGGGGACAGAAGGAGCTAAGAAGCTACAAAGCAGGCCCAGCAGGAGCCTCAGCCAGCCCCGCTGGGAGCTCTGGAGCTAGAAGGGCCCTTCAGAGTTGGCCTGAGTTGGACCATTTTAATCCTTTATACTCCTGCCTCCATCAGTCACTGGATGTGAGCCACCCAGAGAAGTGGTGTGACTGTGGGCAAGGCAGCTGTCCCCAGCTAAGCTCATCCCTGGAGGAGCTGCCAGGGTACGGCTGTCTACCAACAGCAGCACTCCTGGGGGCTAGAGCAATGATTCCTTTTCTTCTCTTTTCTTTTGTTCTTTTTTTTTTTTTTTTTTTTGAGACAGAGTCTCACTCTGTCGCCCAGGCTGGAGTGCAGTGGCGCGATCTCTGCTTACTGCAACCTCTGCCTTCCGGGTTCAAGTGATTCTCTTGCCTCAGCCTCCTGCATAGCTGGGGTTACAGGTATGTGCCACCGGACCCAGCTAACTTTTGTATTTTTAGTAGAGATGGGGTTTCACCATGTTGTCCAGTCTGGTCTCCAACTTCTGGCCTCAAGTGATCTGCCTGCCTTGGCCTCCCAACGTGCTGGGATTACAGGATGCACCACCGTGCCCAGACTAGGGCAATGATTTCATAGAAGGGGGCTCTGGGCGGCACATCACAGTGTTCACCACAAGCACTGGGGTGGGGACTCTGGTTCCCAACAGCAAGGGACTCTTTAAATTTATGCCCTGGGTATCTCTTTTGCCTCACCTTAGTCTCAGACCTGACCAGCACCTTCCCCATTACAGAACAAAAACAACAAAATGTAAATGTATCAACCTTACAGGTTTGATGTGATGAGACTCTATACAAAATACCCCACACATGGTAGATTCTCAATAACTGAGCGCTGCCATCACTATCATAATTGTCATTGTCATCATCATCGTCATTGTCATCATCATTATCATCATCGTCATTGTCATCATCATCGTCATCACTCCAGGTCAGATAAGTGTTCAACAGTCATTTATCGAATAAATTAATGATCAGTCTGATCCTAGCCTTTTCCCAGGCAGCTTAAGTGGTTTAGCTGATTACTAAGTAATCCTCTTGAATTCCTTAATCCATCGTGGCCTAACTCTTCATGCCACCCTGTTGTTAGAAGTGCTGGGACAAGATTAGTGCCAACTATAAGACCAAATAAGTGCTTACTGAGTGGCTGCTGCGTGCAGGCATGGTGGGAACTGACGGGGAGTGCCCAGTGGCACTCTTTCTTTTCCAGTCTCTCTTTAATCACCGCCCAACCCTGTAAATAGCACTGCTAGGTAGTTTATCCCCATTCCAGAGGTCAGAAAACTGGGGCACTCAGAGAATTACTCCAAGTCACACCTCAGTAAGAGGTGAGGTGAGCATGTCCACCCCACCATATCCAGGGCCTGTCCCCTTCCCAGGCTGGATCTGGCCAAGGACCTGAGCCTGGGTGGGATAAGAGCAGAGTCCCAGAGCTGATCTGCCACTCTGAGGCTGTGAATTGCAGAGGAAGTTACTGGGCCTCCTTAGGCTTTGATTCCTTCTTCCATCCAATGGAGAGAATAATTCCAACATCTGAAGAATGTGTGTGCAAAGATTCACATGAGGCTGGGTTTCTGAGAGCACACTGCAAGCAGTGCAGTGCTGCCTGGCCAAAGTGGGTTTGTGGCTGAACAACCATGGCCCTTATCCTGTAGCTGGTCTGGGAAGAGGACACCTGCATATACTTTGGGGCTTGAGATCTGGCCAGCCTGGAGCATGCAACGTAGAGTCTCATGTTGAGGGCTCTAAGGAGGCACTGCTGAGCAGCTCAGCGTCTGGACGGCCCTGAGGGCTGGTGCTGATAAAAGAGTGGGATGTGGGTCAGCTTGGGGAGGACACACAGGTTGGGGGACTGGGCATGAGTAAAGGCCCAGGGCCCAAAGTGTGCCCTGATGGATAGAAGAAATAAAGGAAGCTACTCTGAGTGCAGTCCCCTCGTCTGTCAAATAGAGACACGATAAGCTTCTTGTGAGAATGAACCAAGGTGATGTTAAGTGCCTGACCCGTGAGCTGCTCAGGTGGAGCTGTGGCTGGGAAATATGACCACAGGGACGAGAAGGACAGAGCCCTGCCCCACCCAGCCTCCAAGTGCCTTCCCACCCTCAACTCCAGCCACCCCAGGCTCCTCATGCACGATGTTCCTCGTGCCGCCAAGCCTCTGTTCCTTTGCCTGTGCCATTTCCTCAGCCTGAAATGCCCTCCATAGGGCCTTTTCCACATCCAAAGGCCTATTACCTTGTGTGTCAGAGTCGCTGAGGGGTCTTTCTCCACCAGACTGTAAGGCTCACCATCGCCCCCTGTGTGGCTCAGAGGGCATTAGGAAGTGCTGGGCCAGGCATGGTGGCTCACACCTAGAATACCAGCACTTTGGGAGGCCGAGGCAGGAGGATCACTTGAGTCCAGGAAAATTTTAATACATTTTAAACTTAAAATTTCATTTTTTATTTATGAGGTGTAGTTAACTCTAAGGTTGGCAAAACAAATTTTCAAAATAATTTTTTAAAAATAAAAATAGTCTGGGCGTGGTGGCTCATGCCTATAATCCCAGCACTTTGGGAGGTCGAGGCAGGTGGACCATTTGAGGTCAGGAGTTCGAGACCAGCCTGGCCAACGTGGTGAAACCCCATCTTTACTAAAAATACAAAATTAACTGGGTGTGGTGGTGGGTGCCGGTAATCCCAGCTACTTGGGAGGCTGAGGCAGGAGAATCACTTGAACCCAGGAGGCAAAGGTTGCAGTGAGCTGAGATTGCACCATTGCACTCAAGCCTGGGCAACAAGAGCGAAACTCTGTCTTAAAATAATAAAAATAAATAAATAATAAAATAAAATAAAATATTATAATCCTATTTATATAAAAAAGAGATGTGTATTATGTATATGTATGTAACGTATGTGTAGTATAATGGAATCGTGTGTGTTTGAAAAGTCTTGTGTGGGGGTGGTCTGACTTTTTACTCTGTGCTTTCTACATTGTTTGAAAATTATTTTGTCTTAAGCGTATATTTATTTTGACCAAAAACATGTGTTTGTTTGAAACAAAACGATTGGCTCACACCCTTTCTTGGGCTAGGGCAGTCTGCTGTCTGATGTGCCCGTTTTATGGCAAAGCCCTAAGCCTGAGCTCCTCTGTGGGAAGAGGCATACAAATGAGCCCCGCTGGAGACCACCCTCTAATGGGCTGTGGAGGACTCCCTGCTCCATCCCTGGCCACACTTCTGCTTCACGGAGATACCTGGACTTGATGTTCGTGGATATCTACCCTCCGTGACTCTACAAATGAGAACAATCCCCAGACAGGTGCGGTGGCTCACACCTGTAATCCCAGAACTTTGGGAGGCTGAGGTGGATGGATTACTTGAGGTTAGGAGTTCGTGACCAGCCTGGCCAGCGTGGTGAAACCCCGTCTCTACTAAAAATATAAAAATTAGCCAGGCATGGTGGCGGGCGCCTGTAATCCCAGCTACTCGGGAGGCTGAGGCAGTAGAATCGCTTGAACCCAGAAGGCAGAGGTTGCAGTGAGCCGCGATTGCGCCATTGCACTCCAGACTGGGCAACAAGAGCGAAACTCTGTATCAAAAAAAAAAAAAAAAACAACGCCTTAGAATCTTGAGTGTCACACAGACTTCAATGGGTCCTGCGCTCAGCTCCCTATTTTAGTGGGGGGCGGGGGCGGGGGGGCGGGGTGCCATGTTGCCCAGACTGGTTTCGAACTCCTGGGCTCAAGTGATCTGCTCGCCTCAGCCTCCCAAAGTGCTAGGATTACAGGCAGGAGCCACTGCGCCCAGCCAAGCTTCTGGATTTAAACGAAGGACAGGGGTGGTCCGGCTCTCCTCAGAGACGTCTGTGGAGTGGTGCTTCTGCCCCTAATGAGACAGCAACACAGACAGACGAGCAGCAGGGCCTGAGAGACTTGGCGTCAGACCTGGGCTTGTCTCTCAGGCCCTGCTGCTAGCTTGAGTCTTTCAGGCCCTTCTGGGTTTGAATCTGGCTCCAAACTACATACATGACATTTGGCAAAGCCACTTTACCACTGTTAGCCTCTGTTTTTGTTTCTAAACTAAAATATGTTCCAATACTTACACACTCAACAGATGGGATTAAACGAGCTATTGGCTGATGTACTTAGCACGGTGCCTGGCATGCAGTAAGTTCCCAATAGCAATAGCTATTTCCAACTTGGCACAGCAGTGCTGAGTCAGCAATAGCTGTGAGTATGTCCAGAGAAGGGGTCCAGGGTGGGCAGGGAGGACTTCAAACCATGTCCCACGCAAATGGCTGAAGGACGGGGCTCTTCAGCCAGCGGAGAAAGACCCAAGGGCAGAAGTAGGCGTCTGCTATTTATGCCTTCCAGGATTTAGTCACCCTTCTCCTGATAAAAGGTTTCCCAAAAATTCCTTTGGGAAACCACCTCTCCCTCGTTTATAGCCCACGTAGCTTGGGTAAGTTTTCTTGTTCCCCTGTATGTGATTCAAAATAAAATACTGCTTAGCTGTAAAATCAGTGTAAGGAAGCCCCAAATCTTTCCATGGCTATTTTGCAATAGCAATACTTTATCTTCTTCTCCTCCTCGTCCTCCCCTTTTTCTTCTTCGCATCAAAGTCTTTCAAATTTGCAGCTAGTACCTTAAACACATGAGCTGTCTGCTTGTTAGGTCATTCAGTACTGACTCATGATATCTCACCTGACTCGCTGTCATCTAAGCTAGCGCATTATTATTCCAGGTTATAGAGAGATGAGGGAACTGTGGCTTACAGAGACGAAATGACTTGCCTGCTTCCACACAGCTAGTAATTTATTGAGTTAAAATATTTAACATAATTGGGATGGTGCCTCGCACATAGTAAGAAATATTTAAGTGTTAGCTGCTACAACAAAGAGAACAAGAAAAGTGGATTTCATTTTGTTTTGTTTGAGACAGAGCCTCACTCTGGAGTGCAGTGGCACAATCACAGCTCACTGCAGCCTTGAATTCCTTGGGCTCAAGCAATCCTCCTGTTCCCAAGTAGCTGGGACTACAGGCGCACGCCACGCCATCCAGCTAATTTTTTAATTTTTGTAAAGATGGAGTCTCACTATGTTACCCAGCCCGATCTCAAACTCTTGGGCTCAAATGATCCCCCTGCCTGGGCCTCCCAAAGTGCTGGGATTACAGGCATGAGCCACCGTACCTGGCCCAGAAAGATGTTAAAGTGGCTTGCAGAGCAGAAAAGACTTCTTTCTGATTCCACTCCGTCATTCAGACCCAGATTGCTTGCTTCCTGTTGCTCTGCTTTTCATGACTCCAACCTCGTGGGCCAAGATGTCTCCTCAAAGTCCAAGTTGGCTTTCTTTCCTTTTCTATCTTTTTCTGCAGAGCGGAATCTGGGTCATGGACATCTTTGTGTCTGGCTCTCAGGAAGGTGAGACTGAGGAGGTGAGCACACCTGGTGTTCTAAGGCCCAGTGACTCATGTCACTTTTCAGATTTTCTTGACAAGAATTTAATTACATGAGCACACTTTGCAGTAAGGAAGGCTGGGAAATACGGTTTCTAGCTGGCGACAATGTGTTCATCAGTAACTTAATTACTCTGGAAGAGGGGAAATGGATTTTGGTAGACAACCAGCAGCCTCCACCACAGCCAAGTGACAGTAATAAGTGGCTCAGTTGAGATTAGAACTCAAGTCTCCTATGCCCCAGAGTACTTGGTACAGATGGGGAAGATATCAGAGGCCTGAGTCCTACATAAAGAGAATTGTTGCCTGGGCACAGTGGCTCACGCCTGTAATCCCAGCACTTTGGGAGGCCGAGGAAGGCAGATCACCTAAGGTCAGGAGTTCGAGGCCAGCCTGGCCAACATGGTGAAACCCTGTCTCTACTAGAAATACAAAAATTAGCCGGAATGGTGGCACGTAGTCCCAGTTACTCGGGAGGCTGAGGCTCGAGAATCACTTGAACCCGGGAGGCAGAGGTTGCAGTGAGCCGAGATCGCACCACTGCACTCCAACCTGGGTGACACAGCGAGACTCTGTCTCAAAGAAAAAAAAAAAGAACTGTTTAGATTTAGTAGACCTGGTAGCAGTCATCACTATGAATACTCATCTGTGGCAACTCACTTCCCTTCTTTGAGTCTCAGTTTCCTTGTCTGTAAAATGAGGATAGTAAGGGGCCTTACCCATGAGTTGCTGCTGTGAAAACACTGACCACAGTTCATAACACATACTAGGTACTTACACAGTGGGAAGGATGGGGTAGAATTTGAACATGAGCACGTGAAAGAAGGAAATTCCAAGGGAGGTGACAATGTGTGCAAATGCCGAGTGACATGAATGAATAAGACTTTACTAGGAAAGGCAACAAGTCCGGGGTGGTTAGTGTGTAGGGTGCATGGTCAGCGGGGGAAGGGTTGTGCTCGGAGTAGGCAAGGGTCAAAGAGGGGTGACCCTTAGTGGCAGGCTGAGGAGCTTGAACTTGATTCTGTTAGTAATGGGGAGTCACAGACGACATGAGCCGAGTGGAAACAGTTGGGTTTGTGTTTTGGAAAGGTCACTCTGGCTGTGGTGAGTAGAATGGATTTGAGAGGGGCAGGTGGGAGAAATGGAGAGCGCTGAGAAAGCATGAAATGCAATGTCTAGCATACATGAATATTCTTTTGAAGAATGAATGACTCTATCTCGATTACTTAGGATTATGCACGTGGCTTTGAGTGACAGAAAAACAGTAGCTTAAATAAAAAGAACCAGGTAGGTAGTCCAGAATGGGTGTAGTTATCCATAGTGTCAGCATCTAGGCCCCACCACCTTGTTGCTTTGTCATTTGTGGGTTAGACCTCATGATCCAAAAAGGCTGCTCGAGCTACCATATCAACATTCCAGCCAGAAAAAAAGAGAAAAGAGGAGTCGTGAACTTTCTGGAAGTTTTCTGCCCCTAACTACAAAAGAGGCTCAGAAATGTAGTCTTTATTCTGGGTGGCCATATGTGTAAGCAGAATTCAGAGGTTCTGCTACTGGGAAGAAGATGGGAATGGATCCTGCAGTCACGATAATGACCCACTGATGTGGAGGCTACAGGAAAGGAGTGGAAAATGATTCCCAGGGGTGTGGCTTGGGGCACAGAGTGACTCTTCCATGAGGTGAATCCTAGCAGGAAGAGCAGGCTGTAGGGAGCAGGATAGATTAGGATGGACACATCAGGCCATCCAAGGTGGACATCTAGGAGGAAGAGGGCCAGATAAATGGGTCTGGAGCTCAGGAATTAGGTCTGGACTGACAGTAACTTTGTTTGGGGGGGTATTAGCACATCCATTGTTGCCTTGGGAATGATGATGCCCAGTGATAAAAGAATGTGGCCAAGGACAGAACCTTGGATAGAGGCCGAGAATTAGCAGCTGGGGAAGTGGGAGAGAAACAGCAGAAAGGTGTCCTGAAAGCCCAGGGAGATGTTTCCCAAAGGAGGGCGTGGTCAGGGGTTCCTAATGCTGCTGAAAAGTCAGGTAAAGTGAGGACTAAAAAGAGGCTGTTCAATTGGGCAATCAGAAAGTCAAAATGACTTTGCCAGAGCAATTCCAGGGGAGTGGAGAGGCAGGAGACAGGATGCCATGGTCAGTGGGAAATGGGAAAAGAGGAAGTCAGGTCAACAAAGGTAGATGAATTGTTTAAAGGATCTTTTTGGACCTCAGTGTTTCCATGGGTCAAGTGACCCATGTCTGGGGCTTCTTTGCTGCGCTTTTTAGTGGACTTAAAAGCATTGAAAAGGCCTCTACAGTTGGGTTCGGCCTGGACGGCGCCTGCTTGAGATGGGATGCAACACCCATCTTTTCTCGGCAGGTGGCAGCACCACACCAAGTGACACCACCTGGACACCTCGACCAACACGAAATCCACATTGCACATCAGTGCATTTTCAGAGAAATGAAGCTTAGATCCCCAAACACCAAAGCGTTGGGTGGTGGTTGTTGCTGTTGTTGTCATTTTGGATGGAAGCCTTGAGTAGAGAAAACTGAATGGAACTTTCTGTTCAAGTCCTGGCTCTGTCACTTACTGGCTGTGCAACCTTCAGCAAGCCCTCTCACACATGCAAGCCTGCTTCCTGGTTGGCAAATCGGGCATGAGAACAAACCCAAAACCACCTCATGGTGTCACAGTGAGTCTGTAACAAAGTGCGCTTGTGTCGGATGTTCCTGTGGACAGACTCAGGGCTGGGGTGGGCAAGCGGGGATGGGCTCAGAAGCAGAGGGAAGGGACCAGACCCGCACAGCCATGGGGAGGGGGTGCCTGTGGTCTTTACAAAGGCTGCACACAACAGTACTGCTGGAGTCAGGAAAGTTGGGTTCGGATTTTGCAGGTGAGGGAACCAAGGCTCCCATATGACTCTCCACAGTCATACCCCTCAAACAGGCAAAGCAGAGGCACCAAAACCAAACTTCAGAAGAAGAATTTGATGCATAATATTTTTGAAAAAAAAAAAAAGGCTCAGAATTGCAGCATGGGAAAAATCTGAACTTCGTGGAACTTCTTTCCCATTGTTGTGTGGTTTCGTATTGTTTGCTGCCCTTCACTCCCCTGGTCCCTGTTTAATGCCCACGTTCTGAGAGCACCCCTGTATCTGCTCCTTCCCCCTAAGATGACATGGGGGAGGTTAAGGATGTGAGGGGAGGAGAGGAGGAAGCCATCCAGCCATCTGGAGGTCGAGAGACTCGGGCTCAGCTCTGGGCTCTGCCTTGGCTTACTAGGCCTCAGTTTTCCCAGCTGCAAAATGAGGCTATGGGACCAGTGGTCCCTTGGGAGCCTTGGCAGCTCTGACTTTTTATGAAGGCTTTGGATTCCCCTTGAGCTTCCCTGACCATCTCTCTGAAAGACGCCCCCTGCAACACAGTCACTATTCCATTTCCATTTTATTTTCTTCACGGCACTTATCACCCCATGAAATTATCGTGTTTTTTTTGTTTGTTTTCTGTCTAGACAGTAATCTACTATCTACTCTATGTGAGCAGGGACTTTGTGAGTGAGCTGCTAGGACCTTGGCACCTAAAATAGTGCTTGGCATGTACTAGAAATGAACAAACAATTGTAGAATAAGTGAATGAAGGGCAGAGAACACAGCCCCTTACTCTCTGAGACAAGTCCTGGAGTCCCCTTCTGTCAACTGCTCAGTTCTACCACCCCTATTTCTCTCTCTCTCTTTCAGATGTGCTGAACCTAACTAAAGCACCTTCAGGTGAGGTGTCCTGCCCTCAAAGTCCAGTCTGTTTTCCTGGCTCCAGACAACTCCAAGCCAAGGTCTTTACTGACGCCTTGTGGCCGTGGGGACACACAACAGGGACTGGGTGTATTCTCACTGGGAGATGATCAATCCCAGGTGGCTCTGCTTCCCTCCCTTCCAGCCAGCATATACGAATCACCTGTGTGCCCAGCCTTGCTTTGGGGAGAGTGATGACCCCAGCAGATGCATATCTTTTCTTTTTTAGAGACAGGGTCTCACTCTGTCACCTAGGCTGGAGTGCAGTGGCGCGATCATAGCTCACTACAACCTTGAACTCCTGGTATCAAGTGATTCACCCTCCTTGGCCTCCCAAAGTGTTGAGGTTTAAAGGTGTGGGCCACCGTGAACTGGCCACAGATGTGTTTCTTGTCCTCCAGGAGCTGAAGTCACACCAGGGGAAGGAGCAAGATTGTGGGGTCCAGGAGAGGATTTAGGGGAAGTCTGGCAGGGGCGAGTGGGAAGTAAGGGCAGACCCCATCCGAGTTCTGGGCAGGCGGGGCAGCTTGGGTCTCAGGCCTCAGATCCTTCTGCCAGGGTATCTGTTTGACAGCAGTCTTCCCACCTCTTCCAGGAAATCCTTCACATCTCCCACTCATTTTAGAGCCTGTTTGGGAAAAAAAGAAAGAGAAGAGGATATGCCTCATGCCCAGAGAAGCCATTTGGGACAAAAACAAAGATGTTGAAGGAGGATTTTTAAAATCCTCTGTGATGTATAATGTAAGTCTTCTATGACATTGCTTCCAGTAAAATCCACCTTACTAGCTGTCTTAACCAGGTCTTGCCGTGATAATGCCATGAAGAAAACAAACCCCCAATCTCAGTGTCCTACAAAATCAATGATTATTTCACACTCCTAAGTCTCCAAGTCAACTGCAGTTCAGCTGATGCTGGCTGGGCCAGGCTGGACTCTTGAATTCAGTCTAGGTCAGGTCTGCTCCACATGCCTGCATCCGGACCCAGGATGAAGAAACAACGGCTATCCGAGGCTCTCGAGGTGGAAGAACTTTGCCATGACTGTATGGCTTCCGCTTGAAAAAAAGCATACTGTCCTTCCTACCTGCCTTCGATTGGCCAAAATAAATCCCATGGCCAAGCCCAAAGTCAGGGGGTTGGTAGAGTGGATGCTATGGGGTTCCACCCAGATCCACCCTTCAGAGCCTGCTGGGAATCTTCTGCTGGCTCACAACTGTGTCACTCATTGGGAATTGCCCTTGGCCACAGGGAACTGCCTCACCCACAGTCATGGCCATGATTGGCTAATGATTGGCTGATGGTTTCCTTTGAAGGAAAACAAAGGCCTGCCTTCTTCCTTCAGTTTAGCACAACTCTTCGGGGATAGATGAGCTCTAGGGCTCCTGAGGATCAGCAGCTACCTCAGTTGCTATCGCATAGTAGATCAACCTCTCCTTCTGTCTAATCCTACCTCCTACCTTCCTTATAGATGAATCTCCTGAGCACACTCCCCTAAAAACCTTCTGCACACCACTCTCTGTCTCGGAATTGGTTTCCAGGAAACCTGCTGTAAGACAGATAGGCAAGTACACACCATGCAAGGGTAACCATGGCAATGGCAAGGAAGGAAGGAAGACTTTCAGACAAAGAATACAATCGACTACAATAGTTACATAAAGGATACATCACAGAGACAGATCTATTTTGCCTGCAGCAAAATGCTAGGCACATGCTCAATGTGTATGTAAGGGGAGAATTGAGGCCACCTCTGGGAGGTTCCCATTTTTTATTGCACTGATTATATTTTGTATATTAGGATTCCAAATAGGTTATGCTGTAGCAAAGGTTCCTGGGCCTTCAAAAAAGGGTTTTCAAATCACTTGGTTCCATGATGTCTATAGCTCTGTTCAGCTCTGCCAGTTGGGATGGGGCAAACCCGAGTGATTCTCAGATCCTGTGCATTTACAGCAGAAAATGCGTCAGGTTGGTGGGTGAAATCCCTGTTGCAGGTGTCATTGGCTGAATTGCATCCCTCCAAAATTCATATGCTGAAGTTCTAACCCTCAGTTCCTCAAAATGTGACTGCATTTGGAGATAGGGCCTTTAAAGAGGTAATCAAGTTAAAATGGGTTTTTTAGGGTGAGCTCTAATCCAATATTACTGGTATCCTTATAAGAAGAGGCGATAAATACATCAACAAGCAAAAACCAACCCCATTAAAAAGTGAGCAAAGGATAGGAACAGACAATTCTCAAAAGAAGATATACAAGTGGCCAAAAAACATGAAAAAATGTTCAGCATCAATCATCACTAATCATCAGAGAAATGCAAACGTAAACTACAATGAGATATCATCTCACACTAGTCAGAATGGCTATTATTAAAAAGTCAAAAAATAACAGATGTTGGCGGGGTTACAGAGGAAAGGGAATGATTATACATTCTTGGTGAGAATGTAAATTAGTTAAGCAATTTGGAGAGTTCTCAGAGAACTAAATATAAAACTACCATTCCACTCAGCAATCTCATGACTAGATATATACCCAAAGGAAAATAAATCATTCTACCAAAAAAACACATGCAACTGTATGTTCATTGTAGCACTCTTCACAATAGCAAAGACATGGAATCAACCTAGGTATCCATCAATGGTGGACTGGATAAAGAAAATGTGGTGCGTATATACCATGGAATACTATGCAGCCATAAAAAGAAGGAAATCATGTCCTTTGCAGCAACTTGAGCAGCTGGAGGTTATTATCCTAAGCAAACTAATGCAGAAACAGAAAGCCAAATACTGCATGTTCTCACTTATAAATGGGAACTAAACATTAGTTACACATGGACATAAAGATGGCAACAATTGACACTGCAGACCACAAGAAGGGAGAGGGAGGGAGGGGATCAAGGGTTGAAAAATGACCTGTTGGGTACTGTGCTCCCTACCTGGGTGATAGGTTCTGTCGTATCCCAAACCTCAGCATCATGCACATCATGCAATATACCTTAGTAACAAACCAGCACATGTGTCCCCAAACCTAAAATAAAACTTGAAAAAAGAAAAGAAAAAGAAAACTAGGAACACAAAGAAGAAGAGGAGGAGGAGGAGGAGGAAGAGGAAGAGGAGATTATTAGGACACAGAGAGAGACCTCAGACCTGTGTACATAGAGAACAAGAGATAATCATGCAAAGATACCAGAAGAAGGCAGCCTCTACAATCATAGGAGAGAGGCCTCAGAATGAAACCAACCCTGCTGATAACTTGGTCTTGAATTTCCAGCCTCCAGAACTTTGACTGTGTGATCATGCACTTCTGTTGTTTAGACCTTCCAGTCCATGATATTTGCTATGCCATCCCACACAGACCAACACACCGTGGTAGCAGCTATCACGGTCCTGCTATACACAGAGGTGGGTGGTAGGGGAAGATGTGCCTCTCAGCTTCTCAGAGGGAAAACGAAACTGTTTTAACAATTGGAGCTGTCAAAAGTACGTGAAATATGGCCCAGTGCAGTGGCCACTGCACTCTGCACTCTCAAAAAAACAAAAGTACATGAAATAAATTATCTAAATAGAGAAATAACTGCATGGGTTTTTTTAGATCTACAAGAGTGTAAACATCGCAACGTATTCAGAGCACCCATCAAAGTGAGCTGAGCCCCTTGGTACAGCTTCTGAGCCTGGGCCTCCAGAGGCCTGATGGCTTCTGCTTTTGCCCTCTTGCCATATGAAGAAGTACAGTCTAATCTACTGGAGGATGAGAAGCTCCATAGAACAGAGATGAGCCGTCTTGCCTGCAGACCAACTCACACCAGATTGCAGACACGTGGGGAAGGCCCTCTTGGGCCATCTAGACCCTGTTGATGCCAGATGATTGCAAGCACATTAGTGACCCCAGGTGAGACCAGCAGAGCTGTTCAGCTGAGTTCACCCCAAATTGCTGACCCACAGAATCAAGAGTAAATAAAATAAAATAGTTGTTATTTTAAGCCATTAAGGTTTTTTGTTGGTGGTTTTTTGTTTGTTTGTTTGTTTGTTTTGGAGACAGAATCTTGCTCTGTTGCCCAGGCTGGAGTGCAGTGGCATGATCTTGGCTCACTGCAACCTCCACCTCCCGGGTACAAGCAATTCTCTGCCTCAGCCTCCTGAGTGACTGGGACTACAGGCGCACGCCACCATACCAGGCTAATTTTTGTAATTTTTAGGAGATGGGGGTCTCATCATGTTGGCCAGGCTGGTCTTGAACTCCTGGCCTCAAGTGATCCACCCACCTCGGCCTCCCAAAGTGCTGGGATTACAGGCATGAGCCACCACATCTGTCCTAAACCATTAAGTTTTAAAATAAGTTGTTACAAAGCAATAGATAAATGACACACCAAGCTAAAATTGTATCTGCTGTCAAGGCCGTATTTGATGACAGTTTGGGGACTCCCAGAGCCACCTGCAAACTCTCCTTGCTGAGCCAGGCAAATTTAGAAGATAAACAGTAGCTGTGCATTGGTTAATTGTGCATCTGTCTCCCCCAGGGGCTGGATGACCTCAGGGCTGTAACTTGTTCTCCCGTGTCTGTTCATCCTGTATATTGTGCTGAGGCAGGGTCTGGCATATAGCGGGTGCTCAATAGACATTTAACTCAATTAGTGAAATGTCATGGGACTTGTTCGGGTTACCAGCACCTCCTGCTCGGGTGACTGCAGCAGTCTCCTACCTGCTCTCCCCACACCCACACTTACTCCCTCAAATACATCTTCCATCCCAGGAAAAAAAAAAAATTCTAAAATGCAAATCTACCCCAGTGTGCTGCCTGAGAAAAATCTTTTATTGTCTCCCCACTGCTATCATGGCTAAGTCCTATCTCTTTGGAATGATTAATGAAATCCTGTAAACTTTGACCCCTAATTCTAAAGTCCCATCTTGCACCCCTCTCTCCGTTGCTGTCTGGGACCAGCCACGGGATTTCTTTCTGTTCCTTTCATCTACCACACTCACTGGTGCCTCTGGACCCTATCACATACTGTGCCTTTTCCTGGAACATCACCACCACTGCCACCACCCCAGTTCCCAGGCCTGGCTCCATCCTACCTGTCCTTCAGTACATTTGGTTGTCCATTTTGTCTGATTGAGAGATGACAAGAAGTATGGATCTACACTGATTTATGGGCAGTGGCTAATGGTTTGGCTGGATGGTCAGGGGTTCAGAAAGCACAGAACTGGAGGACTGGCCATAAGAAAAACTGGGAGAGACTAGTAGATGGACTTTCAGAAATGACACAGAATATGAAGATATTTGTATTCCAAGTAAAATCTCACCCAAAGTCATCCATGGCAGAGGCAGCTCTTGATAATTCGATGGACAAGATGGCACATTGGATGGATGTCAGCCAGCCTCTCTCCCTAGTCTCTCCAGCGCATTCTCCATATGTTTATGTACAATGTGGTCATGGTGGCCAGAATGGAGACTATTTACAGGTTCAACAACATGAACGTAACTCGTCAAGGCTGATCTGACTAATGCCACACTGTATGTCCAACCTGCCTCCAGCCAAGACAAATGCTAAGTACTTAGTATATCATCCCTCTGCAAGGGTCCACCTAGCCACTTGGTGCCAGGTCGATCCCACTGGACCCTTTCCATCATGAAGCAGGTATGTTTATCCTCATTGACATAGCCAGGATATAAGGTTCCAGGAATCCAAGGGAGCTGGTGAGAGTGGCTTCTCTCACTATGACACCAAATAATCCGCCGTATTAGTTTCCTGTGGTTACCATAACAAATTACTGTAAAATTGGTTGCTTAAAACAACAGAAATTTATTCTCTCACAGTTCTGGAGGCCAGAAGTTCAACATCAGTTTCACTGAGCCCAAATCAAGGTGTGTGCAGGGCTGTGCTCCCTTCAGAGCTCTAGGCAAGAATCCATTCCTGGACTTTTCCAGTTTCTTGTGGCTGCTGGCATTCCTTGGCTTGTGGCAGCATCACCCCAGTCCCTGTTTTTATGTTCATATCACCTTCTCCTCTTCTGTGTGACTTGATCTCCCTCTGCCACTCTCTTAAAAAGACATTTGTCACTGGATTTAGGCCCATCAGACAGTCTCGGATAATCTCCCCATATCATGATCCGTAATTTAATCACATCTGCAAAGGCCCCTTTTCCTTATAATGTAACATTTGCAGGTCCCAGAAATTAGAACTTGCTATATTTGAATGGCTATTATTCAGCCTACTCCACCCACTCACAAAACTTCTGCCTCTGGTCCCTGTAGCATTGAGCTCTGCTAGTTTGGAGGTCTTAGTTTTCAAGGGAAGGGAGGCAACATAGTTTTCATTACGTTGGAGGTTTAAACTTTAACCAGGCCATTGTGGGCTCCTCATGCCACTCAACCAGCAGGAAAAATAAAGAGTTAATACACTGGCTGCATGACTGATCTTCATTACCGAGCGGAAATTGGTTGCTGCCACACAACAGGGCAAGGAGGACTAAGTCTGGAACCCAAGGGATTCTCTAAGGCCTTTCTATAATAAGTACTTCCATGTATGATAGCAAAAGTCAATGAAAAGCTGTGACACCCACCCATGCAGGACCGCTGAGGATTCAGACCCTTCAGGAATGATTATCTGGGTCACTCCACCATATAAAGATCCCTGGCCAGGCACGGTGGCTCACGCCTGTAATCCCAGCACTTTGGGAGGACAAGGCAGGTGGATCACGAGATCAGGAGATCAAGACCATCCTGGCCAACATGGTGAAACCCCATCTCTACTAAAAATACAAAAATTAGCTGGGTGTGGTGGCACATGCCTGTAGTCCCAGCTACTTGGGAGGCTAAGGCAGGAGAATCGCTTGAACCCAGGAGGTGGAAGTTGCAGTGAGCTGAGATCGCACCGCTACATTCCAGCCTGGCAACCAAGCGAGACTCTGTCTCAAAAAAAAAAAAAAAAAAAGGTCCCTAAAAAGCTGAGGTGTTGGCTGAGGGCAAAGGAAACATGGAAGGGCAATGGAATAAGGAAATTATTCATACCAACCATGGCACTGTGACCAGAGATACCAGAAAGAGGTCGATTGCGGCTATGCGTACTTCCTTCCTTGCTTGGGATGTGTGTGCATGTGTGTGTGTGCACTGTACATATTATTTTTTCCTCCCTCCTCCTTTCTCCCATATTTTATATAAACATTGTATGTGATGATCAACTTTACTTTAGTGTTTAGTTGTAGGTGGAATTGTGCCTGAATTAGAGGAATACTTAACCCAAATATGGATTCAGTGACTAACCCCTGGAGATGGATGCATCTGTTGAACCGTGGGACGTTGTGTTTTTCCCATTTAGGGGGAGGGGACTAGAGTGTCTTCATTTGTATAAAGGACAGTTTCATCTTACTAGGTGGAAGCTACTGTCGTTATATGGCGGTTCAAGTATGTATGGATTGATGTTTGTGGAAACTGTGTGTCCAAAGGGGTGGCCCGTGCCCATGTTATTGTCTTTCAGTTCCAAGTGCAGCCTTCTAACTCTGTGATACTGGGGCTGGGACTCTGCAAACCACATCACTCCTTTGTTCGCTAGCTTTGACAATAAGGGGTACTAGGGGAAGACTGGAAGGCAAGAAAAGTGGAGACTTCTCTCTTCCTTTGCTTCCTATCCTTATCAGCAACAGCCAGGTTGCAACAGTTGATCCCAGACTTCGGCTTTTTTCCCATACTCCCAGACAAGCCTCATTGTGTCCCCTAAGAGGTACTAGCACCAGCCAGGGAGTACCTCCTTTTCAGATCTCTGAGCCCCAACACTACCGGGCTCCCTCTCCGCAAGCTTGTGGGTTCTGATAACCCCAACCTGTTTCCTATACTCTTGCAGCTCTGGGAGTGGTAACTGCTTTCTGCAGTTATTTTCTCTAGGCTATCTCAGAATCACCTAGAGAAAATTCTCTTTTGTTCTTTCAGCCCTCCTGCATCAGTGTAACCCATTACCTATAATAAATTCTTTTGCTGAAAAACTTAGTGTTGTTTCTGCCTTCCTGACTTGATCTTGACTGATGCAAACTATTAGGAAAGTGGTGGCCAATTTTACTGGTCACCATGAGAGGTCAGCCTGCCAGAAAGGAAGGCTTACAGGAAACAAGAGTCCTGACACGTTTAAGCATCTAGATCTCACTGTGCATGAAACCAAATCTATCCCCTGGACTTCTCAGTTCTCTGTGCCAATAAGTTTCTTTTTGTTTGTCTGTTTAAACCATACAGGGTTGGGTTTTTGTTGTATACAACAAAGAGTCCCGACCAATCCAAATCTCCTTGTCCCCACCCCCAAACCAGGAGCCTCACCTCACAGCCACTGAACAAAACCAAGAACAATCACCTCCTCTTGAAAACTTTAATGAAACCAATAAGTTAATAAGTTAACAAAGTGAGGTACTTGCATATCCGAGAACCGAGTTGATGGCGGAACCTCGATCGTGGAAGGAAGGAGGGCTTCTTCCCATGTCTCCTTGGTCATAGGGTAATCCCATTCTCCTGGCCCTCTCCACAGCTGTCTCTGAGTGGGTGGAGGGGTGGCTCTCTGGGGACAGTGCAGTGCAGGTGGGGTGAGCCAGGAGTGGCTCCATCCAGGGCATGACGGTCACATGCAGAGGGCATGTTGGGGCAGAGGCTGGGCACCATGGACTGAGTAAGATCCAGTCCAAGCCCTGGTGCTGGCGCATGCAGGTCCCCAGCACGAGATGCAGGCAGCGTGGCCTCGGCCCCTTGTTCCCACAGAGGGTTGCCATTGGTCCACTACCCCTCACCTTCCTGCCACCTGCATTGGCTTTGCAGAAGAGGAGCAAAGGGGTGGGGATAAGAAAGTGTTCCTGGAGTGAATGGGGGCTGACGCCTGGATGTGGCGCTGCCAATTGAAGTGAAGAAGTGGGGTGTGGAGGGAGGGGAGACAGTGCATGTGAAAGCCGGATGCGCGGTTGGTATAGCTATTACATGCATTCTTATTCTCTCTGGGAGTTAGAGTGACTAGGAAGGCACAGGCCTGGCTAGAAGTGGGCCTGGGGTCTCTCCAGTGGTGTCAGGCCTGGGCCCGAGTTGTGCTGTGGAGACACGGAGGCGGGCCCTTGGGGACAGGCAGAGGCAGTGGGTTAGGGCTCCTGGACCAGAGAGGAGGAGATCTTCTTGAAGAAGGGGAGCGGGTAAAGGTCTGGGTGGGGCCTGGAGAGCTCTCGGGTTACTTCAAAGCTCCTTCTCCTGCTCAGATGGAGTTGGGGGTCTTCCTCTTAGTGGTCGTCACCCTGCAAGGCCAGTCCACTGGCATCTGCTGCAGAGGCCCAGGAGCGGCTGAGTGGCTCTGCACTCATGTCTCCAAGTGTGTCACGTCATTGCATGTTTAAGTGTGAGAGGCTTTCTTCCTGTCTGGAGAAACTAAAAGGCTATGTTTGTGCGATCGTCCACGAAGCACTGTCTGGGAGTTTTGGGGAGGATACAGAAACCTGTGCTGACTATGAGTGGTGTCTGGAGGGCCAAGGAGGGGAGTGGCCACCCAGCAGGAGGAGGGAGCCCCTGGGAGCTGACACTTGCAAATGGGAAGAAAGGCCCAGGCATTGCCCTTAGGAGAGGGCAGGGGAGAAACAGGCCCCATGCTGGGAGGGGAAGGAGTGATAAGCCAAAGAATAGGGACAGGGTGGTGGCCAAGCAGCCTGAGACCAGCTACTGCTGGGGGCCCAGCTCCCAATGGGGGAGGGACAGAGAGACCCCATGGGGGTCCCCAAAGTTGCATATTTAACATGGTTTGCATATATGGTGTCCACCTGCCTTGTGGCAGGGTCCTGTGCTTTGTGGGTACCTGTGGGGGCACCTTGGCCCACCCCCAAGTGGGGCGGGGACTTGGCGGGAGGGCTTCCCTGCTGTGTCCGAAGGGTGGGCCAGAGACCTCACCTTGCATAGCTGGAAGCTGGGTCAGGGCCCAGGGCCCCAGCGCCCGCTCCCACTCCCGGGGCTGTGCCCCTGCCAGGTGGGCCACATAGGGCCTTGATGGAGTGGGCAGGGCACTGGGGGGCCCAGAGGCCGCGGGACGGCCGCTGCTGCTGCCCTCTGTGCGACCTGGCATCTCACGCTCCTGAGGTGGGGAAGGGGCGCTGGCACCCACAGCAGGTACCACGCCCACTCAGGCAGCTCAATACTGCGTGTGGTCTCTCTCCCCGTGAGGGAGTGAGTTCAAGTACGAGAGGAGTCCGGAGGCCTCAGAGGGCAGTCGGAGCGCCAGGCCGCGGGGCTGGCCGTGTGCTGCCCTGCCTCTGAGAAGTCCCTCAGTCCATGTTGGTGCTGACCGAGCGGGAGATGCTGAGCGTCTGTGCGGAGACGGAGATGTCCTCGTGGTCCACAGGGCTGTGGTAGTCGGAGGTGATGTCGGGGTCGAACAGCGGCACTTGCACGGCGCCCAGGCTGGCCGAGGTGCCAGAGCGCAGGCAGCGCGAATAGAAGCCCAACAGCAGGTCCAGCTTGTGCTCGATGGACTGCACCTGGGGACGGGGCGCAGCTGGGAAGCAGGGCCTGGGACCGGAGGGGACGCGGCCGGGGGCGGGGCTTGGGTCTCGGGGCGGACCCTAGCCGGTGGAGTGGGCGGGGCTTATCTGGGAAGCACAAATCCCGCCTGGAAAGGTGGAGCTTGGCTAGAGCGAGGGGCGAAGCTGGGCACTGGTGCATAACCCGGGGGGTGGTTAGGTGTGACCGATGGGGATAGTCCGCGAGCTACAGCGACAACTGAGAGGCGGGGTCAAATGGAGTAGGGGGAACTGAGGTAGGCTTATCTGAAGGTTATGGGCGGGCTTATGCAGCCTGGGGGCGGGGCTTAGCAGGAGAGGGCGGGTTTATGGGAATGTCTGGCGGCGAGGGCGGGGGCTTCGGCCGGGGAGGGGGCTCTTAGGTCTTCTCGGGGACCCTTGGGCTGTGGCTGTGGGAAACGCATCCTCCCCATGTCACCGCGGCCCCCAGAGCTTCTTGGTATGGCCAGCTCCGCCACCCCATCCTACACTCACCTGCTTCTCCACCTTGACCACGCGTCCCATCATGCTGATTTCATCCACCACCTCCGCGTCGGAGGGCCCCTTGTCGCCCTTCTCCCGGGCCTTCCTGTCCCCGGGCCCCCGACCCACAATTTGGTCCACCCTAAGGGTAAGGGAACCATCAGAGGGCCCGGGGACACGCCGTCCCTCCCTTCCACAAGAATTATAGGTTGCCTGATGAAGGAGAAGGCACCACGAGGGGACAGGCAATCTGAGGGAAGGGGCCATTGCCCTGCCAGATGGAGGCTGAGTTGAGGGTGGAGGGACTGGCCCCTGCTCTGGTGGTTCTCCACTGGCCAAGCAAAGGCACCACACACGAACCTGACAAGTAAAACAACCGTCTGGTGAAAGAGGAATGGAAATAGTGGACTAGGAGGCCCAGCGCAGTGGCGCATGCCTATAATCCCAGCATTTGGGGAGGCTAGGTAGGGAGGTATCACTTGAGCCCAGGAATTCGAGACAGACTTGGCAACATAGCAAGCCCTCCTCTCTACAAAAATAATTTTTTAAAAATTAGCTGGACATGGTAGCTCATGCCTGTGGTCCCAGCTACTTAGGAGGCTGAGGCAGGAAGATCACTTGAGCCGGAGAGGTCGAGGCTGCAGTGCGCTGTGATTGCACCACTGCACTCCAGCCTGGGCGACAGAGCAAGATACTGTCTCAAAAAAAAAAAAAAGAAAAGAAAAGAAAAGAAAAGATGGATTGGGGAAAAGGGGAAAGAGGATGGGAGGAGTGGAGACACGTGGGAATGTGACTTTTAAGGTGGGTGGACAAGGCTAGAACTGACCTCACCTTATTTTTCTGCTCTCCTTTGCAGCAAAATTCTTGAAAGTGTTATCTCTATCCTCTACCTCCAATTCCTTTCCTCCCCTTCTCTCTTAAACCTACTCCAGTCAGGCTTTCACCCCTGCCATTTCACCAAAACTACTGTTGTCAAGCTCCCAAATAACCCCATGTTGCTAAATCCATTGATCAACTCCTGTCCTCATTTTACTTGACTTACTAGCAGCACTCAACACATCTGATCACCCCTTCTTCCAGCAAACCCTTTCTTCATTTGAAACACCACCCTCTCCCAGTTCTTTTCCTACTTCCCTGACCTCTCCTTTACAGTCTCCTTTGTTAGTTCCTCCTCTATCTCTGCAACCTGGAAACACTGCAGGATCCAAGGCTCACTCTTGGGACCTCTATTCTCTATTTACTCCACTCACTAGTTGATGTCTTCAGATCCATAATTTTCAATTCCTCTACACTTTCGACACCAAATCTTCATCTCCATCCTGTACTTCTGCTCTGCACTCCACACTTCTCTATTCAACTGCCAGATCAACACTCCACTTGAATGTCAGATAGGCATCACAAACCCGGCACCTCCCAAATCTCCTGACCGAAACTTGCTCCATTCATTGCCTTCTCCATGTCAACAAATGGCAACTCGATTTTTCCTCTTGCTGAAGCCAAAAACCTTAGCTTCATCCTTGACTCTCTTCTTTCTCTTAACACCCCATCAGAAAACCCTGTCAACTTTGCCTACAAAATGTATCTAGAATCTGACCACTTGTCCCACCTCTGCAGCTGCCACTCTGTTCCAAGTCCCCACGGTCTCATGCGTGGAAGTCTGAAGCAGGTTCTCATTGGTCTACCTGTGTCCACCCTCACTCCGCTAAGTCCATCCTCAACACAGCACCCAGGGTGATCCTTTTAAAAGACAATTCAGATCTTGTCAGTCGTTTGCACAAAACCCTCCAATGCTTGCAGCTCATCCTGGATGAACACCAACGTCTTTGCAGGGGCCTACAGGACTTTACACTCTCTGAGTGCCGTTAGCCCTCTGACCTCACCTCCTACCTCTCACTCCAGTGCAGCCACACCAGGCTCCCTGCTGTGCTGAAGCCAACACTCCAGCCACTTGCCCCTCTCAAGTCCTTGGCACTTGCTGTTCCCTCTAGAACCTTCTCACCTATTTAAAATTGCAAACCCTAACAGCCTGACCCTTATTTTCCTCCTTAGTATTTATCGTTGTCTGACATATTCCAGTTTTACTTATTTATCACTTATTCTCCTTCCACTAGAATGAAAGCTCCATAAGTGTGGGAACTCTGCTGCGCTTTCTGCCATATCCCCACAGGCTGGCAAGTAGTAAATGCCCACTGACTATTTCTCGAGTGATTAAATGAATGAGTGGACAGTGAAAATGCAGGCCAGAAGAGGAGAAGGGCAAGGTGCAGGTGATGTGGGTCTTGGGGTGAGGATTCTTCCTAATGCTGGGTCTACCAGAGAGATGTGGGAGGATTCCAGAGGCAAGAGGTGGGCAGTGAGGACAATTTGCCTATTCTCTTGGGAGATGGGAGGTCAGTGATTATTTTAGGCTGATTATTTTAGGACCAGGAAACAGTCATTCTAAACAAAGCCCCCAAGGCATATGAGTCAATAGGGCTTGCACAGAGGACCCACCTCACAGAGAAACTATGGTTGGGTTGTTTCTCAGCCTTGGGACGGGTGCTGGGTCTGGCCTCAGGCTGGCACTGCAAGCCAGGGACCTCCTCAGTCTAGAAACTCAGCTGCAGCAGTGAGCCCTTGGGGGTGCTCGGGGGTTGGCCTCAGACTTCATTCAGGGCTGGGGTCGCTGCCTCCCTGCCCCTGCCTCCCAACAGGCCCGGTGCACCCACCGAGTTTGCAGGCTCTTGATCCGGCCCAGCATGTCCAGGTGGCCTGCTGAGTACTGCTCAATGACGTCCTTCACGTCGTACGGTCGCAGTGTCTCCTTGAATTTCCTTTTGGCCACCAGGAACTTGAGAATCCTGTTGGGGGAGGGGGCTCAGAGGGAGTGTCCTGTTAGAGCAGGGATTCTTTCCCAGCACCCTCTCCATCTCTTTGCTATCCCCTTGTCCAGCACCAGGGCACCTCCTGCTTGGCCACCATGAACAGCCTCTGCTGCGTCTCCCAGCCTCCCCTACCTCCAAGTAGCAGAAACAGGGATGAGATGGAAAGGGGTTAATCAACCAGCCGGGGTGGAGGATGGGGTTCAGGGTGCCATGGTATGAGAAGACAGGAGATCAGCCTCGAGAAGGAGGCTGGGGTGTGCTTTGAAGAGCCCTGCATCTCTGGCAGAGACTGGGCAATGGGACATTGTGGGGCAGGCACATCAATAACTCTGTTTTTTTTTTTTTTAATTTTTATTTTTTAAAGAGATGGGGGTCCCACTATGCTGCCCAGGCTGGTCTCGAACTCCTGGACTCAAGCGATCTGCCCGTCTCAGCCTCCCAAAGTGCTGGGACTACAGGTGTGACCCACTGTTCCCGGCTCAGTTACTCTGCTTTAGCATGCCAGCTCTGCCAGCCTGTGTGGAGAATACCCTGGAGGGGCAGAGGCGTGGGCAGGGAAACTAGCTTTAGGGGATGGGGGAGGAGATATGGAAGAGCTTGGAGCAGTTCAGGAGGTGGGGCTGAAAGTCTCCCTGGTCTGAGTCCAGGATGACTCCCATGGCTTGGGTGACCAAGTGGATGGTGGTGCCACTGCCTGAAATGGGAACCAGCCCAGGAAGAGGAGCAGGTTTGGGGCATGCTGGCTGAGAGGTCGGTGGGGTGGCCCAGGAGAGCTGGCTTGGGTCAGGTGGCAGGTCAGGTACTATGTCCTTGACACTGGGCACATGGAGGGGAGAGAATGGATGGGTGAAAAGGGGGTAAGCAGAGGCTTCAGACTGTGGGGGGTAGTGGGGACAGGTCCAGCTGACTCTGATTTTATCTATTTATCTATTTAGAGACAAGGTGTCACTCTGTCACCCAGGCTGGAGTGCAGTAGCTCAATCACGGCTCACTACAGCCTCAAACTCCTGCACTCAAGCCATCCTTCCACCTTGGCCTCCCAAGTAGCTGGAACTACAGGGGCACACCAACATGCCTGGCTAATTTTTTAATTTTTTTTTTTTTTTTTTGCAAAGACAAGATTTCACTATGCTGCCCAGGCTGGTCTCGAACTTCTGACCTCAAGTGATTCTCTTGCCTCAGCCTCCCAAAGTGGTGGGATTACAGGCATGAGCCACCACGCCCAGCCTGACTCTAATTTTAAAAGGAATACAAGAAAAGAGGCTTGTGGGCAGGTGTATCAGCCAGGGAAGAAAGTGGGGAGCCCAGAAAACTTGGAGGTTGAGGGGGTTTCTGGAGCTAGAGCTGCAGGCTGGAGATGGAGACTAGGCCAGGACGGCACACCAAGGAGCTTGGAGGCCAGATCCATGCCTAGGCCGTGGCCTAGGAGACCCTGGTCCCTGCTTAATTTTTGAGGCATGGAGACAGCCAGTAGAGCAGGGGCTTTCAAACTTTTTTGACCAAGACCCACCATAAAAAATACATTTTTTTTTTTTATACAGTTTCACTCTTGTTGCTCAGGCTGGAGTGCAATGGCACTATCTTGGCTTAATGCAACCTCTGCCTCCCAGGTTCAAGTGATTCTCCTGCCTCAGCCTCCCAAGTAGCTGGGATTACAGGCATCCACCACCACGTCTGGCTAATTTTTTGTATTTTTAGTAGAGACGGGGTTTCACCATGTTGGCCAGGCTGGTCTCAAACTCCTGACCTCAAGTGATCCACCCGCCCAGATGGGGAGCAGCAGTGGGTGGCACACGGAGGGGGGTGCTCGCCTCAGGCCTCAGTCTTACCTGATGGAGCGGATGACTGTCTTCACAGCAGGCATGATGTCGTCCACCGTGAGCTCACACTGGTAGCTCTTCTCCTCTGCTACTTCCTCTGAGGGGGCATCTGAAAAGGCAGGTATGGGGCAAGTGGCCCACCAAAGGGGCCACTCCCAACCTCCCATCCGACCCTTGTATGCCAAACCACCAGTAGAGTGTCCAATAGGAAGACAGAGGCCCAGAAAGGGCTCAGAACCTTCTTGGGGCTCCTGTGTCTCACTGCCCTCCCCAGGGTGGAAAGCCCCAGTGTGTTGCATGCCCATCTGCCCCGGTGGCCAGTCAGGGTAAACATCTGCCTGGTGGGTAGGTGGGAGCTGCTTTAGGGCACAGCTGGCCTAGTCCAGGGCAAGTTTGTTGCACAAAGCCCTGGAGGAAGCCCCACTGGTTCCACCTTGCAGAACAGTGAGCCCCAGAGATAAGGGGTTTGATGGCACTGCATGTAATCATGCACACAGTCTTCTCCTTCAGCTAAGATGGAAGGACACCCAAGTGGCTGGCTCCCAGGCCCAGCTCTGCTACTAGGGAAGGCCCTTAAAACAAACCATTCTTCCCTGAATGAGAGAAGCTTCTCTGAGGCTAGTGCCCTGTGTTGCGCAGAGAGGTGATGCTGTCCTTGCCTCACAGGAGCAGTGGCAAGAGCCCGGACAGCTTCCAGGACAGGGAAGGGAGGTCCTGGGCACCAGCTGTGCCCAGGCTTCTATGGGCAGCACCTCTCAAAGACTGGTCTATGGGGTTCTGTAAACTCTGAGGTGTCAGCCAGCAGCATCTTGAGGGCTGACACAGCACAGGCAGAAACAGCATGGCTGGGTCCCCTCCCTCCAAGGCCAAAGGGGGAGCTGTCCCCATCCCCCATCCTTGTGCACTCACCCCACCTCTCCCCACCCAGGGGCCTAAAGTATGTCAAAGCTGGGAGAAGTCTTCCAGGGGGCTTGGTCCAACCCTCTCATTTTCCTGAAGAGGACACTGAGGCATGGAAAGGGGCAGTCTCCTGCCTAAATCACAGTGGAAGTCTCCAGCAGAGCCAAAACTCAGAAAAGTGACATCAGCATGGTCCACAGTCTCATACTTGCAGCCTGGGCTGGGTGAAGAGGGGTAGGAAGAAGGCCTGGGCTTTGGAGCTGAATAGACCTGCTTGAGGAGAGCACCTCTGCCACTCACAAGCTGAGAGATCTCAGTGCCCACGTCTGTAAAGTGGGGACAAAAACAGAACCTACTTTCCAGGGTCACTGGGAGAAGTAAATGAGATAAGCCAGTGCTGGGCAGTGCATAGTCAGGGCTCATCAAGGATGCATTCCTGCCGCTTCCAAAGTACATTTGTGTTTAGCTATTTGTTGAGCACCTCCTATATTCCCAAAAGTCTTCTGTTCACCTTCCATGGATTATCTCATTTAATCCTCACAATAATCCTAGGAAGTGGATGCTATTATTGTTCCCATTTTATGAATGAGGAGAATGAGGCCCAGAGAAATTAGGTCACTCGCCTAAGATAAGTGACAAAGCCAGGATGCAAATCCAGGCAGTCTCGCTCCAAAGCCTGTGCTGCTAACCCCTATGAAATGCCACCCTCCACGTGATTCCCAAACAGTCTGATGTCCATTGTATAGCAGAGCAAATATTATAATGCCCATTTTACAGATGAGAAGACCAGAGCCCAAAGACGGTCCATCAGTTCCAGAGCTGAGACGCGAGCCAGATCTTTCTGCTCCCAGCCCAGACTGTCCCCGCCCTGCCACCCTCAGCCGGCCCTCGATCGGACTCAGCCCCCCGGGGGCTTACCCTCAGCAGAGGTGCGGGGTTTGAGTCTCAGAGATGCCCGGAAGCGGGTGCGGTCATTGAAGCTCCAGCTCTTTTGCACCTTGGTGGGGCTGGTGGCCTCACCCACCTGCTCGCTGCTTGGGGAGGTGGGCATTGTTGGAGGTGCCAGATGCTGCTTGGAAGGACCCGTCCGCCGCTGGGAGCTGCCCATGCGGATGCGGTCTTTGATGCCCATCCGGCTGCTGGCAGGGCAGGCAGGTTGGGAGAGAGCCAAGTTAGCCAGAGCTGGGGGTGGGGGTGAGTGGGGACAAAGCTGACTTAGGACTTGGGGGTGGCTATTAGGTCTGGATTCCCCGCCAAGCGGAGACTTCTTGGGATGGAACAAGGATGTGGTAAGGGAGGCCCTCACTCCTACAAGAGGCTGATTCGGGGTCAGTCGAAGCAGATCCTCTCCCCACCACCCACATCCCACCCCTCATCACCCGGACAGATAAGGGGTGCACAGGAGACAGATGTCAGAGTGGAAGGAGTGGGAGAAATCCAAAGTCAGAGACACAGACAGGAGGATGTGGGAGCTGGGCCTGGCGCAGGTGAGTGGGCAGAGGGTGGGGGTGGCGACCCCTTTGGGCACAGACAGGCTGCTGAGGGTCGGAAGCTCACCTGGCCATGCACACGGAGGTAGGCCTCCAGTCCTCACTGTACACAGGGGCAGGCTGTGTGGAGTCGAGGGTGTGTGTGTGTGCGCGCATGCACACACACACCTTGTGCACACACATGTGCGAGTGTGGGTGTACAGGCACTGGTGTGTGTACATATGTTGGCGTGTGTTTACATGTGTCATTTCATATTTTCCTCCACTCCCCACTGCTGCGGCTATCTGATCCCACACTGGTCAGGGTTTTAGGGCCTCGTACAGCTGTGCAGGCAGTGCACTGCAAAATAAGGACTCCATCACACAGACTTCCATGCAGTGGTGCCCTGGAGGTGTGCAGCGTGATGGCCTACTGAGGGCCTCGGCCCCATGGTTCTAGCTGCTGGGCCCACATGTATGCCCAGGCCATGCCTGGTGCCTGCCCTCTCAGTGAGGGTCTCTATTTGATAACATGTTCTTCTGTGGTCTCTCCTACCTAAGTTCAGCCCACCTTGATTGACATCCTGCCTGTGTGGTCTTGGATCCCCGCTAAAGATCTACCCCCCGATACTGCCTACTGAGCTCCCGGTTCAACAGCATTTACACAGTCTGTGTGCATGTGAACGTGTACGTGCACGTCTACACATGCACTCAGACTTCCCTTCCCGCATCCAACTCCCCACCACGTTCCCCAAACGTTGGAGGAAAACAAGTTAGCAGAGGCCTCATTCCCCAGGACAAGCCCTGGTTAACCATGATCTGGTAGAGTAACTCTGTGTCCAAGAGGTTCAAGGACAATGTTATGGCTGTTGGGGTAGGACCTATGCAAATGTCCTCCATCCCATGCCCTGTGACGTCATCGCTGCCTCCCCTGCTGTGGTTTGCCACTAGAGATTCCGACAGGTTCAGGTTCGGGTTCAGGGGGACCCACCCCAAATGTCTGGGGCCCCAGATCAAGAGAGTACCAGCCAGCCTTAGAGGAGACCTGAAGTGGGGCAGGAGTTGGGGGAGGACACCGTGTCACCTACTCTCAGAGGCTTTCAGATCAAGGGTTGAGCAGAGAAGAGATTCTGGTTTCGGTATTGGGTGGGAACTGGGGTCTCCCATGCCCAGGGCATGGGGTGGAGGGGAGGGAGCCAAGGTGCTGAAGTGAGGGAGACCTCGAAACCAGGGGCACCTTCAGGAAGGTGGCCAGGATGTAGGGCCATCCTTAGGGGTGGCGGCCTCTGCCCAGAGGGGAGAGGTTAATAGGTCAAGGATGGGGGCCCTGAGGGTATCAAAAGGACAGGGACAGTTCCCAGTTCCCACTATCCAGCATGCTCTCCACTGGCCCAGGACTCCATCGACACATCCCAAAGATTCCAATCAAAGTTTGAGGTTGGCTCTCCCAAACTTTCCTCTGCAGAGCCATTCCTGCAGGCTCCCTCATGCTGGCAAGCACCCTCCACCCTGCCCGGTCCGTGCAACCCCTTCTCCTGTCCTCCACTCCTCCAAGAGGGAGAGGAAGAGAGGAGAGTGGAGAAGGCCCTGACACTTTGGCCAAGGGCCTGGAACTCCACATCACTGCGCCCACCACATAAGGCTCCAATGGCGTTCTGGAGAAGAGGGCAACCTCCCTGTCAAAAGAAGTAATGCAAGCAAGGCTGAGCTTGCACTCAGCAGGACTTATGGAGGAAGGAGTTCGAGGGCTTGCACTAGAGACCTTGAAAGGTCCCTTTCCAGCTCTGATTCTGTGATGGTTGAGGAAGCTTCCAGTCTGGTTTGTGGGGTTCTGTAAGTTTCCAGCCAGCCAGAGGCCCTGAGCTCCTTTTTAATGCAAGAAGGCACTGTTTTCCCAGGAGTGGGTCTGGATTCCAGTTCCTTGGGCAGGGCCCAGAAAATGGCTCATATCAGCTCCTCTAAGTCTGAAAGCTAAAAGAAGGTGGAAGAAAACCTGGCACACAGTGGGCACCAAAAAGCTCTTTCCCCTCCCAGGCTCCCAGAACGTGCAGGGTCCCATCAGGCTGCCTTAGTTCTTTCAGTTCTCTCAGCCACTGTGTGTGGTGGGCGGTCTTTACCATCCCTATTTTATATACACGGAAAGAGGTGAGATGATTTGGCCAAGGTCACAGAGCTCCTATGAGATGGAGCAAGAACTGGAACCCAGCCTTCTCTGACTTCAGAGTCTATGTTCTTTTTCTGGGTCAAGCAATCAGGATAGGGTGTAGAGCAGTGGTTCTCAACTGGAGCAAGTTCCCCCACTCAGGGGACATGTGGCAATGTCTAGTAGGTAGACATCTAGTAGGTAGAGGCCAAGGGTGCTGTTCCACATCCTACCATGCATGTGATAGTCGCAATCCACAAAGAATTATCTAATGTCAATGATGCCAAGGTCAAGAAACTCTGGCTAAGGATCTGTTGGTACCTGGGAGAAAGATGGGGTGGGCTGGACTGTGGCTGCCCTGCTGGGGAGGCCGAGCTCTGCCCAGGCTGCCCTGCTGGTCCCAACCCCTTGAACTCACTTCCACAAGGACTTTCTTTAGGGCCTCATGATCTGCCCTCCCAGGGCCACTCTCACTGGGGGAACAGAGGCAGCCTACGACTTCTGAAGCCACATACAGCCCCTCTTCAGGGACTATGGAAACAGCCTCGCCACTGGCCTCTGCCATGGCTGTGTCCTTCCTGTCCACACCCTCCACAGCCAAAGGAGGCTTGCAAAATGGCGGGCCTGACCCAGAGACTCCTTAGCTCAACGCTTCAGCTCAAACCATTGCCCACAGCCATGGTTTCTAAGCTATTTTCTTTTAAGGTAAATAAGATCTTAACTGCTGAACATACCAAATCAAATAAGGCCAATATTTATTGGAGCCAGGTCCAGTTTTAGTGGAAGCAGACCCTATTTACATCTGCATTTTACATCTGAGGAAACTGAGGTGCAAAGGGGTCAGGTGATTTGCCCAAGGACACACGAATAGTGGGTAGTAGCTAGATTGTGGTCCAGAACCCACGTTTCTAGGAAAAAACACCTCTCAGCAGAAGCACACATGGGCAGCCAGGAGCCCTGCCACTCATCTCCTAGCTCCGGGACCCCAGCCCACAGGGCCCCAGAGGCACCTTTGGAAACCCAGGACTCCATGAGCTCAGGCTGCCAAGCATGCCAACAGGGTGAAGCTCACACTGGGCTTTTAGGTTCTGCATGACCCAGCTCTGCCCCCAACCTTCGCTCTGATGTCCAGTCTCAGGGGGGCCAAACTGGGCTGCCAGCTTTTTTCCCCACACTGTGCTCCCTCTTGCCTCCTTGCTTGGGTCCGTGCTGCTTCACTGCCTGGAATGCCCTCCCTGAAACCCACTGCTTTTAGGGCTTCCTCTGGGTTGTGTGCCTGACCCGGGCTCCACAGCCCCTGTGCTTCCTCCCTTTGTTGCACTCATCACACTGAGCTGCAATTACTCTTTGCAACTCTCCGAGGACGATGTTTTATTCATCACCGTGTCCCTAGTGCACAGAGCAAGTCCTGGCACAGGGCAGGTACCAAGGAATGCCATGGAGATGCCGCTAAAAGAGCTGGGGTCCTGGAGCTGGCAAAGGTGCCAAACCCAGCTCCTTCAGGCATCTGCTAGGTCCCCAGGTGGGTAGCAGGGAGACAGAAAGCTAAGCCCAAGGCCTGGCAAAAGTCAGAGTGAGAAGGACCCTCAGAGGTCCTCTAGTTCAATCTGCCCATTCCACAGACGGAAAACTGAGGTCCAAGAAGGGAAGCAATTTGGCCAAGATCACAGAGGGCATCAGCAGCAGAGCCAGCACACATCCTTAAGGCTCCTGCACGTGCCCCTCCTGGCACCCTGGGCCCATGCCCCAGACCTAGCAGAGGCATCCCAGAAAGGCGAGGGGTTCACTGGGCACCCAAGGCAGACGGCAGGCGGCAGGCACATGCACCTTGTCCTTGGCCCATCCTGTCCCCTCTCCAGCCCCCAAATTGGGTGGGGCAAGGAGGAGTGGGGACAGGAGGAGCAGGCGAGGGGGTACCTCGGTCTCCAGCTGGCGTGGATCCGAAAGAAACTCCGTTTATTATTAAACATCTGGCTGGAAGTTTGAGAATAAGACACGAACAGAGGTTAGCGGGAAAGGGGCTGTGGGCAGAGTGTGGGGAGCTGCTGGGATGGGGCCGGCCTCCGGTAGCTGGTGGGAAAGAAGGACCCCCACCTAAATCATCCTCCAGCCCCATCACCAGAACGTAGATGTTCTCACACTTTGCATAGGGATCCCCTGGGGACCATGTTACATATGCAGAAGGCTGTGTCTCTTCTCCAGAGATTCTGATCCTGTGGGCTTGGAGACAGGTCCAGGTATCTGCATTTTGAACAAACACTCCATGGGATGCTGATGCAGGAGGTCTGGAGACCATGGTTTGATAAACTCATTGCAAAACCCTGAAGAGGAGAGGTGCTGGCCCTGGCAATGCCATCCCCCAGGAAATCCTGCTCCTTTAGCACCACTTCCTGTGGGCACACTTGGCCCAGGTCCATCCCCAAGCACCACCAGAGGTGTGGCCAACCGAGTGTGTATATGTGTGTGTGTTTTTGGTGGAGGAAGGGTGTCCTGGCTGGCGGTCTAGACAGCCACGATTAACGATACGGCCATTGGGCCTGAGCCTGGTGACTGATCTACAAACCATGGCTCAGCCCCCTGGGGTCCCTGGGAGAAAGGGCCACTTTACTACCATCACCCTGTGTCCCAGACACTCGCCAAGTCCCCTCCCAGGCAGATAGATACGAGGCTGGGAGTCAGTGACAGCCAAGCCCTTAGTAGTAATCTGTTCCTGGGCCCTGGGGGTGTCAGGGACCAAAGGAGCCGTGGGGAGTGTACAGGTACTAGGCCCCAGGCTAATGTCCATTCCCCTTGCCTTCCTATTCAGTCAAAATGAGACCAGAGTGAACTGGAAGCACAGAGAGCCCTGGCTCAGGTCCTGGACAGGATTGCTGGGATACAAAAACTCTTGAGTTTCCGCCTGGAAACTATGTTTGGTAGGGATGAAGGTAACAATGAGGGACCTTCGGGCAGAGAATCTGAGAGGGGCCCTACTCTCCCAGGGAGCTCTCAGCCTGGCCTGGCAGTCACGCTTCCCCTCCCTCCAGCCCCAGACCTGGAGGGACTCTCCCTCTCCACCCACTTCCTGTTCAGCCCCTGGCCCAGAAGTGCCCTCACTGAGAACAAGGAAGGGAGGCTGCTCCCTGCATCCTCTGCACCAAAACTCCTCCCTAGGCCTTTTCAGCCCAGAAACTCTAGAGTACCCAGAGCCCCAATCAGCCTAAACACTGCCGATTTTCCGCCAGGACACACAGGTTCAGAATGACTGAAGGCTTCCTCCAGGACACACAGCATCGGGTGGCAGAGGCGAGCTTCCACCACGCCTCCCCTGCTGATCACTGGGCGGCTCGCCTCTTCTCCTATTCTTTGTTCTGGGCCTGGGGCTCAGAATGACATTGAAGCTCAAAGGCCAGATGTCCATTTGGCTGGTTCAGGGGTGATGTGTGAAGATGAGACAAAACAAAGAGATGGGTAAAGGACGAGGGAAAAAGAATGAGGGGGATTTAACCCCTGACCTCAAAGCTAAACCTCTACAAGAGCAGCCACTTTCCCATGCTGTGAGTGGACGGGCTTCCCTTATCCAAACATGCCTGAAATTCTTCTCTTTAGGAACGTTTATGTGGGGGTAAGCATTGTTTGTTCTTTGTTCTTCTTTCAAGATTTTGTAAAAAGCTTCAGGAGAGACAGTTCAAGGGGAAAGAGATGGCTGGGAGCGCCAAAGTGTACCTCAGTAAGGAAGGAAACAGAACCCCAAGAGGACCCTCTGGGATTAGCAAAGTTGCAGACAAGGGCTGCACAAGAAAGGAACATTAGTCACTGGCTGAGTTTACGCAGGTCCTACAGAGGTCTTAATCACAGAGCTCTCTTTCCAGCTGGCATCTCGTTCCCAAGAGGCGAGTTCAGTACTAAGTCCCTCCTAGAGCAACATGCCGGGGGAGGGGGTTCCCTGCCCTCACACCCCAGGATGGTGCCCACGATTACCTGAGCCGTAAGCACCTGTGGCCAGTGGCCTCCTCCTCTGTCCAGCTTCCCGGGAGGGATGGGGGTGCAGGGATGGAGGAGTAAGGGGGACGTGGGAACAGAGAAAGAAAGAGGACAATGCCATGAACGGAGGAGATGATGGGAAAGGATGGCATGGACATCTCTCCCACTCAGACCCTCAGAGCCCCACAGGACAAAAAGGTGAGTCCAGCCTGACCCCTCCAGAGAGGCCCTCAGTCTGTACCTGTCTGGCCCTCTGACGGCCTAGGAGTCCCCCAAACAGGCCCAGACACCCACGAAGTGGCTGAAGGCAGGTCTGAGAGAGGATGAAGACAGAGAATGGAAGAAGAGGAGGAGAAGCAAGAGGAGGTGGCAGCCCCACGGGGCCCCTACCTTTCCCCAGGGCAGAAGGAGGTGCTGCCCGGCCGGTGGCAGGTGGCAACGGGCGGGTAACGGGAGGGTGCTCCGTCGGGTACCGGCGCCCGCCGCACCTCCAGGGGCCGTAGGCCCCCATTGCGGGCCCGTTGCACGTGCTCAAACAAGAGGGCCAGCTCTCTGCAGGAGAGGGCACCATCAGTGGCAGGCAGGGCCATGGCACCACCCCCCTCACCCAGTGGGCACAGAGCTCCTGAGCTCAGATCTTGCCAGGTCCTGCTGCTCTAGAGGTGTTCACTGACAGCCCGGCCAGAATAGGACAGGGTGGACAGTGGGAGACTGGCCTTCCCCACTCCCTTTCTACCCCCAGTTCCCAGGGATGCCAAGCATGGATGTGAAGGCTGGCACAGCTCAAGGGCAGCCGTGCAAGGAGCTTACTCTCAGCCCATCAAGCTGACTGCCTGAACGTGCCGTGCCTCCTCAGAGAGGCCAGCAGTGGCCCTGACATCCTTTCCCTCCAGATCTGACTCTGGATTTTAAGGGGAGATGGAGGTGAGGAGGGCGGTGTGACAGGGTGGCTAGCCCAGCTTCCTTCCCCTCCAGCACTCACTCTTGCCACTGGGTTTTTGAAGACTAGATTCGGGACCGTGGCTTCTTCCTAACTCTCCAGGCCATTTTCTGCTGCCATGAGCCAAGGAGGGTATCTTCCCTCTCTCCTGCCTGCCTTCCCATTGCATGGATGACCAAACTAAGGTCCAGGGAGCAGATGCCCAGTGGATCCAGAATCTCCAGACTAGGCTCTGTTCCTCTGGGCAGAGGTCCTAGACCATCTGACCACCCCCACCCCCAGATCTTCCCTCATACACATTGTATTTCTTACAAATCAGCCCTGCCCCACTCTCGAATGCCCAGCCTTGAACAAAAGGCCTCTCTTCTAATCTAGTCACCTTCCCACTCTGAGGTAGGAGCTTGCCTCTGCCGGGTGGAGAGATGTGGGGGCACCAGTGTGATGCTGGGAGCCCCTCTTCCCGGCCCCTTCTCTCCTGCTTCTCCCCTGGGAAGCCCCTAGGGCTGGGAGGGCGCAGGGATGGGGAAGCCAGGTGCAGAGGCGAGTGGAATCGCGCAACAGCTTCTCCTGGAGAACTAATGAGGCAAAAAAGGCACCCGCAGAAGCGCTGAGCACAGCATCCTGCCCCAGCCACAAGCTTGATGCCCGCCTGCCCGTGGGACCGAGCTGGGCTCCATGGTTTTCATTCCTGCCTGAGGGCCTAGCCAGGCACCTGGCCACACGCACCTTTGTGATGCTATTAATAATCCCTCTCCTGGTGCCACCCCCATGCAGTCTTAGCCTGGCCCGGGCCAGTGGGGCAGACCCACTTCTGGGCCCTGAGGCTGCTGACTGGCCCAGTAAAAGTGGGCACATATTCCTACATGGGGGTTCAGGGTAGGAGCATGCACCTAAGTCTGGAACACATGTTTCTGCCCATCCCACACTTTCTCCAACCAGCTGCAATATCCACTAACTCTGTCCCCCATTCAGGACTGAGGGGAGACGAGCTGGCTGTATCACTGCCCTAGATGGCATCACCTATGGGTGAGCATGCACACTGCCAGCACTCCAGGGCCGGGGTTCAGCCATGGGGCAGGGCTTCACCAATGCCCTATGTCCAGTATCCACCTCTTCCCTGGGCATAGCAGAGTGGAATAAAGGACACTCCAGGCTCTGAATTACATAGGATCTGCAGAGCCAGCCCAGGGTGCTCCCCTGGGAGCCATCACCCCCTTTCCACCCTCCAGGGTTGAGTCTCAGCCACTTGTCCTCAAAGGGCATTGCTGCCAGCCCCCCACCCACCCCCACCCCCAGCAGGACCTACCTGAAGGATGGGAGGATACTGTCATAGTAGTACCAGGTGGCTGTCAGGTAGGCCCGGCTCATATCGGTGGAGTACAGGCGCCAGGCAGCCTGGTGGTATGGGGGACGTGGGGGATGGGGCATCAGTGAGGCCTCTCAGTCCCCACCAGCCCTCTCCCCTGAAAGAACCCAGTCCTTGGTCCAGTTGTGGGTTACCCAGAGCCAGAGGCCAGTTCCAATTCCACAGCCACTGACAGGGGCAGCCAAGAAAGTAAGGCCTAGGGAGAAACGACTTCCCCGAGGGGACAAAGCAGATCAATGTCAGAGCCAGGGGCCATAGAGCATAGAGGTTAAGAGCTGGAGTTTTGTTGTCAGGCAGACATGGGTTTCCAATCCCAGCTCTGCCCCTTATTAGTGAGGACAAATTAAGTAAAGCTTCAGGACCTCAGTTTCTTCACCTGTAAAACGCATGTAACACTACTTGCCTACCAGGGTGTTGTGAGGATTAAATGAACAGTTGTATATTAAATGCCAAGCTCAGTGCCTGGTATATAGTAGGCACTTCATGCCAGGTTCCTCTGTTAAACACTCCTGTTATTCCCCTTATCACATTTGATGAATACCTATTCATTGTGTATTTGACTGATAACTTTCTCTCCCCCTAGACTGCAAGCTGTGTCTTTGTTACCGCTGCATTCTCAGTGCAAATATAGTGTCTGGCACATGTGGGTGCTTTGCAAATGTTTGCAGAATGTCATTATTATTACTAGCAATGCCACTCCATCTTTCCCAGCTGCCTGTCACTGCCCATGGGAATACTAAGGACTGAGAGGGGAGGAAAAGCATTACCTACCAACCCCTCAGCATCCATGGGCTTGCCGAGCTTCCTCTGCAGCAGGAGGGATGAAAGTCAGACAGGAGGAGAGACTGTCCCTCTCCCTCCACGTAGGAAGAGCCAGGGAGGGACTGTGAGTGTGGCCATCAGTGAGAGCAGGGAGGCATGGAGGCTGCTAGGCAGGACAAGGCAGAGCTGGGCCCTGGACGCCTCCCTTCTTTGGATGCCTCTTGTCCTTAAGGGGCTGCCACTGCTGACCTCACCAGCCAGGCACCCTCCTAAGACAGGAATATTTTTACTTCCTGCTTGCCTAGGCCCCTGGCATGGGCTGGGGAGCAGCTGCCAGAGCTGTCTCATTAATTATGGGCACCACAATACTAGCTGTCTCTTGGCATGGACAGTGCCAGCCGCCTGCCCCTACAATGCCCCTCAGAAGGCCAGCTCCCAGGGGACAGTGGCCATTGTGCCCCAAGGGACGCTAAGAAGAAAAGGCTGAGCTGGTGGCTGGAGATAACAGCGACAGGGAGGAGGGTTCTACCCTGGGGAGGAGAGATAAGGAAGGGCTGAGTGAGGCTTGGGTTTGGGGCTCAGAGGGTGACAGGCTAGGGAGCAGGCAGAGGTGGACTGGGCCAGTATTCCCTGAAGCATTTCCTGCAAGGAGTTCCCTTACACACACCCCTGACTAGAAAAAGCCAAGGCCTAGTCCCAGGGTCACAGAAAATCAGAGCCCTGGCCTCAGCCCACACACAGTCACAACACGCCATGGCACAGAGGGAAACTGAGACCACACACTCCTGGCTTCCTACCCACCCCTCTGGCTGTTCCTTCTGTCTCCTTGCCCAGCTCAACTTTGCAGGCCCACCCACCTGCTAAATGTTGAGATTCCTAAAAGCCCTGTCTGCACCATCCTCTCTTCATTTGTGTGAGTGCTTGTGGAATGAATGAATGAATGAAGGTGCTGGAAGTGGGGCAGGCTTACTGCTGCACAGCTGATGGGGGCAGCAGTGGGTCTCCACCAGAGGCCTCCCAGCTCCTGTCTGGGCTCCGCCCCTCCCCAGGCCCTGTGAAGTTGGGCTGGAGTTGGGCAATAGGGCAGTTCTGGCTAGCCCTAAACCAGGCATTTGGTGCAGGGGGAAGTTTCTGGCACTGTCAGTGAGCATCCTGGCTCTGTGTGTGACTTGGCATGTGGCTCCAGGAAAGTCACATAGCCCTTTTGAGCTTCAAAGTGGTGTCACAGTTGGGCTGGGGACATGGGTCAGCACACAGGGTTGACACACCAGTGCAGTCACACGGCCCTGCTCCTAGGGCTTCTTCCCGGGCATCTTGTACCTGGATGAGGTTGGCTGCCGGCATCCTCCGCTTCTCGAAGTGCTTCTGCCGGTGCTGCTCCTGGACCTTCAGGGCAAAGCCGGAGCCTAGGATGCCCTAGAGGGATAGGGCATGGTTGGGGGAATGTGCTGGCAGTGGTGGGGCAGTAAGAGGCTGCAAGGGTGTCCCCATCCTTGCCCCTCTGAGGTACCCCAGGCTCCCCAGGCAAATGTGTGACAGGGGTGAGCAGGTCCCACCCTCAGCCTCCCCCACCAACTGAGCAGGAGGCAACTCACGGCAGGCAGGGCAAAGAAAGAGATGCCCAGTAAGGCGAAGCCAGCAGCCAGGACCCTGCCCAGCCATGTGTGCGGTGTCTTGTCACCATAGCCGATGGTTGTCAATGTAATCTGGAGACACAAACAGGTTACAGGCAGGACTGGTCACGGGGGCCACCTACGGCTTGTTGGGGGTACAGGCAGGTAGGAGCCTGATCATGAGGGAAGGGGCCCCTGGTCACCCACGGGGGCTGGTTAGGGTCATAGATGGATTCTCCCTCTCCTGGGCTGGTCAGGGGAAAGGGGTATAGTCACAAGGTCTTGATGTGCGGGGCTAGCTGGGGACAGAGGCAGGTCCACCAGAGCAGGTTGGGGGGTTAGCATTGGGGCTGGTCTCAGGGGGGTCCCAGCTCTAGTGAGAGGGCAGGGGCAGGCCCGCTCAACCCTGAGTCAGGAGTCACGATGGGCAGACCTCGGGAAGTTCCCAGGGAGGATCCCAGGGAGAAGGGCAGCCCTACAAAGACCCTCACGCACCGTCCCCCACCAGAGCGAGTCGGCGTAGGAGGAGAAGTCGGAGTTGGCGTCCTTCTCAGCCAGGTAGACCAGGAAGGAGGCGAAGATGAGCACCAGGAACCCGATGTACCAGGCGGTGATCAGCTCCTGCGGGGCAGGCGGAGGGGCGCGGTGAGGAGCGCTGTGCCTGCCTGGGAGATGTGGGGGGCTTCCACACGGGAAAGGGATAAAGGTCCCCCATCTCCCGGAGTCCCAGGCTCGCTTTTCTTTCTCAGCTCCTCCCATCACGGCGACCCTGCCCCGGCCTTCGCGAAACCGCCAGCACTCCCCCTACCCCGACCCCCATTCCCACCCCCACCCTCACCCCGCCTGCCTTGAGTCTCCAGGTTCCAGGCTCAGGACTCCAGCACCCGGCCTACCTTGCCCCGTCCCCCAAGTCCCACTTTCAGGCTTCCACCTGGGGCCCACCCTAGCCCCGCTCCAGCCCCACCCTCAAGTCCCACCTCAGCTGCCCACTTTGTGGTACGAGTGGTCCCTTCAAACCCAGAAGCATCCAGGGGAAACCCTCAAGCCCCGCCTCTCCGGCCCCGCCCCCTGATCCGGTCCGGACTCCTAGGCCCGCCCCTACCTAATTCAGAATCCACTTCGCCCCACCCGCTTAGACCTCGCCTCCTGCTAGGGCTCCAACCCCCGCAGGCCACACCCCTTCCCAGCACGGAGACAGCCCCTCTGACCTCGCCCTCTCCGCCCTGCCCGCTCTGGTCGTGCCCCAGACACGCCCTCGGGTCTCCGCGCGCGGCTTGCAGGCCTCACCTTGCTATGCGCGTAGACCACTGAGCCCAGCAGCTTCCAGGTGCCGCCGCGGCGGTCCATGCGCACCATGCGCAGGATCTGCAGGAAGCGCATGCTGCGCAGCGCGGACGTGGCGAAGATGTTGCCCTGGGTACCCGCGGCGATGACGGCCACCGAGGCCACGAACACGATGAAGTCTGCAGGGGCGGGGGCGGCGAGATCACAGCCAGCCTACCCCGCGCACGGACCCGGAGGCGGGGACTTCTGGGGATGTGGCAGGGGACTGGGGAGGGAGGGGGAGGGTCCGCTGAATCTGTGCGGGTCTCCAGGGTCAGAGTCGGGATTGGGAGTAAAGGCGTCACCCTGGCTCCTGGGGTCAGGGGTCAGGTCGGGCGGGGCGCGCCTCATTACCGATGACACAGAAGGGCTTTCTGGCAAAGCGGAAGCGACCCTGCCATCCTCGGTAGCGGCAGCAGCATCCGGCGGACCAGACCCGGACGATGTACTCCAAGCCGAAAACCACGATCATCACGAATTCCTGTGGGACCAGGGGCCTGAGTTCTGGTCCTCAGTCTCCAGAACTGGGGCCCAGGTCACAGCGCGGACCCAGCCAAGAGTCCCTGGGTTAGGGGGACCAGGGCCTCCTCGGACCCCTCTCCTGGAGTTTCCTGGACTTGACGATTCCGGAGGGCAGGTGGCCCCCTCCGCCTCCTGCAAGAAGACTAAAAGCCCTAGTGTGTCCTCCCCTTCCGGTCCCCATGAACTGATCGGATTTTTCTGCTCCTCAACAGGCCCTCCCTGTCCCAGCTGTCTCAGACTCCCTAACTCTGACCTGGTGACAAAAGGGGTTGCTGGCTGTCAGCTGTCTCCCTCTGAGGGGCTTCCATTTGGTGTTTTGTGTTTAGGCAAAAACTGACCTAAAATCCACCACACGTGGAGTTTGCAGATTTTGTCCTGAGAAGGGGTGGAGCCTACTCACTTCTATTCTGGACCCATCATAAGCCCTTGCATAGAGGCAGGAGGTCCCCCAACACTTGCTATAAAGTGGAGATGATGCCCAGAGAGGGGCAGCCACAGCTGAGGGAACACAGCACAGCAAGCTGCTCTCTGAGCCATGGTATGAGAAGCCTCTTTCCACCTTCAGCCCTCAGCCCAGAGGTGCCACCTCACACGGCCCCCCTCAGTCCCGGACTCCCAGCCCAGAGGTGCTACCTCACACAGCCCCCTTCAGTCCCGGACTCCCAGCCCAGAGGTGCTACCTCACACAGCCCCCCTCAGTCCCGGACTCCCAGCCCAGAGGTGCTACCTCACACAGCCCCCCTCAGTCCCGGACTCCCAGCACTTACCAAGATGAGGAGACACTCGTTGGCAAGTTCCTGGTGCTCCTGGATAGTGGACAGCACAGACAGCACCAGGCAGCTGAAGACCAGCAAAAATCTGCAATTACAACATGAGGGAGAGGGTTAGATTGTTGGAGGGACAGGACAGCCAAGGTGCCCCTGGCAGGGGGTTACAGAGCCAAGAGAGGAGAACATTATTTTCAGAAAATTATGTGGAAATCAGAATTGGAATTCCCTGGAGTTACAGCTCTGTGCTGGGCACCAAAGGCAGCAGCCCTCAAGCCCCAAGCTACTGGACCTCACAACTATCTCAATTGCCCCCTGCTGCAGGCTGCAGCTCAGAGAGGTAGTCACTCATCTGTGAGTAGCAGGTCTGGCAGTGGAAATAGACTGACTCAGGGTTCCTCCAGGTCTAGCCATCCACAAGTGGTGGCCTTGGCCCCAGCTTGGTTTTAAGATGTCTTGGGAGAAGTGCCCCAGAGGTCAGCCCAGGGCTCAGGGAAGGTCAGCGGATGAAGGAGGGACCTTCTTTCTTATGCACTCCAAAGTGGCAGGAGCCTGGCCTCATCTGCAGAATTGGGACAACTGCCCCTGCCTTCGTGGAATTAAGTAACGAGACAGCTAGAAAAGGAAAGAGGATCATGGAGGACAGGTAGAGAAGGAATGATGCAGCAGGGAGAGGATGTAGGGAGGGGAATTGGGCAGTGTGGAGCTGGGCCATCGAGGCCAGGAACTTCCCTGCAGACAGCATGAAACTACAGAGTGGCCCAGAACCAGAGACATAGAAATGGAAGGAACTTTAGACCCTAGCACATCCAATACTTCCCTCATCCCCCAGTGCACCACGAGGAAACAGGCCCGAAGAGGAAGAAGGACTCACCCTTTGTCGCCCAGTGTGCCCAGGACAGAGCTGAGATTAGAGCCAGGGTTCCCAACCTCCCAGTGGATGGGAAGAGGACCAAGGGCATGAGGAGAGAAACTGGTGGCCTTGCGGTATGTGGATGGGTGAAGGAGAGCGAGGTGAGAGGTCACAGGCTGCAGACACAGCAGAGGCGAATGAGGTGGCCTCCAGGAGCACCCCTCTTTAGGATGGGGGTGTGCTGAACATGCACACACCCTGGAGGAGACTCCGGAGGGAACAGGCTTCTCTGGAAATACATCTCTGTGTACTGACCCGCCAGCCTTCCCAGATGTCCCCAGTCTCCCCACCTCTGCACCGTTGCTGGCACGGTGCATGCTACGCAGAACACCTCATGTCTGTGCCTGCGAGACTCTGCTCATCGTCCACGCCTACAGGAACACAAATGCTACAAAGCTCTACGGAGCCTCTGATTCCCGCACCCCACTATCCCCCCTTCAGAACTGCCAACTCCCGATGCTTGCCTCCCTATGTGTGGCCCAAGTCACCTTCTATGTGGCTTTATTTATATTCATGTTTCGTGGTGACCTTAAGGACAGCAGCTCGGGGTCAGAGAGACCTGAGTTTGGATCCCAGTCCTGCTTGTGTGTGTGGTTTTGAGACTGTCACCTGCCTTCTCTGAGCCATCTCGTTATCTATGAAGTGGGGGCTATGGAAGGAAGACATGCAAAGGGCGTGGCACTGCCCTGGCTCACTTACACCTCCTGGACAGGGGTTCCTGACCTTTTTGGGGGGCAAGTGTATCCCAGCAAATACCCCTGGTTTGAGAAGGTAGGTGGCAGATGTCGGTAAAGTGTTATGAGTGAATGAGTTCGAGAAGAGCTTATTCCTCGGCCAGTTCCAGACCAGAGCTGAGTCAGCAAAAACACGGGGTACGGGAGAACAGAAGAGAAGAGCACCAGCTCCTCATGTTCAATAATTAATCACAAAAAAGGCAGCGGCCACATGTACCTGCATCGGGACTGCAGCTGAAGCAGGGTTTAGGACCAGAAGGGTCCTTCATGAGGTTATCTCATGCAGCCCTCTCCTCGGGGAATGGCCACAGCCAGGACTTTTTAAGACTTTACCCCGGCCTTGACAGACACCCTCCAGTCCCGTTTCTCAGCTGACCTCAGAAGCTCAGGCAGCAGTGGGCCACTCTGGGGACTTCTTCTTGAATGTTTCATTAACACTTTTCTTTTTCCTTTTGCTTTTTTTTTTTTTTGAGATGGAGTCTCATCCTGTTACCAGGCTGAAGTGCAGTGGTGTGATCTCGGCTCACTGCAACCTCCGCCTCCCGGGTTCAAGCGATTCTGCTGCCTCAGCCTCCCGAGTAGCTGGGGCTACAGGCACATGCCACCGTGCCCAGCTAATTTTTGTATTTTTAGTAGAGACGGGGTTGCACCATGTTGGCCAGGATGGTCTTGATCTCCTGACCTCGTGATCCACCTGCCTCGGCCTCCCAAAGTGCTGGGATTACAGGCGTGAGCCACCAAGCCTGGCCATCATTAACACTTTTCTTGCCATGTCAGTAATTACACATCTATAAAATTTCCACTTCACAATTTAAAAAAAAAGGAAAGCAGATTATAAAACCTTAACGGCAATGTGATCCCAATGTTTGAAACAGAGATGGTTTTTACACACGTACCCAGAGTCAGCAAGGCTTATCTATGGGTGGTAAAATTAAGTGATTTGGCTTTTGTTTTGCTTTCTGCTTATCTGTATTTTCTATTTTTTGTTTTGTTTTGTTTTTTTTTGAGACAGGGTCTCACTCTGTCAACCAGGCTGGAGTGCAGTAGCATGATCACGACTCACTGTAGCCTTGACCTCCTGAGCTCAAGCCATCCTCCTACCTCAGCCTCCTGAGTAGCTGAGACCACAGGCACATGACACCACACCCGGCTAATTTTTAAATTTTTTGTAGAGATGGGGTTGAACTATGTTGCCCAGGCTGGTCTCAAACTCCTGGGCTCAAGTGATCCTCCCGCCTCTGCCTCCCAGAGCTGGCAATGTAAGCCACTCGCCCAGCCAGTATTTCCTAATATATTGTTTGGAACAAACATGGGTTGTTTCGGTAATAACAAACTAATATAAAATTTAAAATGCAGGCTGGGTGCGGTGGCTCATGCCTGTAATCCCAGCACTTTGGGAGGCCGAGGTGGGTGGATAGCCTGAGGTCAGGAGTTACAGACCAGCCTGGCCAACATCGTGAAACCCCGCCTCTACTAAAAATACAAAAGTTAGCCAGGCGTGTTGGTAGGCGCCTGTAATCCCAGCTACTCAGGAGGCTGAGGGAGGAGAATCACTTGAACTTGGGAGGCGGAGGTTGCAGTGAGCCAAGATGGCACCATTGCACTCCAGTCTGGGCAACAAGAGCAAGACATCATCTCAAAAAAAAAAAAAAAAAAAAAAAAGGCCGGGCGCAGTGGCTCACGCCTGTAATCCCAGTACTTTGGGAGGCCGAGGTGGGCAGATCACAAGGTCAGGAGATCGAGACCATCCTGACTAACACGGTGAAACCCTGTCTCTATTAAAAATACAAGAAATCAGCTGGGCTTGCTGGCGGATGCCTGTAGTCCCAGCTACTCGGGAGGCTGAGGCAGGACAATGGCATGAACCCAGGAGGCAGAGCTTGCAGTGAGCCAAGATTGCGCCACTGCACTCCAGCCTGGGCGACAGAGTGAGACTCCGTCTCAAAAACAAAAACAAAAACAAAAACAAAAACAAGAAAAGCCCACTTTGGATCCTGCCCCACCCCTTGACCACAGTCGCCTCTGCCATTTAGCAGGAGTGAGGATGTGGCAGCCTCTCCCAGGTGTCCAGCTCGTGTGTCCAAATGCCTGCTCAATGACTCTTCTTGGATGTCTGGTGGCCTCTCAAACCCAACACCTCCAAACACCAGTTCTCAATTTGTCCTCAAGTCCTCCTCACCTCCAGCCTACCCATCTCAGTAACGGCACCACGGCTCCCCCAGGGCTCAGGCTCCTTCATTCTTCCTTTCCCTCCCCCTGCACATCCCCTTCTGAGCAAATTCCATTGGCTCTACCTTCAGAATCTATCCCTGGGCAGGCCAGGTCGCACCATCCCAACCAAGCCGCCACCATCTGGCACCTACCTGGCCTCCCTGCCTCCACTGTGCCTGAATGTGACCACTCCCTTCAACGCAGCCAGGGTCATCTTCCCACAATGCACAGCTGGAAACCATCGCTCTCCACAAAACTCTCGTCGGACTTCCATCGCACTTAGAGAGGGAAAGTCCAACTCCTCGGCACTGACAACAAGGCCCTGCAAGGTCTGTGCCTCCACCCCCGCCTCCAAACTTGACCTTCTTCACTCTCCTGCTGGCTCACTGCACCCCACTTATTCTGGCCTCCTTGCCAGTCCTGGAACACACCTAACATATTTCCACCTCCAGGCTTTGAACCTGCTTTACTGTTTCCTCTGCCTCACCCAGGTCTGTTCCAATGCCACTTCTTTGGAGGGGCCTCCCCAGCCATCCCCTCTCTGAAAGAATGGCCTCATCTCCACTCTCTTGCCCCTTATTCTGACTGACCGATTGCTTGATTGATTTCACAGCACTATTGAAAGACTAAGTAAATGAATAGCAGGAGTTCACTGTAACCAAACATCAAAACACCATGTTACCAAGCCAAAGCCTCCAGTTTGTACCCACTGAAGAGGTCCCCAAAGCACATCCATCCCTGACTCCTCTGGCTGCCCCATGTCTTTCCTAAAAAGTAACGCCTCTGACCTTGACCATCTCCATTTGGCGGACGCTGCTTAAAAAGCCCCCAAACTTCACTTCTCCCTGCTTTAACCCACTGGCTAAGAGTTTCTATACCCTTGATACTCTCATTACATTTGAAGGGATATACTTGGACTAATAGAAAACATCCTGGGACGAGGCGCGGTGGCTCATGCCTGTAATCCCAACATTTGGGAGTCCAAGGTGGGAGGATTGCTTGAGTCCAGGAGGTCAAGACCAGCCTGGGCAACATTGTGAGATGCTGTCTCTACAAAAAAAATCAAAACAAAAATTAGCCAGGCATGGGGGTGTGCATCTGTGGTCCCAGCTACTCGGGAGGCTGAGGTGGGAAGATCGCTTGAGCCAGGGAGGTTGAGGCTACAGTGAGCTGTGATCTCGCCACTGCATTCTAGCTTGGGGGACAGAGCCAGACTCTGTATCTCAAAAAAAGAAAAGATCCTGTGTTCCAGGCACCTGAATAATTATCCATATCTTCCAGCTGAGGAAATAGAGCTCAGGGAGGGATAGACTTGTTCAGGATCACACAGTGAATCAGTGGCAGAGCTGCAGCTAGAACCCCAGCTCAGGCTGACCCTCAAGCTGCCTTGGCCTTCCTGGAGTGGGGGTGGTCCTCACACAGGGACAGCAGAAGAGAGATCAGTATCTGGAGGTCAGGGGTAGAGGAGACAAGGTGAAGGAGCCCCTTAGCTGGGGTCTCATGCCTGCCACAACTAGGGTGTGGCTTCATTCATCCAACAAAGGACTTTCTAAGGATTCTCTCTGGCCCCCTCTGGGACCTCAGTTTCTCCATCTATACAAATATAGATGAAACATGGGTGCTGGCTGGCCTGGGCCCTCTCTAATCTCCCCAGCAGACAGGCCAGACTAGCGGCCACTTTCTAGGACATCTTTGCCCATCATGTCTGCCTGCAAGTTGTGGCCCATGTTCTTTCTCCCTGCCCAGCCCAGGAGGCAGAATGAGACAGGCGGGTGTTGCCTGGCTGGCTCTCCCCAGCTGGTCTGATCACAAGGCTTATCCAACCTTTCCTCTCCATTTCCCCCATCTCCCCATCCCATGACTATCCCACTCGTTCAGGAGGGAGCAAGAGGATTAGAGATGAAAAAGTGAATGGTTTGCTTAGATTTGTGGTTTTCAAACTACGGTGGGTGTCAGAGTCACCTGGAGGGCTTGTTAAAATACTGATTTCTGGGACCTATTCCTACAGTGTCTGATTCAGTAAGTTTGAAGTGGAAAATATGCCTTTCTACAAAGGTCCCTGGTGATACTATTGCTGCTGTTATGGGGACCACACTTTGAGAATCACTGGCTTAGGTGATGGGAGCAGTTGCAGCTGACTCAATTATTAGCCAGCTCAGGGCTTTTAAACAACTGCAATCACCGCCTTCTCCACATTTATACCTCCTCAAGTCACTGTCCAGAAGCGGCCACAGGGCAGGAGGGGGAAAGCTCTGCTGGGGAGGTGGCTCTCATGTGGTGACCTGAAGTAATAACCATAACTGCTCCTGCTGGCCAAAGGCTTCCTATTGGCCAGACACTGTGCCAAGCCCTCTAAATGCATGTTCTTAATGAGTTCTCACAGTGACCCCATGGAACCGTACCATCATCACCCTGATAAGGAGAGGGCGGTTCAGAGGCGTATACTGTGGTGACTGCAGAGCTCTGTGAATACACTAAAATCCTCTGAACTGAACACTTTAAAAGGAGGAATTTTACTGTATGTGAATTATATCTCAATAAAGCTGTTATTCAAATGAGAAAAGAAAGGTATGACTTGTTCAAAGTCATAAGCGCAGGACCTGAGCCCAAGACCACCTGGACCACCGGGCCCTACTAATGCTCTGGGCCTCAATTTCCCTGTCAGAAACACACACAAAGGTCGGGGACAACTCAGTGATGGTTAAGGTCCCTGTAGCTTGGTAACTCTCCAGCAGTGGGGTGGAGAGGATCGGCCATCAGCTCAGCTCCAGATTCTCTGGGGATGTCCCTGGATCCAGCTGAGGTCTCTCTCTTCATACCCACTGGGCGTTTGCCCAGTGTCCACGGCTCTCTCTCTCGACATGTCCAACATGTCCCTGGAGGGACAGCTGCTGGGAGGCCAGGCCAGAGAGATGGGGATATGATGGGGGTAGGAAAGATGGCAGGGCATCTCACAGCAGAAAAGAGGTTGTCACCTGACCTCTCTGGGCTATATTCACTTCAGACACCTACACTCAGCCAGGTTTATTGTAAAACCAGAAATGAATAATCCAGGTCCCAAGGAATTAACAACACAGAACATGACACAGTGGTGACGGGATGGACGAGGCCATGACAGTGTACTCAAGGGGTCGGGGAGAGTCCCAAGAAGCCTTCCGCACAACCAAAGTGGAGGGATCAGTGAAGACTTCTTGGAGGAGGTAACTGGACAGGGGTCGGGGTGCCCCAGGCAGAGGAAGCAGGATGTGCAAGCAGTGGGAATGTGGCCGTCGAGGCAGCCCAGAACGGCCAGCAGTTCTGGATGGTGTGGCCTAAAGTGAAGGGGGCAGTGGAAAAACCAGAGAGGGCCAGACCCAGGGGCCTTGAGTAGCATTCTCAGGCACTGTGAACATGATCCCAAAGGCAATGGGGAGTCATTGTAGAGTTCTTTTTTTTTTTGAGACGGAGTCTCACTCTGTCGCCCAGGCTGGAGTGCAGTGGTGTTGGCTCACTGCAACCTCCGCCTCCTGGGTTCAAGAGATTCTCGTGCCTCAGCCTCCCGAGTAGCTGGGATTACAGGTGCCTACCACCACGCCCGGCTAAGTTTTGTATTTTTAGTAGAGACGGGGTTTCACCATGTTGGCCAGGCTGGTCTTGAACTCCTGACCTCAAGTGATCCACCTGCCTCGGCCTCCCAAAGTGCTGGGATTACAGGCGTGAGCCACCGCACCTGGCCAATTGTGGAGTTCTAAGAGAGGAAATGACACAGTCCAATTTGCATCTCAGGACCACTTGGGGAAGTACACAGAATAGATCAAAGGAGATAAGACTCAGCAGAAAGACCAAGAAAGCTCCACAATAGCTCAGACGACAGATGACTGTGGCCTGGCCCAGGGTGGTGGCAGCAGGGAAGAGGAGTGGATGGGTTGGAAAACACCGCAGGAAGTAGGGCTCGGTGATTAACTGGAAACGGGAACTAGGAAGGAGAACAACTTCTCTATTTCTGGTTTGGGCATTGGATGGATGAAGGTGCCATGAGTGCCTTCATGGGACGGGGGAGACCCCACTGGAGGAGCAGGTGTTGGGTGGTGGGCATGTTGAGAGAGAGAGAGGGCTATGGGCACTGGGCAAACACTCCATGGGTATGAAGAGAGAGACCCGGCTGGAAATGCAGATCTGGGGGACATCAGGGTAGAGGTGGTGACTGAGGTCACAGGAGCAGCTGAGACAGTCCAGAGAGCTTGTAGCAAAGTTAGAGGAGGACCCGATGGAGCCCCAGCGGTGCAGCAGGAACAGAGGCCCTCTACGCAGACTGGGAGGGATAGCCAGAGAGCTGGGAGGGAAAGCAGAAGAGAGAAGTGTCAGAGAGGCCACGTGAAGAACATGTTTCAAAGCGGGAGTAGACAACAGTGTCAAATGCTGCCAAGAGGTCAAGTGAGATAAGGCGTGAAAAATGTCCTCTGGATTTGGTGACACATTGGTCACTGGGTCCCTTGGCAAGGGCAGCCTTCTCTCAGAAGGAGAGGAAGACCAGAACAGGCCCAGAAAAAGTGAGAAAGGGGAGGGGCAGTGAGGAGGTAGAGACAGTAAGTGTAGGTTTAACAATTTGAAGATGTTTGACTGCAAAGAAGAGATCAGAGATCGTAGCTGGAGAAGGATGCAGGGTATAGGGAATCTTTTTCTTTTCTTTTAAGATGAGAGAGCCAGAGTGGAAGGAGCCAAGAGATCAAGAAGGAGAAGTTGAAGATGCGGGGAGACAGAGTGAGTAGTCAATGGAATGAAGTCCCCAAGGAAGATGGGAGGCTGGGATCCAGAGCCAGGGAGGAGCTGGTGTGGAGTAGGAAGGATCCCTCCAGCTTCCACAGGGACAGGAAGGCATGTAGGTGGGAGGAGGCTGTGGGAAGGGAGGAGGCCGACAGCCCCTACTCACTGGGGACTGCTCTGGGAAGAGGCAAGGCCCAACTCTCAGAAGTGGGCAGGAGGGTGGGGTGGGGGATCTGAAGAGATGGAGGAGGTATGGAGCTGGGAGAGGAAGGTGGGAGAAAAGACCACGCCTGGAGAGGGGTCCCATGGGAGCACAGGACCATTATCCTCAGCAGCGAGGATGGCTCTTCAGACCTGGAACATCACAGGCACTCAACACATGCATTTCAGGGTTTTATTTAGGTTTTTTGTTGCTGTTTGTTTTTAAGGCTTGATTATCCAGTAGGAAGCAGCCTGTGTGAGAAGAGGACCGCTCCCCACCCCCAAGTATCCACCAAGGCCAAGGTAAATACAGATCCAGGCCTTGCCCCCTCCTTCCTCCAGAGCCTCCTTCCTTCCCTCGTCTTTCCAGCGTCCCTCCCAGACTGAGCCCTGCCAGTGTCTGGGGACTGCCCAGCCACCAGCAGTTTCCCTGATTTCTTTTCTTTTGAGACAGGGTCTTGCTCTGTTGCCTGTGTTGGAATGCAGTGGTGCAATCATAGCTCACTGCAGCATCACTCTCCAAGGCTCAAGAAATCTGCCTGCCTCAGCCTCCTGAGTAGCCGGGACCACCACACCTGGCTAATTTTTTTTGATTTTTAGTAGAGACAAGGTCTTGCTATTTTCCCAGGCTGGTCTCCAACCCCCAAGCTCAAGTGATTTGTGCATCTGGCCTGGGGAGCGCGTGACTCTTTCCTTGCCCCCTAGACCAGGGCCCAAAGGCAGGGCTCTGTCTCCCCTCAGCTGGAGGACCCTGAGGCCAGTCTGTCCTCCATTCAGCCAAGGTCCCTAGAGGGCAGAAGCTATGGCCACCATCACCTTCTGGAAGAAAGGGGCTCCTTAAACCCCAAACCGGAGCTGATACCGAAGAAGGGACTTCAGCTAGACTTGACAGGCACTTCCTGACAAGGGGGGCAGCCTGGAGGCCCCCAGACTCTTCTAGAGAGAGCAGGCACTTACTTTCTCCTGCAGGGGAATAAGGGGAGGGGCAGTAAGCCAGGCCTCAGAGCGAGGCTCTTTCCAAGAATCCTCAGGGGCTGGGAGGAGAAGTTTCCCCTGATCCAGCGATTCTAAATATGGCAAAGGGAGCAAGAGCACGTGACCCAGGGCCCCACACCAGGGCCGCCGCCACTGCCGCTGCTGCTTCTCTGGGCCAGAGGCTTGCGCTGGGGCTTAGAAATTGCAATGGGGCCCTGATGGAGCCTCAGTTTCCCTGTCTGCAACATGTAGGTGGAGCACTACTCAGTAATGGCCAAAGTCCCTTCCGCCTTGTGACTCTCCAGCAGTGGGGTAGAAAGGAGAGAGTTGGCCCTCAGCTGAGTTTCCCTGAGGCTGTCCCTGGAGGGACAGCAGCCGCCAGCACATAGAACAAACTATGAAAAAAATGCCCCCTCTTGGAGGATGGCTTAGAAAAAAAGCATTCCCGTTAGCCTGACAAGTTATAAAAACTTGACCCCTCTAGACGGACCCATTAGCACAGGCATCCCTTCCCCTGGGCTGCCCCACCCCTGGGCATAGGCTGGATTCCAGCACCCCTCAGCCCTCTCAGCCGGCCCCTTTGTGGCGCCCAGACTGCAGAGCGACACATGACAGCCCTGCGGTTGGCTCCACAGCACTCTCCTGGCCGCCACAGATTCATGGAGAGCTGGAGACTGACCCAAGAAGGGCCCACCCATAGGTTGGGCTGAGCCAATCGGATTGTCTTTCGCAGGAATGGAACTAAGAACCACAGAGGAAAGTTGGCAGAGGTGCAGAGAGATGGGCCATGAGACTGCACTACGCTGGAACCTCATCCCCCTGCTCTCTATCCCATGAATCCAAAATGTGCTTTCTGCCTTGAAGCCTCTAAAGAATTCTCTTTCCTTACCATATCTGTCCTCTACCTCCAGAAGCCAATTTTTCTTTTTCTTTATCCCAAATGTAATAGTACAGAAGCCAGTTTTTATTGAGCCAGCTTGAATGGTTTCTGTCCCACGGGACATGAAAGGCAGTGTCTTCTAGACAAGGTGTTTGATGAGGAATAGCTTCCTCCTCTCCCACCTGCACCAGCCCCAAACCTTCCGACTTGTTCTGTCTGCTTCCTTCTGCCGTGCCAGCCTGCCTACCTGTTGCACCAGGTCAGTGGGCTGAGCAATGTGTTGACAAGAGCCAGAGTGGAACAAAGAGGACACAGGGGCATCCATCTGTTGGGACTGGCCAGACAGAGCTGACTTCTCAAACAGGGAGGTGTGGGCCCTCCCAAGCAGGATGCCATTGAAAGGAAGGGGAAACATGGGGTGGAATTTAGGCAGCCAGGATTTGAGAAACTCAAGCAAGATGGCTAGTGGAAACCTTCCCTCGGTTCCACTGAGCAGCTCCGTGCAGATTCGGGTGGCTCAGTTTTACATGCTGGCTTTGGCGTAAAAATTTCATGTGAGGCCGGGCGCGGTGGCTCACGCCTGTAATCCCAGCACTTTGGGAGGCTGAGGCAGGCGGATCACGAGGTCAGGAGATCGAGACCATCCTGGCTAACACGGTGAAACCCCATCTCTACTAAAAATACAAAAACTTAGCCAGGCGTGGTGGTGGGCGCCTGTAGTCCCAGCTACTCCAGAGGCTGAGGCAGAAGAATGGCGTGAACCCAGGAGGCGGAGCCTGCAGTGAGCCGAGATTGCGCCACTGCACTCCAGCCTGGGCGACAGAGCAAGACTCCATCTTAAAAAAAAAAAAAAATTTCATGTGAACAAAAAGCTTTGCTGTTTTTTTAAAAAGTGTGAAATCCACTGAGTTGTGGGCCCAGGCCCAAACCCCTTAGCATGATTGCAAGGAAAGCCCCACCCACCAGGCCAACTTGCTCTTCACTAGCCGGTACCCAACCTGACACTTGGCACTGCATTATCATAGCTCTGTCCCTGACAATGGCAAACGCGCTCTTTTCCCCTCCCCACCTTTACTCATGCTGTGTCTGAGCATGAGCTCAGACTGGCAGGCTTAGGTCAGAGCCCCCACCTCATGCTCCCTTAACCCCCATCCCACCTCCAGAGGGAAAAACAAATCCAACACATCTGAGCCAGAAGGGTGCCTTCTGTGTTCCAGAACTACCAGGAAAGGAGTGATCCCAGAGTGGAATGAGCAAGGGGAGAGTGGTGGGGGGTGAGGGCAGAGAGGCAGGGGAGGTGGAAAGCGGACCATCTACTGGCTATGGTAAGGATCTTGGCTTTTACTCTGAGTGAGATGGGGAGTTTGAGCAGGGAGTAGCTCAATCTTCCTTATGTTTAAAAAGATCACACAGGCTGCTGAGTGAACGGACTATGGTGGGGGAGAGGGGAGGAGGGAGCAATGACGTTTGCCCCATTGTGAGTTGGAAAGTATAATCCTGGCAAGAGATGCCAGTGACTTTTTGTTTGTTTGTTTGTTTTGTTTATTTTTATTTTTAAGAGATGGGGTCTTGTTATGTTGCCCAGGCTGGATTGTAGTGGCTATTCACAGGTGTGATCCCACTACTGGTCAACACGGGAGTTTTGACCTGCTCCGTTTCTGACCTGGGCCAGTTCACCCCTCCCTAGGCAACTTGATGGTCCTCTGTTCCCAGGAGGTCACCATATTTATGCCAAACTTAGTGTGGACACCTGATTGGAATAGCTCACCACAGCCCAGAACTCCTGGGCTCAAATGATCCTCCCACCTCAGCTGCCTGAGTAGCTGAGACTACAGGCACATGCCACTTCACCCTGTGTGACTTTTTTTTTTTTTTTTTTTTGAGACAGGGTCTCACTCTGTTACCCAGGCTGGAGTGCAGTGGTGCAATCACGGCTCACTGCAGCCTCAACCTCCTGGGCTCAAACAATCCGCCAGCCTCAGCCCCCTGAGTAGCTGGGGCCACAGGTGGGTGCCACCATGCCCGACTAATTTATATTTATTTTTTGTAGAGACAGGGTCTCCCCATGTTGCCCGGGCTCGTCTCGAACTCCTGGGCTCAAACAATTCTCCTGCCTCCATCTCCCAAAGTGCTGGGCTTACAGGCATGAGCCACTACCAGCTGATGATGGTGACTTGTATGAGGGGAAGCGGAAGTGGCAAGATATGACCAGATACTGGCTATATCTGGGCACTGAAAGGTCCCTTAGAGATTAACCAACCTTCTCATTTATAGATGGGGAAACTGAGTCCCAGAGAGGGGCCTGGCTTACCTGTGATCATACAGTAGATCAGAGACAGAGTTGGGCCTGGCACCCAGATTTCCTGATTCCTAATGCAATGTTCTTTGGATTTCTCCTCTGTCTGTAGAAGGACTCAGGCACCTGCCTCTCACTCCCACCTCAAAAATTCCCTCATCCTGGGGCCAAGATGGGACCTGCCCCTGCCCTTCCTGCTGCATGTGACTTTGTGGCAGTGGGTTCAAGCATTGCCCAGTTTCCCAGCTACTTGAACCTGGCAGGGGTCAGGGTAACCTCAAAGGAGCCTTCTGTCCTCTGAGTCAGCAGAACCTGTGCACTATATTGGGGGAGGGAGAGGGAGGGAAGAGTCCAAGACAAGGGAAAGAGTTAGTCCTTGCCACTGGGTTCTCAGTACTTCCAGGGCAGAGAGAGCACCAAGAGCTGACAGGGTCGAAGAGGAGCACCGTGGAGGGCAGAGTTCCCTGGGGAGCTCAGGTGCCAAGACTGAGCCCAGCCCAGGAGTTCTGTAGACTCAGCCATTGAGGACCCCACCCAGTGGGTGGTTTGGGGACACAATGAGGAAGAGGGGTTTCAATGCCTTTGTTACTAATAAGCAAAGCAGCATGCAAACTCACAGGCCACACCTGGGGCATCTGGTTACAGCTGCCCTGAGAGCCATGCTCCCAGTGGGAACCCCAAATCCAGGACCAGCCAGACTGAATCCAGTGGGCTTTGCAAGCTGGAAAAGGCTTGCTGTGTGACTCGAGGCCAGGAGCGCAGCTTCTCTGGGCCTGACCCACAGCTAAGGTGGAAGGGTGGTTGGGAGGGTCTTTAACTGGAAGCTGGGAGGACATCTGCAGATACTCTTCTTAGTTTCCTCCGCCTGTAAAGAGAAAGGCTGCCCAGCCTGCAGGCCCAGCTGATGGAGGCAGGATCCTGAGTGGTGGCTGTGAGAGAGGTGTCAGGATTGGGGGGCAGCAGAGGGAGAAGCAGAAGGGCGTGGACACAGCTAGAAAGCTGGGTCGGTGGGTTCTGTCTCCTGACTCCGCCACCAGTCAGCTGAAGACTTGGGAAACTGTGTCTGAGTCTCAGCTTATTCCTCAGTGGGAGGAAGGGATTGGGTGGGAGTCTCTGAGGGCCCTATTTTTTGCTGATCCATCTGGGACTGGCAATTCCAGCTTCCCTAATGGGAAGCAAGGCCGTGGACGGCTCCTGAAGCTGCCAGTCCTCAGGGACTTCTGTGTTCTGGGAGTCCCCAGAAGAGGGTCTTTTACATTTCATTTACATGGAAAGTTTAGAGGGACCTCCTTCTACCTCCAAAACCCTCCCATAATTGAATAATGATAAGCAGAACTTCCAGTAACTTACTAACCACAGAAACCGTGCTGGAGATAGGGGGAAGGGGACAAATTGTATCTCTGGTCCTGATGCCCCCTCCTCTTCTAAATGAGGCAGACAGTCCCTAAATGTATCTCAGTCAAAAGAATGGGCTTGAATTCAGCTCTGCTCTGCCTTGGCTGTGTGACTTTTAGCAAGTTAACTGTCCCTCTCAGGACTCAGTTTCTTCGTCTTTCTAATGGGACCAATGATCCCTGGTCCGGCAGTCTGGAGGCAGGGGTCTCCCCTGGGTGAACCTACAGAGGGGTTGCAGAAAGGCTTGGGTTCACGTAGGGACAAGGGAAGCAGACACCCTGCGCGACTTCTCGGGAGAGGTACGGGTTCCTGCGGGGAGGGCTCCTGGGGGACTCCTCCCCCAGCACAGCCCTCGGCCCCCTTCCCCCGCCCGGGCTCCTTCTCCTCAGCAGGGGCGCCACTGCTCGGCACTCCCAGGTGCCCCCAGCCCGCCTCGGCGAGGGCGGGGCTTACGGAAATGGGCGGGGCATGCCGGGGGCGGGGAATGGTGGGCGGGGCTCTTGCGTCCCTGGGAGGGGCGGGGCTTTGCCAATGCCAGGCCCCGAGAGCGGGAGGGGCCGGGGCGGTGCTGCGGCTCCGATTACCTCCCCGCGGCCTCCCCCGCCCGGCCGGCTACTTTTTCCGTTTCCAAATTAACAATTGAAAACGCGGCGGCCTGAAAGGCGAGCAGCGGGCCAAGCGGAAAGTGTGAAGGTGCCGCCGCGTCCCCGAGGCCAGGGGCGGAGAGGGGGGACGCGACGCCACCGCCGCCTCGGCCTCGCCCTTCCACCTCACAGCACCATCCTAAAGGGCTCTTGGAGTAGGTAGTTTCACGTGTGACCTCAAGTAAGTCATTTCACCTTACGGAGACTCAGTTTCCTCATCCGGAAAATGGGGAGAGAAGACACACCGACCATACAGATAGTGCGGAATAAATTACACAATAGGTAGCAACTATTACTATCTTGTATGGGTAATGATGATAATATTGAGTCCCAAGCCCCCTTCCCCCTCCCATCATAGCCAAAGGAGTTGCCCACCAAGGGAGAATACTGGAGCTGAGGTCCAGTATTCTGGTCCCCTCGCCTCCTCAGGACCTCCCCAAATCCCACCTGACAGATAAAGAAATCAAAGTCGGGTCCTTGCAAAGGGCTCAAAGTCAGGAGTGAGTAGGAAGAACTAGGCCTGAGCCCAGGTCCTGGCCCCGAGGGCCAGGCTGTTCTTACAGAGACAGGTGCTCCCTGGGGCTGGCATCCTGGGCATGGGACCCCTTCTCCTCTGTCATTGTCCAGAGAGGTGAGTGCTGACACAGGGCAGCTGGAACAAATGAGTAGGTAATGGGAAGAGTCCCTGTTCCCAGGCATCCAGCCCAGGCACAGGTGCCAGATGGTAGACACCGGGGATAGATACAGTTCCTGGTTCTCCCGCCCCCCTCAATGTAAGCTCCATGAATGCAGGTACTTGATCTTGTTCCTACTTTCTCTCCAAAACCTAGTGCAGGGCCTGGTGCATTGTAGGTTCTCAATAAATGTTGAGTGAATGAATGAATAAATGAACGAATGAGTAGTCCAGCCAGCTGAGAAAAGCCTCTTATACAACTGCGGCCTCTTGCCTGGCCACTTGTGTGAAGTGGCCTGCTTTGGAGAGGGGGTTTAGGGTGAGTGCCCCTCTCCCCAGCCTGGAGACCTAGGGCAGTGGAATAGCAGGAGAAGAAGACAAAAACTGAGACAGAACAAAGGAGGAGGAGATAGGAGATGTGGTCCCAGAAAGCAGAGTTAAGATCCCCTCTTTCTTCCTAGCCCCTCAAGTCCCATTCCTGGTCAGCCCAGGACTCACCCCCATTCCCCTTCCCCCCAGCCAGCCTCTCACTGACCACCACAATTCCAGCCCCCTATCCCCACCTCCAGTCCACTTACCTTGCAGTCTGAATGCCTCTTCCTCAGCCCCTACCCCATTTACAATCCTACAACAGCTTCTTACTGTTAAAATAGAAAACCCAAGCTCCTTAGACCAGCGTTTGAGGCTGTACACACATCCTAAGCACCAGCGACACTCGACTTCTCCACTCCCTGTACATTTCCACCTTGGTGGCTTTTGTACTGTCTCCCCTTCTTGGGCTGTCTCTCTTCCACCTCATCCATCCATGATCGGCTTTGAATAGAGGAGCTTCTTTAGCCCCTCGTTAGGATTCCAGGGCCCCTGTGGGCCCCCTCAGGCACCCCTTCTCACACTATTCTACAAGAGGGAGAGTGTTCCTACCCGCTTACTCCTCACTGAGATCCATCCCTCTAGGGCAAGGCCAGTCTGGCTCCTCCACAACCCCCAGGCTGGCCCCAGCTGATGCTCAGACAGTATCTGGGGAGTGAACAGAAAGATGCAGTCACCAGGGCCTTGAGTTTCAGCGAGTGGGACTTCCACACTGTCCTGTGAAGCCTGAGAGTTCTGGGTAAGGCTGTCTTGGGGTTGCTGCAGAGGTAGGTGGGTGGGTGGAAGGAGGATTGATGCAAGCTCACCCCTAACTCTGGCAGGACTGGGGAGAGAGTATAAATGGAGACCCACATACCATAAGTCTAAATATTTAAAAGTTTCAATCAGGTTAACAAACTTTTAAATAAAATTTGCTCTATCCTTCCTGACACATATACCTTCATAATGACCTAGAAGACCAGGTTTGAATTTTAGTTCTTGGATGCCTTGGAATCCCATGCTGGAATCCAGCAGGGAAGGGACAGCCAGCCCCTTGCTACCCTCCGATCCTCAGATTCTCTTCCCACACTGGGCCCATCCCTCCCTGGGAGGGGCCTTGGGTACACTCCTGGGGGTGCCTCAGCCTGCTCTTCCGGGCTTTTGCTATACCCACTACAAACAGCCGTCCTTGAGCCTAGGGCTGCTCTGACAGCCCCTGGGAGAAGGGCCTGTGCAGACCCTGGAAGTAGGCATAAGTATTTGGCCAGGGAATTCCAGGGTTACCTGGAATGTGTTCTAGAGCAAGGAGGACCATGTACAGGCTCTGGGTTGATATGCCAGGGCCATATAGGCTGGCATAGAGTGGGTAGAATTCTGGGCCCCAACCCGTGACTCCACCCAGAGTAGCCCTACTTTGATCTGTTTTATATATTGTGCTTCTGTATCAGGTGTCATTCAAAGAACCAGATCTATGACTTGAAACAGTTTGAAAAGCTCTAATCTAGATCCTGCCTGCTACTGAACATGGGAAGCTGAGGTTACCGGGAGGCCAGTGACTGCATTCAGGCAGTGGGTTGGAGCAAATCCAGGGCACAGTCCCAGGCCTCCCTCGTGGAGGCCAAGGCTTGGGAGCACGTTTCTGATCAATAAGACCTAGGGCCTCCAATGGGACAGGCCACCAGGAGGTGGTGAGTGCTCAGTCCCTGGTGGGGGCCAGTGGGCGTGCTGCCAGGGCCTCCTGCCATGACCGGGGGCTGGACCCTCAACTCAGGTAGCCCAGCTCAGGAGTGGAGAGGCCAGACCAGGCCAGAGAAGGAGAGGGAGTCCTGGTATAAACAACCGTGGGGGGACCAAGATGTTTTCTTGTCTCCCAGGCGACGGCAGTGTTTACTGCCTAGCGAGGGGGGGGGCATGGCCCACACATTTGCCTCCCTGACTTGTAGCCAAATTTTTCCAGGAAGGGGTGGCCCAGGATGAGCCCCAAACACTCCTGCTCTGCACCCCAATCATCTTCCCTCAACTTTGCCCCAACATGTGCCCTAAACCTCCCTGACATCGCCCCCATCCTTCAGTCCCACATGCTATGTAGCACTGCACCTCCATCAGTCCTGAATGCCCCAGCATTGCCCCCTAGCTCCTGATTCTGCTCACAGAGTAGGAGGGTGGGGAGCAGAAGCAGGACAGGGGAAGGCCCCAAGCAGAGGAACTGGGTGTATGCCAGGGATCTGAGCTGGGGCTGCTGGGCATGGGGCAAGGACAAACCTCTCCCACGGCCCTGGCCAAGACAGAGGGAGGGCTGCAGCCCTTGGATTAGGAGAGTGCAAATCCCTCTCCCCAGCCAGGGCCCACCCCATGCCTGTCATGTGAAGGGCATTAGATGACCAGACCCCAACAAGGGAGGGGCTGGCAGGTGCCCACATGGTCATGCCACAGCCAGCTCCTTTGCCCAGGCAGCCAGGCCAAGGAGAAAAAACCCTTGATGCAGGAGGGCAAGTGGCAAGGTCCCCTTCCCCCACGGGCAGCAGCTGCAGCCAGGTCCAAACACAGGGGCACAGGGGTTGGTGTGGCTTGAGTTCCAGCCAGCAGCCCAGCCCAGCTTCCACATATATACACACACCCTGCCCAGCTGACGATGGGTCTCGTTGAGACACCAACTGATTTTCGCTGAGAGCGCAGGCTCAAAAATGGGGCTGTGTCCATCAGGGATCCTAGACAGGCATCTGGACCCCTGGAGTCCAGCCCTAAGTCAGCAACTTCTCAGCTGAATGACCTTGGGCAAGTCACTTCTCCTTTCTGAGCCTCAGCACAAAATAGCATAATAGTATCTTCCTCCAGGGTTGTTACATGAATTCAGTGGGATTCATTGAACAAACAATAAGTAAAGCCCACAATGGGTCCAGCATGCCTAAAACGGCTTTGTGGACTGTCAGTGGGAGAGAGGACCTCCTTCCCAGTACAGGTAGTATTTTGGACCTCGAGCTAAGGCTCGAGATGTGAAAAACGTCTGCCCAAGACCATCCAGAGGGTGCCTAAGCCCAGGCCAGCCCCTGGGAAGCTCTGCAGAAAGGTTTTCACTGTTATTTATCATCATTGGAGACAACTAAGATGCTTGGACTGAGCCTGGGTTCTGGTCTGGGCTCTACTGCTGACCTGAGTTTAGTCCCTGCCCTGTTCTGAGCCTGTTTCCCCCTCAGAAGAATGAGGGGGCTGGGTGAGACCAATGATTTCCATACTCTGTTGAGCTTCAAGAAAAAGACAGAGCTGGGGCTGGCTGAACTGCCAGGACTCTGCCCCTTCGCCAGGGTGTCCCTCCATTATCTGGGCCAAATCCCAGTGTACCCTCTTGGAGCCATTATAAGGCCACTATTCTAGGGACCCCCATGGACCCCAAGCTTATATCCCCAGACTCCCTTTCCAGACAGCCTCGGCGCCTGCACCCACCCTCTCTGCTTCCAAGGCCACCCCCACACACCACCAGCTCCCAGCTCAACCACACACATCTCCCCCCAAGCCAGAGTTTGCATAAGCAGCTGAACTTTCCCTATAGGCAAAGTCCTAGGGCTCCGGGTCAGGTTGAGCCAGGCCCTGAGCAGGGTTGGTCAATAGCTCTGGAGGAGGCACTCAGGAGGCTGGACCCTGGGGGGAAGGTAAAGGAAAAAGGGGGACAAGTTGGTAGCATCCCCAGGGCTCCTTGCCAGAGTCCTTACCCCTCCAGCATCCTCCTCGCCAGTCCCAGAAAGGAGTTTCTAAAACACGAATCTGCCATGTTACTCCTGACATCACTTCCTTCCCATCACCCTCTCAGGAAGCTGCAGCTCCCCAGCCCGGTGTCCTCACTGCCGAGCCTGGCCCTGTTGCATCCCAGCCTCTTCTCCAGATACCTCTTGCCTCCTCTAGGATCCCGCTCTTCTGACTTCTTGCTGTTCTTTGCAAATGCCCTGTTCAGCCTCACTTCTGGGTCTCTGCCTGTGCTATTCTCTCTGCCTGAAACACTGTTCCTTGCTCCTTTTCACCTAGCTAACTCCTACTTCTACTCATCTTTCAGTCTCAACTTAAGCCTCTTCCTCTGGGAAGCCTTCCCAGCCATGCCCAGATTGGGGCAGGGCTTGGCCCTCTGTGCTGGGCTCCCACTGGACTCCGTGCTGCCTGGACAGTGGCACTTATCACCCTGCCTGGTAACTGCCAGCTTCCCAGCCCATCTCCCCCAGGGAGCAGAGGAAGGTCTGATTCATTGCTCTGTCCCCAGAGTCTGGCACAGGGCCTGGCCCGGGGAGACTGGCATAAGCAGCTGAACTTCATTTAGAAGTGAAGGTTTCTCAAATGAAAGGGCGAGAGAGGGAAGGAATGAGTCCCCAGGGTAGAATCGGGGTGGGAGCAGGACCTTGAACTGTATTTATTTATTTATTTATTTATTTATTTATTTATTTGATGGAGTCTCACTCTGTCATCCAGGCTGGAGTGCAGTGGCACGATCTCGGCTCACTGCAACCTCTACCTCCCGGGTTTAAGCGATTCTGATGCCTCAACCTCCCAAGTAGCTGGGACTATAGGTGCGCACCATCACACCCAGATAATTTTTTGTATTTTCAGTAGAGACGGGGTTTCACCATGTTGGCCAGGCTAGTCTCGAACTCCTGACCTCAGGTGGTCTGCCTGCCTCTGCCTCCCAAAGTGCTGGGATTACAGGCGTGAGCCACAGCGCCCGGCCCAGGACCTTGAACTTTAAGGCTCAACTTCTCCTAATATCACCCCCCATTAGAAGCAGGCAGACATAGTCCGGGTGAGTTAGGTGGGTAAGATCACAGCCTATAGAGCTAGACTCTTGTGGTTAGAATCCTGGCCCTGCTACATGTACCCAGGCAAGTCACGTAACCTCTTTGTGCCTCAACTTCCTCATCTGAAAAGTAGGCATAATAACAGTACCTACCTCATAGTGTCATTGAGAGGAAAAAGTGATAGAAGGCGTGGCAAGCTCTCAGAGCAGCATCTGGTCCACGGTAAGCACTCAGTAAGGTCCTGCTAGTATTATCTTTGTTATTATTGAGAGCCAGAGCAGAGAGGGAGGCTGAGACTCAGAGAGGGAGGTGACTGCTAGAAGCTAGCCAGCAGGATCGTGTCTCTTGCCTTCCGACCCCAACCCGGTGCCCCTGATGTGCACTGATTACCCCCTCGGCCCCCCACCACAGTCCTGCAAACCGTTCCCACCCTCTCATGTCACAGAATCGTTGCACACTCGGCCTCTCCAGGCACTCAGTTGTCTGAGCTGAGCCCAGAAAACTCCCGTCCTCTTGGGCATTCACCACTTCCTGGCTGTGTGACAAGGGCAGTGTTTCACCTTTAAGCTTCAGTGTCATCTTCCATCCAATGGGGATAATGATAGGACCTACCTCATAGGGCTCTTGGAAGGATTAAATGAAGCAGTGTGAAAAATATTTAGCACAATACCTGGTAGAGATTAGACTATGAATCTTATTACTCAGTGACAAAGTCTGTGCTTAGAACTCTAGCCTGGCTCCAGCTTCGTGCATTCTTTTCCTAGAGTTCCCCAGGTCTCCAGCCTGGGCATCTCTGAGCTGTCCTCCAGGGGAGCCTGAGGACAGGAATTGCTAGTGTGGCCACCCTGCTTTTACAGGGCCTGTGTCATTCCACCTGCCCCGCTCCCCCATATGTCTCTTCCTCAGGGCTCAAAGCAGTGCAAGTGAAAAGTGAAAGTGAGATGAGGGGCCCAGGACCCTAGAGAAGTGGGATCCTCTGATGGCAAGATAAGAACAGTAAAACCAGGGCTGGGTGCAGTGGCTCATGTCCGTAATCTCAGCACTTTGGGAGGCCAGGGTGGGAAAATTGCTTGAGCACAGGAATTCGAAACCAGCCTGGGCAACATAACAAGATCCCCTCTCTACAAAAAATTTAAAAATTAGCCTAGCGCCGTGACGTGCACCTGCGGTCTCAGCTACATGAAAGGCTGAGGCAGGAGGATCGCTTGAGCCCAGGAGTTCAAGGCTGCAGTGAACCATGATCACACCACTGCCTTCCAGCCTGGGTGAAAGAGTAAGACTCTGTCTCAAAAGGAAAAAAAAAAAAAAAAAAGGTAAAACCACCACAACCCCCCTGTTCTTCACAGCACTTTGCAGTTTACCAAGCACTTGCTATAGGAAGCAGCCCCGTGAGGTGAGCAGGGACAGATGGCAATTGTCATTCTATGTATAAGGAAGCTGGTGCCTCAGAGAGGTTGGGTCACCTGCCTGGCATCACACAGCCTCCAGGAAGCAGAGGCAGGAGCTGAGCCCAAGCCTGCTGCCTCCCGGTCCAGTGCTCCTTTAACTGAGGGGTGAGCCCTTGATTCTGGCTGATCTGCCCCCCACCCCCCCACCCGCCCAACCCAATCTTAGGAAAGAGCCTTGGGTTGGTCCTCACTGCAAAGTGCGGGACCTGAGGCTCCTCTGTCCCCTGATCCCTCTGTCCCTACCAGACCCCTCCCTCTTCTGGCTCCACAGCTCAGTGGGGAGGAGCCGGGATGGCGCCCAGACTCAGGGATTTCACGCACCACCGGTAAAATTTCCAAAAACACTTTGGGGACTGCATAAGGTTGTCAACTTTTTATTTTGCCAAGCAAGGACATTTTTTTCCCAGCCCATCATTTCATAAAAGAAAGGACATCATCTCATACTAAAAGACAGTCCTTTAAGTGGAATAAATTTAGCTTTATGAAAGAGTCGCCACCCCGTCCTTATTCTCCTCAGTTTTGCCTTAGGCCACTGGAAACTGCCTTGGGTCAGCTGGCGAGGCTGAGAACCATTTAGAGCTCGGGCTTGGCCCTGATGCCGACATGGGTTTGAGTCTTGACTCGACCACAGACAAGCTGTGTAACTTAGTATGTGGTGTTTCTCTTCTTTGAGCCCCAGTTTCTTGTCTGCAAAATGGGAACAATAATAGTGCCTGCTACCTAGCGGGTACTGGAAAAAATAGATGACCTCACGTCTGCACAGCACTCACTCAGAAAGAGTCAAACCCTGGTTCCCATCCAGTGTCCCCACCCTGGCCTGTCACCGTGTATGGCTCCCCACTGCCCACAGGGTAAGGCCCACCTCCACAGCCTGTCAATCAAGGCCCTGTGCTCTGCAGGTCTTGGGGCAAAGGAGTGAGGGGAAGGAAGTCCCATCTCAAGGCCTTTGCTCTGCTGTTCCCTTCACCTGGAGCTCACTCGGGATAAAAATCATGAACACCCACAGCTCAGTGCTCCACACAGAGGGCTGAGGGGTCTTTTCTCCACTTCTCTCTAGTTGGCAAAACCCTTCTCATCCTTACTACTTGGCCCCAATGCCACCTTCATCAAACATTCACTCATTGCTGACCATGTGCCAAGAATTGTGTTCAACCCCCACACACCCAGTTCTCATAGTCCCATGCAGAAAAGCAAAAAACGCACAGGGCTGGGTGAACAGAACTCTGGGGGCACTGAAGGGCCCTCAGTTGAGCCTGGGGGTAATGGGGATAGGGAGTGCTTCCAAGAAGAGGTGGTGCTCAAACTGGGAGTTGAAGGATGAATAGGAGTTAGCTAGATGATGCAGTGGGCAGAAGAGGGGAGGGAGTTGCAGGCAGAAGGAAAAGCACAGAAGCACTAAACAGCGCAATGCTTTGGGACACTGTAAGTCATTTCTTAGGTGAGAGCAAAGGATGCTTGTGTGGAGGGCATTTCTGACTTGGGCACTGGGGATCGGGGAGTCACTGTCACATGGATTGAGGAAGGAGGGCAGGTTTGGAGGGAGATGCTGAGTTTGAGATGCCCAGGGAATGAGGAGGAGAGGTGTCAGCAGGCAGGAAGCGCAGGGATGAAACTGCAGAGCGGAGGCTGTCATCATAGGGGTGACCCCTGATGTCGTAGGAGTGCATGAGACCACCCCCTGAAACTATGTACTGTGAAGAGGACTTGAGACAAAGCCCCAACATTCAAGGGGCAGAAAGAGGAGGCAGAGCTGCTTGCTGATAGAACCAAGAGAGAAAAGCCACAGAGGCAGGTTTGAGGAAAGCCAGGGGGGTTGCATTCAAGAAGGAAGGGCCCAGCAGGCAGCCATGGTGGCTCCCGAGGCCACCGTGGGAGGATCGCTGGAGCCAGGAGTTGGAGATCAGCCTGGACAACATAGCAAGACCCTGTCTCCACAGAAAAATTTAAAAACTAGCTGGGTGTCTTGGTGTGCGCCTGTAGTCCCAGCTCCTTAGGAGGGTGAGGTGGAAGGATCACTTGAGCCCAGGAGGTTGAGTCTGCAGTGATCATAGTGATCATGCACTCCAGCGTGGGTGACAGAGTGAGGCCCTGCTTCAAAAAAAAAAAAAAAAAAAAGAAAGAAAGAAAAGAAAAGAAAGAAGGGCCCACAGGGGCCCCTTGGGGAGGCAGCATGGTGGAGTGGCCAAATGCATGGCTCCCAGAGATGCACATGCTAGGTTCAAATCCTGCCTCTACCACCTGTCAGCTATGTTGACTTTGGGCAAGTCATTAACTTCTTTACACCTTAATCCCCCTGTCTGTAAAATAGGGCGAATGTATTTTTTTAGGATAAAAAGCATATAGGGGAGGGATTGATACCCCCACCTAGCCTCTGTGCATCCCCAGGTTGTACCTCCCTTCCTCTGCTGGGCCATGGGTCACACTGTCCTTTCCCCGTCCCCCGTCTCTCCCACCAGACTGCCACCAATCCCCAGAGGCTGGAAAATGAGATGAGTGAATGAGTTCACCCAGGGAACGGGCAGCAGGGAGGCAGCATTTCTCCCATGTTACTCCATAAGGAGGGAAGGTGGAAAAGGCCCCCGTGTGGGCTGTGCCCTTGAGCCATCAGGTCCCTTCTAGCCTCAGTTTCCCCACCTGTGAAATGAAGCCCGTGGATCTGCTCCAGCGCTGAGACCTGAGGTTCTGTATAGCAGGGATATATGGAGAGAGGATGGGGGTAGAAAGGCCTAGTCCCTTCCTGCTGGTCCTGCCTCTAAGCGAGGAAGTTCCATAGGGTCTGAATCCCCACTGTGCCCAGGGGCTGGTCCCTCCAGTAGAGGGTGGCAGCTGGGCCAAGACGGGCAGTAGCGAAGGCGCCTGAGATTGTGCTGACAAAGCTGTTCCTGCTTTTCCTTTCTCTCCCTGCCCCCTCCCCTCCCAGGGGACAGCCAAGCCCAGCAAAAAATAAACCCAAAGACAGCAACCTGGACAGGCCCGAGGCTCCCAGAGAGAAGTGGCAGAGAAGGAGGAGCAGCCTGTGACCCTCCCACCACTGCCCAAAAGCCAGTGGGTACCCGATCTGATCCCTACCCCACCCCCGACCCACACCCCGCCAAAGTTGGGCTCAAAGGGAACAGGCATCTCCCCTCCATCTTTCGCTCTGTGGGAGTAGGGAGCCATTCCTTGCTTGATAGGGACAATTCGAGTAAATGTTGTCCAGCCCGGCTAGACAGGGGGCTCCAAGTTTTTGAAACAATATCCCAGAAAATCTCATTCACCTCCTGGTTCTTGGGCAGTCCTTCCTGCTGTCTGACCTCCATCTCCTCTGCTTTGATGGGAACCATGCTCCATTTATTTCCAGTGAGCTTTCCTCCAGTCCCACCTTCCCGGCCTGGGTGTCCAAGGAGTCTCAGGAGAATGTGCCTCAAGATTTTCCCTCCATCCTTTAGGCTAGAGACCCTGCTCTATCCACTGTCCCCCAAATCTCCGTGGGGTGAGGAGGGAGGGAATCGCTGAGCTCCTGTTGCCTCCCTTCCTCAGGCGCTGCCCACGGATTCCCAGCCCAATTAGTCTGCTGCCTGGGGCTGCCCCTCCTGTGCCTCATCCCCAGGGCACGCAGCTCCTGCCCCAGGGACAGGGTTGCCCAGGGAACCTGAAGTCCTGGGGGCTCTGTGTAGCCACTGAGGTCGGCTCAGCACCCTTTCTCCAGCCCCTCAGAGCCTCCACTGGGGGCAGGCAGCCCCCTGAGTGCCCTGTGAAGTGGCACCCTGTCACCTGAGGGGCCCCCAGAGAAGATGCTGGAAGAGAGCTCCCTACCTGGTACCCTATGCATTTCAAGGTCCTGAGACAGCAGTCTCTCTCATTTGCCCACCACGACTGTGTGCCAGGCAGCCCTGAGAGGTCCACTTTCCTGTTAGGCCCATTTTACAGAAGAAGATACCGAGGCTCAGGAACTGGGGTGGAGTGGGGGTGGACACCTTCCCAGTAAGCATGGGGACTGAGATCTCTAAATCTCCCTTGGGATTCCCTGCCCTCATTCTCCATGATCATTTGCTCAGGAGAGAGTGGGGGAGTGCCCTCCTCTCCCAGGAGTCCCTGGCTGTCTCTCTGGGCACCATGGCTCTACTTTTATCTCTCGGGGGCCAGGCCAGCTGCCAGGGTTGGACCATGAGGCCCAAACTCGGCCGCACAGTGGCCCTCTGGCATACACCGTCCTCCCCATAACTCACAGACACACTCACAGCTACACACAGACCAGACCTCTCTCCAAACCTCTCCCTGGGAGAAGAAGCAGCTGAGGCCAGTGGTCCCGGCAGACTCTGCGACCTCCTCACAGTGACCCCCAATCCCCCACTCTGCCAGGCAGGGTACAGGCATGGTCTAGCTCTCTCTGGCTCCCTGGTCCTGGTATGGAGCTGATGCTCTGTAACTGTTTGCCAGATGAAGGAAGAAACAAATCAGTGAGCATGCTAGGTAGCCAGGCTGGGCTCCATTCATGAGCTGGGTGACATCCCCTCACCCAGCCTCACTTTGCTCAACTGTGACATGAAGAAGACAGCACCCACCTGATAAGATGGCTGTGAGCGTTACACGAGAGAATGTAAGTCAGACACTCTCATGGGCAGGGCCCACAGGAGGCTGAAAAGACACAGCCTCAGCTCCCATGGAGAACCACTCGCCCCAGGACACAGGCAGACATAGCTCCTATTCTCTCCAGAGCAGACTCAGACACACTCACCTTGCTGAGCCCAGCACACCTACCACACCTCTCCCCGGAGGAGAAGAATGAGGACAGTGATAACAGCATAATAATAACAGTAACGATGATCATGGCTAACAGTGCCCAGCAGTGTTCGGTGCCTTATCTCATCCAGTCCTGACAATCTTAGAGGCAGGTATTATGATTACTCCCATTTTTCAGATGAGAAAACTGAAGCCCAGAGAGGTTAAGTAACTTGCCCAAGGACACACGACTGCTAAGGCTAGAACCAGGAAGGAACGCAGATCTGTCAGCCTCAGAGCCCGTGCTCTTCACTCCCCGCAGGACAGCTTCTGGAGAAACGAAAAGTCCCTGCTATTCCCCCATCCTCAACCTCTCAACTCCCACACTAGGAGCTTCCCCCAGGGCAAACATGCAGAATTCCCTGCTGGGGGGCTCCATAGCCCACAAGAAGATCGGACCTTCCCCAAAGACCCACATTGGTGCTAGGGAGGTAGGAGGGAGTCTGGGGAAGTTCCCTGGGCAGCCTCCTTTGTGGGCAGGGCCTCGGCCTTCCTTTTTCCCTGCTCCCAGGCAGTTCCAGCTCCTTTGACTGGCTCAGAGAGCCTGAAATTAATCATCCACTCAAAGTGCTGCCATCAGCCCAAGAATAATAACCACCTCTTGAAACACTCCTGGCTTAAATATCCCAAGGATAAGGGCTTCGGCAGCAATAGGGATTGAAGTTAGACATCTAGCAGCGCGTCTTCAATGGAAGAATGAACGTACTATGGAGTTGGGGTGGGGTGGGCCGTCAGTGAGAGATCGAACCGGCTCCAGTGACACCAAAGAACTTCAGAAGAAGGAGGCAAAGGAGCGTGAAGGGGAGTGCAAGGAGGAGGAGGAAGGCAGTATAAGAACAGGATGGTCTCCCCAGCTCCTTACAAAGACCAAGCAAAAGGACTAGGGCTGAAAAACAGCAGCACGAAAAATTTGGGTCACACTCAAAGACTTTCCCAATCACAAGGGCAAAGTTCTTAGAGCATCCATCTCCCCTGTTGGCTAGGTTAGGAAAATTGTTATCTAAAGTCCTGATCTGGGAGACAAAAGGCTTGGGTTCCTGGCACAGTTCTCCACTAACTCACTAGGTGTGACCTTGGATGAGTAGCTGCCCCTTTCTGTGTCTTGGTGTACCCAGCAGTATACCCCAAGGTCAGATCAAAGGACCCCCGAGGACCCCCCAGGAGGAGCAAACGCCAGCGAAGTTCTACGAGGCCAGCCACCCCGCTCCTCCACAGTTCTGAGGCTGCCCTCCAAGGTGGCTACACAAATACACACAGACCCGCAAGGGCAGCCCTGCAGTTGTGTATAGGTGAAGGCCAAAAACTCAAGGACAGGAGCAAGCTTTGTTCTGTCCTAGGGGTCTGGGCTGGAGCCACGGGCCCGGGTGTGTGTCCATGGTGAGTGTCTGTGAAGTCAGGGAAAAGGTAGGGGCAGCTGTAAACTAGAACTCTTTTTGTTGGATGGATGCTGTGTGTGTGTTTGTGCATGTGTGTCGATGTTGCAGTGAGTGCATGTGTGAGACATTCAGACAGGTACGCAGCAGTGACGTGGTCTACAACTAAAACGTGGCTGCACTGGGTGAGGCTGGCAGTTTCCACTCAATTCCACAAAATGCCATCACTGCCCACCCCCTGCTGACTGTGTGCGGGGTGCTGGGATGGACGGACAGATGACACAGGAGTGCTGTTCTTGAGGAGCCTGGACTTGGGGTGCTGCTAGCTGAGGCTGTGGTGCTGAGCGCAACAGCTCCCAGTCAGCCCCCGCTCCGGGCTGAGGCTCTTCCACATTAACTGGGTGGCCTCTGCTGAGTCCCAGTTTCCCCATCTGTCAAATGAGGAGGATAACAGTGCCCACCTCACAAGGCTGCAGAAGGACACAATGAGACCGGTTTAGAGAGAGCTCAGCAGGGTGCCCTGTGCATAGTTGGTGCTGCACACACAACCAGAGATTTCATTTCAGACTCCAAGAGCCAAGCCCGGTGGCCACTAGGAACGGAGCGAACAGTCCTGGACAAGGAAGCAGGAGCAATTTCAACTCTCTGCCCTGGCCTAGCCCAGCTGAGGTCTCTGCACAGAGTCCGCTGTATCTGCTACTCATTTCCCAGGTGACTTTGGTCTCCAGAGCCTCAGTTTTCTTACAAGTAAAATGGGGCTGTCAAAATGTGAGGACCGACTGACCTAGCGGGGATGCCTGAGGGTTCTGAGGACACTTTGCTGGGATGATTTCCAACCCAGGCGATGTTCTTTCTCAGATGGCCGGGGTGGGAGGTCGGGGGCTCGGGGGTTAGGAGTCTGCGGGCCCCAGAAGCTGCTGCCACCTCCTCCCCTCCCCATTCCCACAGCTTCTGACCCCACGGACAAGGCTGAGGGAGGATGTTTACAGAGCCGCAAACCTTCACATAGAGAAAGTCTGCTGGGCCCTGGGGGCTGGGAGCGGCAGGCCTGCGGCTCATAGTGGCTGGGGAGGATGAAGGGAGATAGGGTCTTGCTCAGCCCCCTCCAGCACTCTGACTTCAAGGGAAGCTGGAGTGGCCTTTGAGAGGGGGCAGCAAGGGGACAGCGAGCATTCCCCATAAGGGCTCAGCGAGCAGGATGGGCCACGAGGTGGTATTTCTTAAAATTCAGAGAGCAGGGCCTGTGAAGGCTTCAGGGCTTAAATCAGGGACTGGGGCATAGGAGGGGGATGCAGCTTGGTGATCAGACTGAGGGTCCACAGAGAGAGGGAAAGCTTGGAGAGGGGCTCAGTGGCCCCTCATTCTGGATCCCAACAGGAGAAGACAGGAGTCAGCAGTCCTCTCTTCCCAGAGCTTGCAGCTGCCGCAGGACAGGCCAAATCTGGGCTTGTACTCTAGGCAATCTCCCACCTTTTGGAGCCAGAAAGATGCAGGTTCTGTGTGGGGCTCAGAGGGGACGGGCTGGCAGATGGGAGGGAGGCATACCCTAGGGCGAATGCGCTCCTCTCACCCCAGCTCCCTCCTTCCTGAGCCCTTCTCTTTCTCTCTCTTTTTTAATTGATAGGGTCTCATCCTGTCACTCAGGCTGGAATGCAGTGGTGCAATCACAGTTCACAATAGCCTAGAATTCCTGGGTTCAAGTGATCCTCCCACCTCAGCCTCCCAAGTAATTGTGTCTACAGGTGTGCACCACCATGCCCGGCTAATTTTTAAATTTTGTAGAGTCAGGGGTCTCACCATGTTGCCTAGGCTCAAGCGATCCTCCCACCTCAGCCTCTCACAGTGCTGGGATTACAGGTGAGAGCCACTGCGCCCCGCCCAGAGCCCTTCTCTTGCAGGCTCTTCTGCTGGGGCCCCTCCTGCCACAGCCTGCGTCTCTGGGAAGGGGGTCCTAGCTAACAGTACTCCCTGGACTCCCCTCACTTGGGCTGCCACTGAGGCAGATTGGGAAGAGGAGAAAGGATTTGACCCAAAGTGTAATGGTCTGGCTAGGAGTCCAACAGCAGGAAGTACTTCCTGGCAAGACCCTGCAGTGTGACTGAGAAACCCCACATCTGGAGCTCCTCACAAACAGGAGAGACCTTCTGTGTGGGCCCCCTCCTCCAGCCCCAATAATAACAACCGTCTTTCAAGCTCAGACAGGCCCCTGGAGCTTACCAAGCTCTTTCCCACTCTATTACCTCATCCAAGAGAGAGGCCGCAAGGTTGGGGTTTCTACCCGCTTTGACAACCTACAGACCTAAAGCTCAGAGAGGCCCAGCAATCAACCCAACGTCACAGAGCACATAAGAGGTGGGGTTCCTGACACCTCTGTCCCCTTTGACCTCTAAGATGGGTGACCAATTCCCTGAGATCCTTAAACACCAGGACACTTTCACACCATACTTCTTCCCCCAGAGTTCCCAAGACATGCCCTGGCCCTGGGCTCCCGGGGACAAGTGGTCAGGACAAGCACGGCCCTGGCGAGGGCATTTCCTGGCATCAGGAAAGGGCAGGATGTGGGGCAAAGGTGCCAGTGGATTAGCTCCTGGAGAGGAAGGGGCGGTCCTTTCAAAGGAGGCACCAACAGCAGCTGGCCAGGGGACAGGAGGCAGGTCCTTCACCTCCACTGACCCTTGTGGGGGCTGTAAGGCCAAGCCTGGGGGGGTAAGGACCCCACCTCAGAGCCCTATTGGCTTCCCCAGGCCCTGCCATGCCTTGGAAAAGTCCCTTCCCAAGAGGAGCCCACGGAGGGCACAGTTGTTCTCTGGGGGGTGTCTCACCCTCCTTAGGCACTCAAGGAGGCTGCTCTGTAGCCACTCCTAAGAAGTAGTCCCCATCCCCTCACCCCCAACTCCACCAGCCCTGGGCCTTCCTCACTCCAACGGGCCTCTTTATAGCCACAAATATTCATCCTAGGCCTCCCAATGGACACTAAGGACTGGGCTACTACAAACCGTTGACCCTGAACCGAAGCTTGACCTCATGTCCTGAGCAATTTCAACTCTCTGCCCCAGCCTAGCCCAGCTGAGGTCTCTGCACAGAGTCAAGGTTGCCACCCCCAACGCACTTAATGGCCGAGAGAGCCCTGCTGTCTTCCCCCCCTGCCCCTCCCTGTGCCGCATCTTTCTCCCCTTCACCTCTGAAATTATGTGGGCCCAGTTCAGATGGGGCAGAGGCAGGCCAGCAAGCACCCGAGAAACAGGCCGAAGGACAGACCCAGAGACAGGTGGAAAAGACAGGTAGAGGAAGAGTGGACAGTCAGGTGGACAGGTGGATAGGCAGATGCACAGACAGGCACCCGGATAACTGCACAGGCCACAGATGGATGGAAACAGGCAAGCAGAAGGACTGCGGACAGTTAGGTGGAAGGGTGAGCAGACTGGCCAACTCGCACACAGGTGGAAACTCAGGCTGGCAGAGGGACAGCCAGGCCAGCAGGAGGGCTGCTAGACAGTCAGGTGGGCAGGCAGGTGGGCCACCCAGGAGACCCCAGCGCCAAAGGGCCCTCTCTGGTGGCAGCAAAAAGGGATTAATAGCCACACATTTTCCAGGGACCAGAGGTCTCTCTCTGGGCACCTCTGAGCGTCCCAGCGTCAGGCCCAGCCCTTCAACTGATATCTGCGGGGCCTCTCATGTTCCTGGCTGGGCCAGGCCGTACCCCAAGACTGAGCTCTGAGCTGCCAAAATTCACTCTTCACACCCAAGAGGGGTCAGTGTTTTTGAAAGTTGTAGGAGCCTGGTGAGAGGGAGGAGGGGGCCCCAGCAGCGTCAGTGTTTCCAAACCTACCCCTCTCCTCTTTCTTTTTCCCCTGGTGCCTAGAGCCAGGCCTGGTGCTGCCAGCCAACAAGGCAGGCGAGCTGGGCCAAGCCGGCAGGGTAGGGCAGGGCAGGCAGGGCGGCCGCCGTTGCCACTGGGAAGTTGAGGGTGGAGGGGAAGACTGAGCGAAGACACAGATCAAGTCGGACACAGCATATGCGAGTGTCAGGGCCCAGGGGGCCCACAGGGACCCCCACACACCCACAGTCAGCTGGGCAGGGGTAGGAATGAGGGCCGCCCTGGAGAGGAGCACCCCTGAGGGGAGCCCTTCATAGCTCAGAGCTGGGGAGCAGGTGACAGAAGCGTGTGGGAGCCAAGGGTTCCTCTTTGTGTCTGGGACACAGGGAGGCAGGGGTGGGGAAGAGGAAAAGGGCGCCCACTCCAGGGGCCCCAGACTTCGCCAAGCGGACTTGGGGGAGGCAGCTGGCGGTCGGGAGTACCTGGGACAGAGGAGCAGAGATTGGCGGTCAGGATGGAAATAAGCAGTTGCGGTGCGGGGAGGTCAGAAGCGAGGTCAAGCAGGGGTCAGGCCTGGGAGATCAGGGCTTAGGGTCGGGCTCAGCGAGGGGATCAGAAACCGGGCTTAGGCCTGGGGGGAGAGAGATGAGGGTCGGCCCTGAGGCAGGGGGGTAGAAGGCGGAGCCAGGGCGGGGCGGCCGTGCCCCGGGAGGCCAGGCTTGCGCGGGGAAACGCGGAAGGGCGCGGGGTCGCAAACTCACATGAAGACGTGGTAGACGAAGGCCCAGCCGCGGGGCCGCTCCAGCACGTTGTAGACCCAGTTCTGCAGGCGGCGGTAGCGCTTGTGCGCGGCCGAGGAGCGCTGGCCGCAGGCGGAGCCCGAGCCGGAGCCCGGCCCAGGGAGGGGCGCGCCCGGCGGCAGGGGGCTGCCCAGGAGGCCGAGGCGGCGCGGGGAGCCGCCCCCGCCCGCCTCGCCCTGTTCGCTCTGCACGGCCGTGAGCGCCACTAGCTCCGCGCGGGGGGCGTCCCCGGGCGGGGGACCCAGGCCGAGGCGGCGCGGGGGGGCCTCGGCCATGGGCGGCGCCGGGCTGGGGGCGCCGGGGCCCGGGCACGGTCCGGGGCGGGGGCGCGCTCGGGGCGCTCAGAGACGCATGGCTCGGACCCGGGGCCAGAGGGGCGACCCGGGGCGGGCGCGGGCGGCGGGGGCTAGGGGCCGGGCCGGGGCCGCGGGCGGGCGCTCGGAGCCTGGGGGCCGCCGGAGCCCGCACTGACCTCCCGCTTCCCCGGCGACTGGGGCTGCTCTTTCCGACTCCAACTCTCTTATTACGCGCTCCATGCCGCTCGCCTTTCCACCTGCCACCGGCGCGCGCCGCTCACATGTCACCCTCCCCCGCCCCGCCCCTCCCCCGCCCGCCCCGCGGCCGCCTTCCCAAATCGGGAGGGAGCGAGCGAGCAAGCGAGGCGAGGCGGAGGGAGGGAACGCGCGGAGCAGGCGGCGGGGCAGGGCGCACGGGCGGCCGAGTTGGTGCCTGGGCCGAACCGCGTGGCGGGGGCAGCGCGCGGGGCCGGGAAGCCGGACGCGTGCAAGTGGTGTCCACCGCTGCGTGGGGCAGTGTGGCCCCGAAGGCCAGCCCGGGGTGGGACGCCTCGTGTGTGCTTGTGGAAAGTGGAATGTGGAGTTGTGGCCGCGGGCGGCAGGGGAAGGGACGCAGTGTCCCGTGGAGTTTAGGTGTAGACCGGTGGAACGGCGTCTACTTGTGTGTGCAGGGTGGGTGGCTGTGGGTCTACCAGGTGCGGGGATGGAGTCAGTGAGGTGTGAGTTATGGGTCGGGTGTGGGTGGCTGCGAAAGTGGAGGTGGAGTCCGAAGGGGATGAGGTGTGTCCGTTGGGGTCGAGCACTGTGTGCCTGGTGCGGGTGCTTAAAGTGTGCCCAGTGCTGTGTGTGGCTGGGTGGGCAGCGGCGGTTGTCCTGCTCTTACCTGAAAGGCCTGGAGCCCACGGGCTGCTAGGCAGCATCAGGGTGTGTGGAACACAGTGGGCCTGGGTGTGTCTTTCTCCCACCAACTGCCACCTCTGAGCTTCCCTTCATCGTGATGGGGGAAGAGCCACCCTGCCCAGAAGAGGATCCTCCCCGATGGAGGGGCCTGCTCCCCTGCCCCACTCCCAGGTCAGGGAACTGGGTTTGGGCAGATGGAGTGTTGGGAGATGAGCTCTAAGCCAGCCTTAGAGGGGACACACACCCCCTACCCAAGGCCCACAGAATCCCAGCCAGAAAAGGGGATACTTTGTCCCAGGGCATTCCCTCTCCAGCTGGAAAGTTTTTCTTAGTCCCCGACCTCCATCTCTCTGGCTGTAGGGGGCAGTCCCTCTCCTTTAGCCCTCCTGGGCCCTGCACAGGGTTGGTAACTTGGGTTTCCCGATCCTCTTTCCCTCTTCCTCCACGGAAAGCTGCGGCCACACCAGCCGCTCCCTCCGCAGGCCCTGCCCCAGGGTGAGCCTTCCGCAGCAAACTCTTCCCGGTTCCTCCGGGAGGATCTCGAGGGACGAAGCCGAGCGGGAGGGGCGGGGGAAGGGGCGGGAAGGCGAGCTCGATTCTCAGCTGTCAGCAAAGGCAGCATTGATCTGCTGAGCGCCAGTGAGGGAGGGAGGGAGGCAGGGCCGTGGGCTGCAGGGATCTGTGGGGTCCCTAAACTGGGCTTGGCAACCGGCCCACACCCCTACCCCATAGTGATCCTTTCCCCTCTGCCTAGCTGGGGGTGCCCTCTGGGGTCTGACCTGAATCTCTTCTGCTGCTCCTGGTCCAGGTGTGCCCAGGGCCAGAGCCGGGTGCCCCAGGGCAGGTTATGCCCGGATCCTCTACTGGAAGCTGGGGACAGTTTCTGGACCCCAAGGCCCCACTAGGGATGTGGTGCCTGGGCTGAGTTAACCCATCTTCTCTCTATGAGCTGAAGATGGCACCCCCAAAATATGCAGCACTGTCCTCCCTCTGTGGAACTGCCTGGCTGGTTCTTCTCAATCATAGATCCTGGGAAATGGGACTAAGGTCTAGGACATGAAAGGTGCACAGGAAAGCAGTTGCAAGCGCCCTGGGGGTGTTTCTAGGGGGTCTTTTTGAGGCTCTTGTTCTGTAGCAGAAATGGAATTTGAATTCAGGTTGCCCTTAACACCCAGAATATCTGAAACTGGGTCTGTTCTGGGAAATCTAATCTTCAAGCTCAGCATCACCTCTGGATCCCATGGCTCTCTTCCCAGCTGGGGGACTACAAAGGTCCCTTCCCCACCTTGTGAGGAGCCCTCACTGCAGGGAGTGTCTCATCATTCCCAACTCCAGCTCCAGATTACCTGCTCAAAGGCAGCAGAAAGAGGAAAGAGACTGTGGTTGCAGCTAGAGGGATGGAAGTTAGATCTCAGGAAGGACTTTCATAGGGCATAGAAGCCTGTTTCTCCTGCGGGCGTATGGGTAATGGAGGGACACAGAACTCTTCCTAAGGGGTGAGAGGGATGGGGGAGATGGTTCCAGGAGGCCACAGCAAATTTACTTGGCATATGTGTACACATGGAAGAGTGGAAGGGCCAGAAGAGAAAGTCCAGTTCAGAGAGGACAGGTGGCCACTCTTAGGGTCACCGGGTGGCCTTCCTGCGCCATCCGGATTCCCAGGACATGACTGGGAGGACGGACTTTCCCCACCACAACCTTTAGTGACTAAGACACTTTTCTGAGCAAACAGCTGTCTCAGGCTCCCTCAATTGGCCCCTCTGCTGGAGGGGACTGGACACCGTGGTTCCCTACCCTCCTCCTTCCCTCTCCCACCTGTTCCCCTGACCCCACCCTCAGCAGTTTCCTTTCCACCCCCAGGCCCTGTCTCCACCCTGGTAACACTGCGAAAGCTTCCCTGCCCCACTGAGGAGACAGACGCACTCACTAAGACTCACTCCCACCTGGGCAAGTCTCTTCCCCACCCTGGACTTGTTTCCCCATCTGTGCAAGAAGTGGGCAGGGCTCCAAGATCTTCTGTAATTCATCACTGTCCCCATCAGCCATCAATGGAGCAAGTATTGACTGAGAGGAAGGGTGGGAGGGCGAGTGCTTCCATTTGCTGAGTGCCATCTGTGTGCCAGGCCCAGTCCCTTTTGGGCCAGAGAGCAGCAGCTTGCTTGAGACAGCTGAGGCTCTGAGAGGCACAGGGACTCACCTAAGTCTACACAGCCTATTGGTGACCCCCAGAACTGTGACCTGTGCTTTCCACTGACTGGCACCTGCCGGCTGGGCACTGGGTGCTGGGAGCTGAGGATAACCATACACGGCCAATCCTTGTTCTCTAGAACTTACTCGTGCCAAGGGATCAAACTTCCAGGTCTGAAAGGATGGAGGGCAGGAAGTGGCTAGGACTATGGTCTCTCAGGCTAGGCTCAAGCCTGTCAGTGATTCCCACTGTGACCCCAGGTCAATCAAGGGCTCAGGTTCCTTTCCTGGAGTGAGAGGTGGGGTGGTTTAAGTCAGTGATTTTTAGACTTTATCAGCAATGGAATCCTTTTTACCGACAGAATTGTAAGGTAGCACCCCAATGTGTACAAAGCTTTGGAGCAGAAGTGCGCTAGTTGAATCGAGGCGAGGAGGTCTGGGTTCCACTCACTTGCCTCCTAAAATCTCTCTGCCTGCTAGCCACCTGACCCTGGGCTTTCTTACAGCTCCAAGGGTTGCTAGAGCTCAGAGGAGGGAGAAGTCTCCACAGGCAATGGCAGAGGGAGCTTTCTTGGGGACAGGAGTGGGGAGGACTGGGAGAGACGCAGAGAAGTACAACCAATAATGCCTGCAGCTACCATTAATGAGGCCTGCAGTCAATCCTAAGCCTTATGCAGGATGTTTTACCTGCATTGTCTATTTCAGCATCCCCACAACCTTGTGCGGTAATACTGTTCACGGTCCCATGTTACACTCAAGAAGACTGAGGCTCAGTGAAGAGACTTGCCTTGTATGGCTGTTAATTCACTCAGGTGCTGCTTTAATGTGTGTGTGTGTGTGTGTGTGTGTGTGTGTGTGTGTGTGTGTACTGGTGTGGGAAGAATGTTACAGAGCATTCGGAAGAGCAAGCTTAGCCAGGGGCACGCAGGAGGACTTGAATGCCAGGATGGAGGGTCCAATTTGGCCTGATAAGAAACAGGGAGCCTGGCCAGGCCCTGAGGCTGGGCATGCTGCAGAGGCTGTGGCTCCCTAGGAGAGAACCCAGGATGGGTGAAGTGGGAGGCACCAGCATCCAGAGAGGCTGGCAGTGCCAGGGGCAGAAAGAGCCCTAAACTACAAGTCATGGCTGGGCTTCCAGTCCTAGCTCCACCTGTGGAATACCTGGGGACCTTGGGCAAGTCACTCCACCTCTTCCCCACTTTCCCTGGCTATCAGCACTGAATGCAATAATGCATGAAAAAGTTAGAGACCATGCAGGGGGCTGTACGCACGTGACCCATTCGTCTGACTGCTCTTCAGGTACGTGTTTCAGGTGGAGCAGGGAGATGCTCTGGGAATTCCCTGGTCCTAGCAGTTCTTCTCAATCTAGGAAGCCTTCCTAGGAGGGGATTGGAGTGGAGAGTGCTCAGGGGGTGATGGCATCACATTATTGACCTTTGGGAACCCACCTCTACTGAGAGCAGGAGGAAGCATGAGAGAAAGATAAGGCCTTCTTCCTTTTCCCTGTGCAGCCCAGAAAGGACAAGAGACTTAGGCCACGAGGTGCTGGAGGGGCCCAAGGAATTTCTTTTTCTTTTCCTTTTTTTTTTTTTTTTGAGATGGAGTCTCGCTCTGTTGCCCAGTCTGGAGTGCAGTGGCGCAATCTCGGCTCACTGCAAGCTCTGCCTCCCGGGTTCACACCATTCTCCTGCCTCAGCCTCCCAAGTAGCTGGCACTACAGGCGCCCGCCACCATGCCTGGCTAATTTTTTTGTATTTTTAGTAGAGACGGGGTTTCACCGTGTTAGCCAGGATGGTCTCGATCTCCTGACCTCCTGATCCGCCCGTCTTGGCCTCCCAAAGTGCTGGGATTACAGGCGTGAGCCACCTCGCCAGCCAAGGAATTTCTTTTCCCCAGATCTGGGTGTGGCACTGACCAGCCCCCAGCCTAGACCAAGCAGGCCAGTCAGCTCAGAGCCACAGGAAGTGGGGAGGGAGCAGTGTTGCTGAGCTCAGTGAAAGTGAACCCCCATTGATCCTCAGGGCTGGAGGGGGCCCACACAGAGGAGACACAGAGGGAGAAAGGGGCGTGGAAATGAAGGTCAAAGCCCTCCCTTCTTGCAGGGCTCCTCCTCTGCCTTCAGGATTCTTCCTGTAAGATCCTTCCTCTAACCTCTACCTCTGGAAGACCATGCAGAAGGCAACAGTGCTGTGGTCCTGCTGGTTAACTCCATGTTCTCGGTGAGAACCACTGGGACAATAGAGTTGGCTGAAAAATGAAAAGGAAGGACTTTTCTGAGTTGCTGAGTGTGCAGTGGAAAAGAACTTCCATGCTCGCCTGGTGGGAGAAACTTGAATGAGGGCTCAGGGAGGGAGATGACGTGAGTAGGAGGGACAGAAGGTTGAGTAGCAGGAAATGGGGTTCAGAAAGAGGATGACAACCTGGTAAGGGAGATGGGATTCAGGGAGGAGAATGGGGGCTCCAAAGAGAGGCTAGAGACTGGGTGACAGGGATGGAAGGCTCAGAGACCAGGATTTCCAGGTCAAGCTTGATTAAACGCTTATTAAATTCCTCCTCTTTGAAATATTAGATGTGCAAAGCAAGATAAGTGCTAAATAATTTTTTAAATTAAAAAAAAATTTTTTTTTTGAGACCAGTTCTTGCTCTGTCACCCAGGCTGGAATGCAGTGGTGTGATCTTGGCTTACCGCAACCTCTGCCTCCTGGGTTCAAGCAATTCTCTGCCTCAGCCTCTCGAGTAGCTGAGAATACAGGTGTGTACCACCATGCCTGGCTAATATTTTTATTTTTTGTAGAGATGGGGTTTCACCATGTTGGCCAGGCTGGTCTCGAACTCCTGGCCTCAAAGTGATCTACCAGCCTTGGCTTCCCAAAGTGCTGGGATTACAGGCATGAGCCACCATGCCCAGCTGATAATTAAAAGAAAAAAAAAGTACATATTCAAGCACCAAAAGCAAGAATGGGGAATTGTGTAAGACCATAAGAGGTAATTCCTGGTGGCAAGCAGGAATTGAAGGTGTATTTCTGAGGGGGGGTCCAGTGTCCAGTGGGGTGGGAGGGTGGGAAGTATAGTTGCCAACCTCAAAAATGCCAGGGACAACAGTAGGCTTTCTGCTTAAAGCTGAGTCTGGTAAAGTGCTGCCTGCCGTGAACATTAAAATCTCTGTCTGCTAGCCACCTGGTCCCTGGCTTTAAGCAGAAAGAGGATCCTTATAAGTGTGACACCTCAGTCTGTCCACAGGGGGTGTGGGCTCAGGATTTGATATCCAGGCCATGCAAAAATCCCAAACCAAGACACTGCTATAAGAGCTGATTTGAGGCTGCTGCACTTCCACATGGCTTAGGCACATACAACTGAGAAATCATCCCTTAGGATGGCCTCCACATCCCAGGGCACAATCAGGAAAATGTGCTGAAAATAATCTCAAGGATAAATTCCATAACAGATTAGAAGCACCATACCTTAAGAGACATACCTCTCATGGGAGAATTTATACATAAAGACCTAGAGCTAATGGAGCAATCTGAAAGGAAATTTAATATAGCTAAAATCATCAAAAAGATAAAGGAAGAAGTAGCATATATAAAACAAGAATAGAAAGATATCAAACAGAAACGTAGCAGAAATGAACAGAACTATCTAGAAATTTTAGAAATGAAAACTAAAGTTACTAACATTTTTTAAAAAATCAATAAATAGGTTATCAAATATATCTGAAGAGAATTAATGAATTAGAAGCTAGAACTGAGGAAATCCTTCAGACTGAAGCACAGAATAAAGAGATTAAGCAGATGAAAGAAAAGAGACATAGAAGATTGAATGAGAAAATCTAGCATATGCATTAAGGGTTTCAAAAAGAGATACTGGAAAGAGTGACTGAACTTGCCAAAAATAATCCATGAATTTCTAGATTTAAAAGGCCCACAGACTACCTAGTAAGATATCTTAGAAAACAAAACTCTATCTAGACACCTTGTAGTCAAAGTGTAGAATATCAAGAATAAATAGAAATTCTAAAAGCCACCAGAGAGAAAAGATGGCTTATCTACAAAGGTCCAATAATTGAGTTGACAGTAAACTTCTCATCAGCAACAACAGATGCCAAGAGACAATGGAATCGTATCTTCAAAGTGCTGAGGGCAAATAATTGTGAACCTAGAATTCCATACCTTGCCAAACTGTCACTTAAATGAAAGGGCAAAATTAAGACATTTGACACATACAAGATCTTAGAAAGCTGTTCCACAGACCTTCCCAGAAAGAGAGAACAGGAACTTGGGGGAGGGGCTGGGAGTTCACAGAGATGATGGGCACAGCGCAGGGCCAGGACTCTAAGGAGGGGCTGGAGTCTCAGGGATTGGAGGGAGGCCGGGCTCTGTTTCAGACTTCTCCTCAGCACCAGCCAGACACAGGAGGCCAGCCCAGCCTGGCCCAGCTCAGGTTCTTCCCTCCTGAGTGCCAGCCTTACTGTCCTTCTGTCCCCTCTTCCTAAGCCATGGCAGTGGAACAGCACCCAAGCTGGGGAAGACACCAGCAGCCTAGCACACGAGGCCTTGAGGAAGCCATGGCCAAGTTGCTCATGTGACTGGGCACTGGGCCTCCACAGGAGGGTCCACTCCTCTTAGGAGATCAGATGCCACCTCACTGAGGCCTATAGATGGCTGGAGCTGTGGGACAAAAGCTAGGTCCCTACTCAAGAGTTGGTGGGAAGGGGACTCTCATTCTCTGTAGGAAAATAATCACAAATGGAGGGGACAAAACCCATGGGGGCTGGGCCAGCTGACACAGGAGGCTTCTAGGAGCATCTGGCTCCAGGCAACCAGCTGGTGCCCTTGGGTAATATTTTAACATGTTTGAGACCCAGTTTCTTACTTATAAAATAGGGAGAATGCCTACCTAACGAGGATGTGAAGATGAAATGAGAATCCATGAGTACCAAGCTTTAGATGTATTTTCTTTTCTTTTCTTTTCTTTTCTTTTTTTTTTTGAGACAGGGTCTCATTCTGTCACCCAAGTGATCCTCCCTGGCTCAAGCAATCCTCCTGTCTCAGCCTCCCAAGTAGCTAGGATTACAGGCACGCACCACCACACCCGATTAATTTTTGTATTTTTTATAGAGATGGGGTTTCACCATGTTGCCCAGGCTGGTCTCAAACTCCTGACCTCAAGTGATCCTCCTGCCTCCATCTCCCAAAGTGCTAGGATTACTGGCATAAGCCACCATGCCTGGCCTTAGACATATTTTCCTAGACAGAAATTTCTTAAACAATAATCTCCATTGAACACCCCTGCCTGGCATATTATCAGAGCTCAATAAAAAATTGTTAATAAGAGCTGGGCACGGTGGCTCACGCCTGTAATACCAGCACTTTGGGAGGCCAAGGTGGGCGGATCACGAGGTCAAGAGATCGAGACCATTCTGGCCAACATGGTGAAACCCCGTCTCTACTAAAAATACAAAAATTAGCTGGGCGTGGTGGCGGGCGCCTGTAGTCCCAGCTACTCAGGAGGCTGAGGCAGGAGAATCACTTGAACCCGGGAGGCGGAGGTTGCAGTGAGCTGAGATCGCGCCACTGCACTCCAGCCTGGCAACAGAGCGAGATTCCATCTGAAAAAAAAACAAACAAAAATTGTTAAGAAAAAAATGTCATGGTGAGAGCAGATGAGCAGAGGTGGGAATGTGCGCAGTGTGGCTGCAAGGATGGCTTTGTGTTCATTCACTCACTCATCAGTTACTGTTACCCCCTTGGTGCCAGGCTCTGTGCTGCACTCCAGCGGTGCAGAGATGACCCTGGACTTGAGAACTCCCTGTGAGGAAGACAGCCCAAACCAGAAAACACTAACAGAGGATAGAGGGTTTCTTTAGAGGCTAACTTGGTCTTTTGTTTGTTGTCTCTCTCCCCAACCCAACCCCTGCCCTCAACCCAATCATCAATATAAGCTCCATGGTAGCAGAGAAGTCAGACTTGTTTTAAGCTGTATTCACAATGTTTAAAACAACGTCTGACACACAGAAGGTGCCAAAGAAATAGCTGCTGAATGACTGTATATGAGCTCTAATAATAGAGGTTGTAGAAGTTCACATGGGAGCACTGAAGAGGTCTTTGCTGACTCTGGCTCAGGAATTAGAAGTTTCTCGGCAAGGGCCATTTAAATTGGGCCTTGATGGATGTATAGGAGCTCAATAAGTGAAAAGGGAAGTAAAAGGGCATTTCAGGAATTGTAGCTAGCACATTCTGAAAACATGGAGCTAAGTTCAGGGATCAGTGAGTAATTGGGTGTGACAGGAGCATAGAGTACAGGAGGTGGTGAGGGAGAGGAGAGTGAAAAGAAACAAAGCTGGGGAGATAAGAAGGACCTTGAACCAACTTGGGCTGTCAGAAAGTCCTTATTAAAATCTAACCACCTACCTTGAGGCAATACTCTGGAGAGGGTAGAGTTTCCAGCTCTCACTGTTATCCTAGGGAGGACCCTCCCTTCAAAGGGTGAGGGTCTTATCAGGAAGTGGGTTAAGAAAGGGGACAGTCATACTCCCACTAGTTCCTAGAATTGTCTACAGTTGGGATGACAGTGGGACAGGGCACCTCCCAGAGACACAGGTGAGGGCTGCATGCTGCCCCCTTGTGGCCTCCGCAGACCTGAGCTGCAAGGAAGCCAGCCAGATTGTCTGCTCCAGATTCCAGGGGTCTCCAATCTCCAAGGTCATCCTTGTGGCAAGTTCCCAACCACCAGCTGTCCCCAGACCAGACCCAACTGCTTTATTTATTTCATGTATACTCAAGGCTGGGCCAGTCAGTTCAGGAAGACTGACTAAAAGGGGATAGTTCACATTTCAATAGCCTGCTTCTTTCTTACACATATACATGTCACCTTTGGCCAGAGAGCAACTGTGTATGCACAGGGGGTCAGGAGATCAGTGTTTTGGTTTCAATTCCACCCTCAATTCATGGAGTGACCTTGGGCAAGTCACTGCACTTCACTAGCCCTCCCATGACTCCATCGCTAACACAGGGATCATGATACCTCTTCCTGTCTCCCCTGCAGGGTCACTGTGAAGATCATCGGGAGGGAGGACGGATGCTGCAAGTGCTAGGAAAAATGTTTAAAGAGTGCTCCGGATGTAAGGGGATCGTGCTGGGTATTAGATAGGGGCTCTCTTGGGCTGCGCCAAAGGGTTTGTTTACACCAGGATGGGCCCTGCTGGCAGGGCAATTTAAAGGGAAAGTGTTCAGCAGGGAAGCTGCTTGCTAATCACAACTGATCAAAACATCTCTAAAACAAGAATGGAAGTCTACAGGAAAATGGGGACCCATTCATTGGCCTGAAACTCCAATCACACTTGGGTTTTCAGGAATGAACCAAAGAGCAAACAAGGTGGGACACAGGGCACCATGAAATTAAATTGTGGAGGTTCTGCCTTTTCTCTGAGCCTGGGGCCCCTCTGCATGTTCACTTTCTCCCTCTTACATTCCCTGCACACAGGGCTAGGCACACGGCTATCAGTGAAAACTTGCTATTATATGATGTCTCGCTAAGACTGAGTTCTGGACAGCTGGAAAGGCCAGAAGACCCCCTTCAGAATAAAGTCCAGAGCTAGAATGAAGGTAACTAGATATAGAAGGAGGGAATGAATTTGGGAGTTGCGAGCAGGTTGGGGCTGACCCTGACTCACTGTTATGGGGGCCAACTTACTGACTTCTCATGGTGAACTGTCACCTGCTTTACCTACCCTGGTGACACTCCATGTCATTTTGGATAGACAGCATCATGTATCCAAAACCTTAAAGCTAAAAAAACTTTGCTTTTGAAAAAAAAAAAAAAGTTATCTGTCTTTCTTTTATAATGTGAATCCTTTACCTGGTCTCATCTCTTTTTGCTCTGGTGGCCAGGAAGCTCAGGGTCAAATAATTCTAACAAATACGTAGGTCTTTATAACCATGATATCTGTGTTCTTGTTTTCTATAATCCTGATTTCCTACTCAATTGTATTTTTCCTAATTCTAATTTGTTTTACTTTATTATTTCATTGTGTTGTTTTCATTGCAATTTTTTCTTATGGACTGAGGTAAGGCATAGTGAAGTAGATGCTGAGTATTTTATAAGCTACCATCATCAAGACAATATAGGCAACAGGATGCCCCAATCTGGAGTAAAGAGCAGAGCTGGCCAGACTTGAATCTAGGCAAAGTATTTAAGCAGATCCCAGAAATCTGGGGAATCTCCTGGGAGGAAGATCAGAGGGCAGTAATCTGAAACTACTTGTTGAAAACTAACTCATGTCTTATCCCCATGGTTTACAGTGGATATTTCATAAGATAATCATAAAAGCATCAGGTTCAGACTTGAAATCATCTAATATAAGCCCTTCCCCAATTTCCACCTCACCCACTGAGACAGTCCCAAAGACAAGGGAGGTATTTGCCCATGGGTTTAGGGCAAATACCTACATTTCCTGGCACCCAGCTCACTGTTCTTCCCACAACAGCAGCTCATTCCAGCTGGAAGGATGGCATGGTGGAGGTAAGAAAGATGGCTCATCACTGGCCTCTGTGGCCAATGAAGTGGAATGCTCTCTCTATTCTCCCTGCTTCAATTAACAGGAAGTAGGTCTTGGCTGTAGAACTCTTGGCTGACAAGGGGCCTGGGTTGTTCTCTATGGCAGATGCCATGCCTTTGTTAATGGGCATGGCCACAGCAGGTAGCTGAATGATAGCCTGTGCCAGGCAGGACTGGAAGGATTTACCCCAGGCTTTGACGGAGCCAGCTTTCTCCATGAGAGATGCCCCCTTCTTGACCCTCAACCAGGCAGGACACAGCTCAGTCTGATACACGGGTCAGAATCTAGTGAGTCCAGCAGGCAAGCATCTCTGAGCAGCAAATATATTCTGATGAAGCTCACTTTTAAGACCAGCCGAGGTAGGCCAGGCACAGTGGCTCATGCCTGTAATCCCAGTACTTTGGGAGGCTGACGTGGGAGGATCACTTGAGCCCAGGAGTTCAAGACCAGCCAGGGCAATACAGTGAAACCGTGTCTCTACAAATAAAAAATAAAAAAAATTAGCTGGGCATGGTGGTACCTGACTGTAGTCCTAGCAATTCAGGAGGCTGGGGTGGGAGGATTGCTTGAGCCCAGGAGATTGATGCTGCAGTGAGCAGTGATCACACCACTGCACTCCAGCCTGGGCAACAGAGCCAGAAAAAAAAAGATCGGCTAAGGACCTCAGTTTGAATTAGGTACACAGCATTAAGTTCCCTTAGCTTTGAACATCTCCTTCTCACAAGGGTGGCCCTCTCTCCCAGACACACAAACTGAGGGCAAATGAACCTTTCCAAGCAAAGTGGCCCCATGAATGCCCCCAGACACAGAAACCCAGACTCTAAATTATCTAAAATGAGATTTATTGCATTTCATGCAGCTTGAAGTCCATGCAAAGGAGACTAGCACAGTTTTTAATGCATTTAAAAAATAAAAGGGAGGTGGGCAGCAAACACACAAAGTCCTAGTTTCCTGGGTCCCTGGGAGAAAAGAGTGTGGCAATGAATCCACCCACTCTCCACAGGGAATAAATCTGTCTCTTAAATGCAAAGAATGTTTCCATGGCCTCTGGATGCAAATACACAGAGCTCTGGGGTCAGAGCAAGGGATGGGGAGAGGACCACGAGTGAAAAAGCAGCTACACACATTCACCTAATTCCATCTGAGGGCAGAACAACGTGGCAAGTCTTGGGGGTAGCAGCTGTTCCCAGAGTCAAGAAATACCGTACACCCCTGGGGAGATTTGCTCCTAAAAAGAAGTGGCAGTAACAAACAAAAAAAAAAGAAAAACAAAAGGAGAAATATTTCTTCAACCACACTCTTCAAGAAAATGCCATAAATATGTTATTTAATATTTTAATTTCATAGCATTGGACACACACTCAACATATTGAAATATTGATTCCTTAGAGAAAAAAATGGAAAAAAAGGAAACAAAAAATATTGCATCTTTCTGCTGGAGAATCTCGGCCCCCAGGCATGGGGTGTAGTGCACCAGTGTCCTAGCCTGCAGGAGGCGCTGAGGTCGGCCGGGTCCTCTGGGGAGGAAGGCTGTGCCCATTGCCTGGGGCTGTATGGCAAAAATTGTGTTGGGTGTCCTTGGCCTTGCCAGCTCAGGCCCTCAGTCGCCGGTCACCTGGGGGGCCTGCCCGTCGGAGGGCTGGTTGGCTGACTGGATGAACATGGGCTGGGCGAGGTCCTGGCCCGCAGGCATGGTGACTTGCTGGATCTGGTAGAGCTGCTGCGAGGGGTGGAGAGGAGAGAGTGAGGTCATCCCTGGGAGAGGGGCATGCAGCTCCCTATGGGTCTCGAGCTGGTTGGGGGTCCCAGATACCTCAACCACCACCCACTGCAAGGCGTCAGAAGGAGGAGGGGAAGTGGAGCTCTGCTGGGGTTGGGAGCAGCAGACACAGGAGGCACCAGCCCGGTGTGAGGGGGGGTGTGTGGTGGGCAGGGAAGAGGTGCAGGGAGTTGAATTTCCTGTGGCTTTCACTTCTCTGGGCTCTGCCTCTCCCGTTAGCTCAGAGACTCGAGCTTGCTGCACGCTGTTCCTCTGTGGCAAACACAAGCAATTCGAACCACTGTACCAGCAGCTTGGAAGTCAGCATTTCCCCAACTCTTGGTAATCTACACTGGCAGGGGCAGTAGGATTACCCCCTCCTCTCCTTCTTTTCTCAGAATATCTGGCTCAGGTTGAAACTAAACTGAATTTGAATTTTCTCCATGGACCCTGCTAAGGAGGTGGCCTGGTATTAAACACTTAACTATAGCCAAGACGCTCCAGGGGTGGAGAAGATACTCACACAGCCACTTAGGAAGGTCAGGGCTAATTGACTACTTGGTTTCCCAGGCGCTCCCCAAAGAAGCCAAAAGCCAAGCCCTCATGGGAGCCCTGGCATGTAAGCCTAGCATGTGGTGCTGGCAGAAGCCAGAGGTGGGTCCTGATGCCAGCTCTTCTCCCTTTTGAGCAGCAGAGGGCACAAGTTTGGGCATGTCATCCTATCATGTCCTCAGTGGTCTCTGGGACTGTACTGTGAGGGGAAAGCAGAGGGAAAAGGGAAGATTCTCTCCTCGCATGGACTGAAAATGACTGAATTTCAGGCACCCAGAGAGCTCAAGAGGTCACGTGTTCTCTGCGTCTCAACAGTCCATGCTATTAAAACAGCATCATGGCTTAGAGGGGAAAAAAATACAGTTCTAGAGAGGGAAACAGGAAACCTGCTCTCTAGTCCTGGCTCTGCAATGAACATCTAGGGGAGCATGGACAAGGCACTTCCCATCTCCAGGGTTCAGTTTACTCATCTGTAAAATGGCAATTTGGGCTACATGTCTAAGATTATTTTAGTTCCCACTAAGTCTATAAAACTAAAGGATAGGTGCCCTGATTTAAATACCGTACTTGTTTTAACAATTTCTGTCCACTCACTGTTAGTAGAGGACAGGACAGTTGCCCTAACCATCCAAACCCAGATACTACCTGCTACCCTGCCCCGCAAATCCTCACCCTCTGCCCAGCCCAGGTTGGGTACCCTACCTGTCCATCTGTGAACTGGCTGAACTGCTGCTGTCCTTGCTGGACCTCTGTCTGTGTAATCTGTAAGAATCAAGATGGTAGAGTTGGTATGTCAGCTGCAGGGTCTGATCCACCAGCCCACCACCCAAAAGAGGGTCATAAAGATCAAATGAGACAATGCATATAAAGTGCCCAGCAGGTGCTCAATGGGTAGTAAGCAAGCAAGCACCCCTCCTAATCTAGCACTGATGGCTACGTCAAGAGTTGGCAGCACAAAGTGACATCGAGAATCCTGGAGCACATAATAGATAGTTCCCACACCCATCTCTCTAATGAATGCCTACTCCCTCAACCACCCACTCATCTCAAACTCTGAGGCTCAAACAGAACACATGGACCCTAGGTGCTATGGTTTGGGGTAGAAGTCCTAAGAGTCAGTCTTTCAGCCAGTGAAGGCGGACTGCAAAGTGTCAGACAAAGTGGTAAGTGGCCTCTTTCATTCTTGGAAGGTGGGCTCCAAACCAAACCCGTATCACCCAGATCATCTGACTGGAATATGAAACACCCTGGCGAGCAAGTGGCCTTGGTCCCAGCAGTCCTCATGGCAAACCTATGAAGTACTTTTTCCGAGAGAGGCACTGTGCAGCCCTCTGGGCCAAAGGAGGGGAGGAGAAAAGGGGAGGGACCGGGAGTGGAACAAAGACAACATTTATCACAAGTACTTAAAATCTTATGTGTGGACTGTGAATGGATTTTAGATAAATGTACTGACATGTAGAACTGCATATATAATGACAACTGCTGGGAGCAGCTCGGTAAACTAGAAAGAAGACTGCGGTGTGCATGCACATGTGTTCCTATGGAACATTTGGCCAGCAGTGTCCTCTGTGTACCATTTCCTGGAATCATCACAGCCAGCCTGCAAGACAAGGACTGTCCTCTCAAATGTCCTCACCATGGCCAAAAACAACCCCTGCAGGCCTACCCATGAGGCTATGAGGAACAAGAAAGGGAACAGGTATGACAGGCTTCATGACTATTTTTTACTATTGTTCCTTATTTTGGTCCTTTTCCTTCCAACAGCCTATAAGATGCCTGAGGGCAGGAGCCCATACAAAGTTAGTATTCCAGAAATGTTGCAGAATAAACAAGTGAGCCTGAGACAAATGGAAAATATTCCACATAGATAAGAAGGTTAACTGCTCTGTGGCCAGCAGGATTGCCATTCATATTAGCTGAGATTTCATTTACCTTTACATTTTATTTACATATTATTCATTCAGCTTCATTCAACAAACATTTACTGAGCACCTACTAAGTATTAGGTTGTCATAATTACAACCTGTTGTTACAAAGATTTTCATTGCCTTCAGCTACCACTTTCTTGCTTCTCCCCAGCCTCTCCCATTTTTTGGCTTTAGTTCTGTTCCCAAAACGGACTTTTTTTAATTTTTATTTTTTGAGACAGAGTCTCACTCTGTCGCCCAGGCTGGAGTGCAGTGGCACAATCTCAGCTCACTGCAACCTCCACCTCCTGGGTTCAAGTGATTCTTGTGTCTCAGCCTCCCAAGTAGCTGGGATGACAGGCATGCACCACCACGCCCAGCTAATTTTGTATTTTTAGTGGAAACGGTTTTGCCATGTTGGCCAGGCTGGTCTCAAACTCCCGACCTCATGTGATCACCTGCCTCAGCCTCCCTCCCAAAGTGCTGGGATTACAGGCGTGACCCACTGTGCCCAGCCCCAAACTGACTTCTGAGGAACCAAGAAGCTTCCTTCTCATTTCCTCCCACTCCCATGCCGTTATGTTTTTTGGATCCCAGGGAAGAATCTTATGAGGTTAAAAAGAGGGGCTGGGGGAAGGGTGTGAGTCAGTATCAGCTACGGAAAAGCCGCGTCCTTAGGTAAGCCGGGGAGTGGGCACAGAAACAGCCCTTAATGATCCCAGAGACTATATGGAACTCAGAAGCCTTGCTTTTGGCTCATTCCTCGTATTTTCCCAAATGAGATCTTTGGAGACCTGCTCTACAAACTCAGCTCTGTCACCACTGTCAATAGATACATCACCAGAAATGCAACTGGGCCAGACGGGTCCAGCTCTTAAACGATCGCTGCTTTTTTTGGGTCTGAGGCAAAAGAATCCATTAACAATGCCTCCCCTTGACCAGCACCCCCCATCTTCTGCAAGTAATACCCATGTCCCTCAACACCCCCAAGCCCAGGGAGGCAGCCCCCTCACCATCTGTGACTCATAGCCATCAATATTGTAGGGCACGAGAGGAGAGGAGAAGGGCAATTTTTCTGGTTAGGGATGCAAGAGGAGGTAGGGGTAAAATCTAAGTAAGCTTTCCAAAGAGCACAGGAGGTGCCAGAACACAACAGCCACTTGGGTTTAAAGATGGAAACAGCCTGACGATCAGGCGATCTGTCGAACATTTCCCAGGTCTGATGGGTGTGCACACCTGTAAGGTTTCTTTCAGGCACCTTCGAGGCTTCCCCTGACTTGCATTTCTTTGCCCCTTGAGAACAAGATGGTAAGAGAAAACACTTTGAATCTAATGTTCCAATTACCACCCATGCCTCTTGGGTGCAGAAGGATATGGAGGGTGTGGGGGTGGTGCTTCTGGTTGAAGGATGAGGTGGCAAGACAGCTGTGTGCTGAGCGCTCCTTTCCTGTCAGAAGCCATCTGCTCCTGGTCTCCAACACAGGCCTTGTGTCTCTGGGGCACATACCTGTTGAGCATTGGTGGCAAGTGTCTGGATCTGTCCCTGCACAACTTGAGTGCCTGATACAGGCTGGGCTAAGCGGATATACTGCAGCTGGCCGGCATTCAGCTGCACCTAGGGCAGGGGCAGAGACAAAGAGACCATAAGACATTGAGTATAATCTCAAACAGGCAAACTTTCCATGACCAGAGATGTTGATTGCCCCCTACCCCTCAAGCCCTCCAAAGAAGCCTGCCCTGAAAAAAGTCCCTTTTAAACAGAGGTCAAAACAAGCAAAATCAGAACATCCACATCCCACAAGTCACACAGCACAGAAGAGAATATATTCCCTGAATGGACTTCAGAAAAAACTCCCAGAAGATCCTGTCACAAAGGTGAGAACAGCATGGCTGCATGCTCATTATTTGCCAGCTCTTAGCTACATGATCACAGCTTATCTTAGGAATTTATCTGACTGACATCATCAGAATGCCTGTACATTAAGTGTGGGCCTCTTTCGCTCCCATCTGTAAAGAGATCCAGCATCTGCCAGGATCCCAAAGCAAACAGCCATCATTCCGCATCATAGCCCTCACACTGCCCTGCCCCATGCTGCACATTTTGGAGGCAAAAGCTGGACTGCTTAACCATCTCTGTCCCCAAGAGCCAGGCTGGATGGGGGTCTGTGGGGCTTTTAGGATCTTTGGTGTTCAGCACTAGCTTCTGGCCAAACACCTCCCAAGGGGAAGCAGAATCAATAAACCTTTCATAGAA